>NC_000001.11:122503247-122829273 GCF_000001405.40 Homo sapiens
ATCATTTCCACAAACTGCGTTGTGATGTGTTCGTTCAACTCACAGAGTTTAACTTTTCTTTTCATAGAGCAGTTAGGAAACACTCTGTTGGTAAATTCTGTAAGTGGATATTCTGACATCTTGTGGCCTTCGTTGGAAACGGGATTTCTTCATATTCTGCTAGACAGAAGAATTCTCAGTAACTTCCTTGTGTTGTGTTTATTCAACTCTGTGAGTTGAATGATCCTTTACACAGAGCAGACTTGAAACACTCTTTTTGTGGAATTTGCAAGTGGAGATTTCAGCCGCTTTGAGGTCAATGGTAGAAAAGTAAATATCTTCGTATAAAGACTAGACAGAATGATTCTCAGAAACTCCTTTGTGATGTGTGCGTTCAACTCACAGAGTTTAACTTTTCTTTTAATAGAGCAGTTAGGAAACACTCTGTTTGTAAAGTCTGCAAGTGGATATTCAGACCTCTTTGAGGCCTTCGTTGGAAACGGGATTTCTTCATATTATGCTAGACAGAAGAATTCTCAGTAACCTTCCTTGTGTTGTGTGTATTCAACTCACAGAGTTGAACGATCCTTTACAGAGAGCAGGCTTGAAACACTCTTTTTGTCGAATTTGCAAGTGGAGATTTCAGCCGCTTTGAGGTCAATGGTAGAATAGGAAATATCTTCTTATAGAAACTAGACAGAATGATTCTCATAAACTCCTTTGTGATGTGTGCGTCCAACTCACAGAGTTTAACCTTTCTTTTCATAGAGCAGTTAAGAAACACTCTGTTTGTAAAGTCTGCAAGTGGATATTCAGACCTCCTTGAGGCCTTCGTTGGAAACGGGGTTTCTTCATATTCTGCTAGACAGAAGAATTCCCAGTAACTTTCTTGTGTTGTGTGTGTTCAACTCACAGAGTTGAACTTTCATTTACACAGAGCAGATTTGAAACACCCTTTTTGTGGAATTTGCAAATGGAGATTTCAAGCGCTTTGAGGCCAAAGGCAGAAAAGGAAATATCTTCGTATAAAAACTAGACAGAATCATTCTCAGAAACTGCTCTGCGATGTGTGCGTTCAACTCTCAGAGTTTAACTTTTCTTTTCATTCAGCAGTTTGGAAACACTCTGTTTGTAACGTCTGCACGTGAATAATTTGACCACTTAGAGGCCTTCGTTGGAAACGGGTTTTTTTCATGTAAGGCTAGACAGAAGAATTCTCAGTAACTTCCCTTGTGTTGTGTGTATTCAACTCACAGAATTGAACGATCCTTTACACAGAGCAGACTTGAAACACTCTTTTTGTGGAATTTGCAAGTGGAGATTTCAGCCGCTTTGAGGTCAATGGTAGAATAGGAAATATCTTCGTAGAAAAACTAGACAGAAATGATTCTCAGAAACTTCTTTGTGATATGTGCGTTCAACTCACAGAGTTTAACCTTTCTTTTCATAGAGCAGTTAGGAAACACTCTGTTTGTAAACTCTGCAAGTGGATATTCAGACCTCTTTGAGGCCTTCGTTGGAAACGGGATTTCTTCATACTGTGCTAGACAGAAGAATTCTCAGTAACTTCCTTGTGTTGTGTGTATTCAACTCACAGAGTTGAACGATCCTTTACAGAGAGCAGACTTGAAACACTGTTTTTGTGGAATTTGCAAGTGGAGATTTCAAGAGCTTTGGGGCCAAAGGCAGAAAAGGAAATATCTTCGTATAAAAACTAGACAGAAATCATTCTCAGAAACTGCTCTGCGATGTGTGCGTTCAACTCTCAGAGTTTAACTTTTCTTTTCATTCAGCAGTTTGGAAACACTCTGTTTCTAAAGTCTGCACGTGGATATTTTGACCACTTAGAGGCCTTCGTTGGAAACGGGTTTTTTTCCTGTAAGGCTAGACAGAAGAATTCCCAGTAACTTCCTTGTGTTGTGTGCATTCAACTCACAGAGTTGAACGTTCCCTTAGACAGAGCACATTTGAAACACTCTATTTGTGCAATTTGCAATTGTAGATTTCAAGCGCTTTAAGGTCAATGGCAGAAAAGGAAATATCTTCGTTTTAAAACTAGACAGAATCATTCCCACAAACTGCGTTGTGATGTGTTCGTTCAACTCACAGAGTTTAACCTTTCTGTTCATAGAGCAGTTAGGAAACACTCTGTTTGTAAAGTCTGCAAGTGGATATTCAGACCTCCTTGAGGCCTTCTTTGGAAAAGGGATTTCTTCATATTCTGCTAGACAGAAGAATTCTCAGTAACTTCCTTGTGTTGTGTGTATTCAACTCACAGAGTTCAACGATCCTTTCCACAGAGCAGACTTGAAACACTCTTTTTGTGGAATTTGCAAGTGGAGATTTCAGCGGCTTTGAGGTCAATGGTAGAATAGGAAATATCTTCCTATAGAAACTAGACAGAATGACTCTCAGAAACTTCTTTGTGATGTGTGCGTTCAACTCACAGAATTTAACCTTTCTTTTCATAGAGCAGTTAGGAAACACTCTGTTTGTAAACTCTGCAAGTGGATATTCAGACCTCTTTGAGGCCTTCGTTGGAAACGGGATTTCTTCATACTATGCTAGACAGAAGAATTCTCAGTAACTTTCTTGTGTTGTGTGTATTCAACTCACAGAGTTGAATGATCCTTTACACAGAGCAGACTTGAAACACTCTTTTTGTGGAATTTGCAAGTGGAGATTTCAGCCGCTTTGAGTTCAATGGTAGAATAGGAAATATCTTCCTATAGAAACTAGACAGAATGATTCTCAGAAACTCCTTTGTGATGTGTGCGTTCAACTCACAGAGTTTAACCTTTCTTTTCATAGAGCAGTTGGGAAACACTCTGTTTGTATAGTCTGCAAGTGGATATTCAGACCTCTTTGAGGCCTTCGTTGGAAACGGGATTTCTTCATATTCTGCTAGACAGAAGAATTCCCAGTAACTTCCTTGTGTTGTGTGTGTTCAACTCACAGAGTTGAACTTTCATTTACACAGAGCAGATTTGAAACACTCTTTTTGTGGAATTTGCAAGTGGAGATTTCAAGCGCTTTGAGGTCAAAGGCAGAAAAGGAAATATCTTCGTATAAAAACTAGACAGAAATCTTTCTCAGAAACTGCTCTGGGATGTGTGCGTTCAACTCACAGAGTTTAACTTTTCTTTTCATTCAGCAGTTTGGAAACACTCTGTTTGGAAAGTCTGCACGTGGATATTTTGACCTCTTTGAGGCCTTCGTTGGAAACGGGTTTTTTTCATGTAAGGCTAGACAGAAGAATTCCCAGTAACTTCCTTGTGTTGTGTACATTCAACTCACAGAGTTGAACGTTCCCTTAGACAGAGCAGATTTGAAACACCCTTTTTGTGCAATTGGCAAGTGGAGATTTCAAGCGCTTTAAGGTCAATGGCAGAAAAGGAAATATCTTCGTTTCAAAACTAGACAGAATCATTCCCACAAACTGCGTTGTGATGTGTTCGTTCAACTCACAGAGTTTAACCTTTCTGTTCATAGAGCAGTTAGGAAACACTCTGTTTGTAAAGTCTGCAAGTGCATATTCAGACCTCTTTGAGGCCTTCGTTGGAAACGTTATTTCTTCATATTATGCTAGACAGAAGAATTCTCAGTAACTTCCTTGTGTTGTGTGTATTCACCTCACAGAGTTGAACGATCCTTTACACAGAGCAGACTTGTAACACTCTTTTTGTGGAATTTGCAAGTGGAGATTTCAGCCGCTTTGAAGTCAAAGGTAGAAAAGGAAAAATCTTCCTATAAAAACTAGACAGAATGATTCTCAGAAACTCCTTTGTGATGTGTGCGTTCAACTCACAGAGTTTAACCTTTCTTTTCATAGAGCAGTTAGGAAACACTCTGTTTGTAAAGTCTGCAAGTGGATATTGAGACCTCTTCGAGGCCTTCGTTGGAAACGGGTTTTTTTCATATAAGGCTAGACAGAAGAATTCTCAGTAACTTCCTTGTGTTGTGTGTATTCAACTCACAGAGTTGAACGATCCTTTACACAGAGCAGACTTGTAACACTCTTTTTGTGGAATTTGCAAGTGGAGATTTCAGCCGCTTTGAAGTCAAAGTTAGAAAAGGAAATATCTTCCTATAAAACCTAGACAGAATGATTCTCAGAAACTCCTTTGTGATGTGTGCGTTCAACACACAGAGTTTAACTTTTCTTTTCATAGAGCAGTTAGTAAACACTCTGTTTATAAAGTCTGCAAGTGGATATTCAGACCCCTTTGAGGCCTTCGTTGGAAACGGGATTTCTTCATATTATGATAGACAGAAGAATTCCCAGTAACTTCCTTGTGTTGTGTGTGTTCAACTCACGGAGTTGAACTTTGATTTACACAGAGCAGATTTGAAACACTCTTTTTGTGGAATTTGCAAGTGGAGATTTCAAGCGCTTTGAGGCCAAAGGCAGGAAAGGGAATATCTTCGTATAAAAACTAGACAGAATCATTCTCAGAAACTGCTCTGTGATGTGTGCGTTCAACTCTCAGAGTTTAACTTTTCTTTTCATTCAGCAGTTTGGAAACACTCTGTTTGTAAAGTCTGTACGTGGATAATTTGACCACTTAGAGGCCTTCGTTGGAAACGGGTTTTTTTCATGTAAGGCTAGACAGAAGAATTCTCAGTAACTTCCTTGTGTTGTGTGCATTCAACTCACAGAGTTGAACGATCCTTTACACAGAGCAGACTTGAAACACTCTTTTTGTGGAATTTGCAAGTGGAGATTTCAGCCGCTTTGAGTTCAATGGTAGAATAGGAAATATCTTCCTATAGAAACTAGACAGAATGATTCTCAGAAACTCCTTTGTGATGTGTGCGTTCAACTCACAGAGTTTAACCTTTCTTTTCATAGAGCAGTTAGGAAACACTGTGTTTGTAAAGTCTGCAAGTGGATAATCAGACCTCTTTGAGGCCTTCGTTGGAAACGGGATTTCTTCATATTCTGCAAGACAGAGGAATTCTTAGTAACTTCTTTGTATTGTGTGTATTCAACTCACAGAGTTGAACCTTCTTTTAGATAGAGTAGATTTGAAACACACTTTTTGTGGAATTCCCAATTGGAGATTTCAAGCGCTTTGGGGCCAATGGTAGAAAAGGAAAAATCTTCACATAAAAACTAGACAAAATCATTCTCAGAAACTGCTCTGCGATGTGTGCGTTCAACTCTCAGAGTTTAACTTTTCTTTTCATTCAGCAGTTTGGAAACACTCTGTTTGTAAAGTCTGCACGTGGATATTTTGACCACTTAGAGGGCTTCGTTGGAAATGGGTTTTTTTCCTGTAAGGCTAGACACAAGAATTCTCAGTAACTTCCTTGTGTTGTGTGTATTCAACTCACAGATTTGAACGATCCTTTACACAGAGCAGACTTGAAACACTCTTTTTGTGGAATTTGCAAGTGGAGATTTCAGCCGCTTTGAGGTCAATGGTAGAAAAGGAAATATCTTCGTATAGAAACAAGACAGAATGATTCTCAGAAAATCCTTTGTGATGTGTGCGTTCAACTCACAGAATTTAACTTTTCTTTTCATAGAGCCGTTTGGAAACACTCTGTTTGTAAAGTCTGCAAGTGGATATTCAGACCTCTTTCAGGCCTTCGTTGGAAACGGGATTTCTTCATATTATGCTAGACAGAGGAATTCCCAGTAACTTCCTTGTGTTGTGTGTGTTCAACTCACAGAGTTGAACTTTCATTTACACAGAGCAGATTTGAAACACTCTTTTTGTGGAATTTGCAAATGGAGATTTCAAGCGCTTTGAGGCCAAAGGAAGAAAAGGAAATATCTTCGTTTCAAAACTAGACAGAATCATTCTCAGAAACTGCTGCGTGATGTGTGCGTTCAACTCTCAGAGTTTCACTTTTCTTTTCATTCAGCGGTTTGGAAACACTCTGTTTGTAAAGTCTGCACGTGGATATTTTGACCACTTAGACGCCTTCGTTGGAAACGGGTTTTTTTCATGTAAGGCTAGACAGAAGAATTCCCAGTAACTTCCTTGTGTTGTGTACATTCAACTCACAGCGTTGAACGTTCCCTTAGACAGAGCAGATTTGAAACACTCTTTTTGTGCAATTGGCAAGTAGTGATTTCAGCCGCTTTGAGGTCAATGGTAGAAAAGGAAATATCTTCGTATAAAAACTAGACAGAATCATTCCCACAAACTGCGATGTGATGTGTTCGTTCAACTCACAGAGTTTAACCTTTCTGTTCATAGAGCAGTTAGGAAACACTCTGTTTGTAAAGTCTGTAAGTGGATATTCTGACATCTTGTGGCCTTCGTTGGAAACGGGATTTCTTCATATTCTGCTAGACAGAATAATTCTCAGTAACTTCCTTGTGTTGTGTGTATTCAACTGACAGAGTTGAAGGATCCTTTACAGAGAGCAGGCTTGAAACACTCTTTTTGTCGAATTTGCAAGTGGAGATTTCAGCCGCTTTGAGGTCAATGGTAGAATAGGAAATATCTTCTTATAGAAACTAGACAAAATGATTCTCAGAAACTTCTTTGTGATGTGTGCGTTCAACTCACAGAGTTTAACCTTTCTTTTCATAGAGCAGGTAGGAAACACTCTGTTTGTAAACTCTGCAAGTGGATATTCAGACCTCTTTGAGGCCTTCGTTGGAAACGGGATTTCTTCATACTATGCTAGACAGAAGAATTCTCAGAATCTTCCTTGTGTTGTGTGTATCCAACTCACAGAGTTGAACGATGGTTTACACAGAGCAGATTTGAAACACTCTTTTTGTGGAATTTGCAAGTGGAGATTTCAGCCGCTTTGAGGTCCATGGTAGAAAAGGAAATATCTTCGTATAAAAACTAAACAGAATGATTCTCATAAATTCCTTTGTGATGTGTGCGTTCAACTCACAAAGTTTAACCTTTCTTTTCATAGAGCAGTTAGGAGACACTCTGTTTGTAAAGTCTGCAAGTGGATATTCAGACCTCTTTGAGGCCTTCGTTGGAAACGGGATTTCTTCATATTATGCTAGACAGAAGATTTCTCAGTAACTTCCTTGTGTTGTGTGTATTCAACTGACAGAGTTGAACTTTCATTTAGAGAGAGCAGATTTGAAACACTCTTTTTGTGGAATTTGCAAGTGGAGATTTCAAGCGCTTTGGGGCCAAAGGCAGAAAAGGAAATATCTTCGTATAAAAACTAGACAGAATCATTCTCATAAACTGCTCTGCGATGTGTGCGTTCAACTCTCCGAGTTTAACTTTTCTTTTCATTCAGCAGTTTGGAAACACTCTGTTTGTAAAGTCTGCACGTGGATAATTTGACCACTTAGAGGCCTTCGTTGGAAACGGTTTTTTTTTCATGTAAGGCTAGACAGAAGAATTCCCAGTAACTTCCTTGTGTTGTGTGCATTCAGCTCACAGAGTTGAACGTTCCCTTAGAGAGAGCAGATTTGAAACACACTTTTTGTGCAATTGGCAAGTGGAGATTTCAAGCGCTATAAGGTCAATGGCAGAAAAGGAAATATCTTCGTTTCAAAACTAGACAGAATCATTCCCACAAACTGCGTTGTGATGTGTTCGTTCAACTCACAGAGTTTAACCTTTCTGTTCATAGAGCAGTTAGGAAACACTCTGTTTCTAAAGTCTGAAAGTGCATAGTCTGACATCTTGTGGCCTTCGTTGGAAACGGGATTTCTTCATATTCTGCTAGACAGAAGAATTCTCAGAATCTTCCTTGTGTTGTGTGTATTCAACTCACAGAGTTGAACGATCCTTTACACAGAGCAGACTTGAAACACTCTTTTTGTGGAATTTGCAAGTGGAGATTTCAGCCGCTTTGAGGTCGATGGTAGAAAAGGAAATATCTTCGTATAAAAACTAGACAGAATCATTCTCAGAAACTGCTCTGCGATGTGTGCGTTCAACTCTCAGAGTTTAACTTTTCTTTCCATTCAGCAGTTTGGAAACACTCTGTTTGTAAAGTCTGCACGTGGATATTTTGACCACTTAGAGGCCTTCGTTGGAAACGGGTTTTTTTCATGTAAGGCTAGACAGAAGAATTCTCAGTAACTTCCTTGTGTTGTGTGTATTCAACTCCCAGAGTTGAACGATCCTTTACACAGAGCAGACTTGTAACACTCTTTTTGTGGAATTTGCAAATGGAGATTTCAGCCGCTTTGAAGTCAAAGGTAGAAAAGGAAATATCTTCCTATAAAAACTAGACAGAATGATTCTCAGAAACTCCTTTGTGATGTGTGCGTTCAACTCACAGAGTTTAACTTTTCTTTTCATAGAGCAGTTAGGAAACACTCTGTTTGTAAAGTCTGCAGGTGGATATTCAGACCTCTTTGAGGCCTTCGTTGGAAACGGGATTTCTTCATATTATGCTAGGCAGAAGAATTCTCAGTAACTTCCTTGTGTTGTGTGTATTCAACTGACAGAGTTGAACTTTCATTTAGAGAGAGCAGATTTGAAACACTGTTTTTGTGGAATTTGCAAGTGGAGATTTCAAGCGCTGTGGGGCCAAAGGCAGAAAAGGAAATATCTTCGTATAAAAACTAGACATAATCATTCTCAGAATCTGCTCTGTGATGTGTGCGTTCAACTCTCAGAGTTTAACTTTTCTTTTCATTCAGCAGTTTGGAAACACTCTGTTTGTAAAGTCTGCACGTGGATAATTAGACCACTTAGAGGCCTTCGTTGGAAACGGGTTTTTTTCATGTAAGGCTATACAGAAGAATTCCCAGTAACTTCCTTGTGTTGTGTACATTCAACTCACAGAGTTGAACGTTCCCTTAGACAGAGCAGATTTGAAACACTCTTTTTGTGCAATTGGGAAGTGGAGATTTCAAGCGCTTTAAGGTCAATAGCAGAAAAGGAAATATCTTCGTTTCAAAACTAGACAGAATCATTCCCACAAACTGCGTTGTGATGTGTTCGTTCAACTCACAGAGTTTAACCTTTCTGTTCATAGAGCAGTTAGGAAACACTCTGTTTGTTAAGTCTGTAAGTGGATATTCTGACATCTTGTGGCCTTCGTTGGAAACGGGATTTCTTCATATTCTGCTAGACAGAAGAATTCCCAGTAACTTCCTTGTGTTGTGTGTGTTCAACTCACAGAGTTGAACTTTCATTTACACAGAGCAGATTTGAAACACTCTTTTTGTGGTATTTGCAAATGGAGATTTCAGCCGCGTTGAGGTCAATGGTAGAAAAGGAAATATCTTCGTTTCAAAACTAGACAGAACGATTCTCAGAAACTCCTTTGTGATGTGTGCGTTCAACTCACAGAGTTTAACCTTTCTTTTCATAGAGCAGTTAGGAAACACTCTGTTTGTAAAGTCTGCAAGTGGATATTCAGACCTCCTTGAGGCCTTCGTTGGAAACGGGATTTCTTCATATTCTGGTAGACAGAAGAATTCTCAGTAACTTCCTTGTGTTGTGTTTATTCAACTCACAGAGTTGAATGATCCTTTACACAGAGCAGACTTGAAACACTCTTTTTGGGGAATTTGCAAGTGGAGATTTCAGCCGCTTTGAGGTCAATGGTAGAAAAGTAAATATCTTCGTATAAAGACTAGACAGAATCATTCTCAGAAACTGCTGCGTGATGTGTGCGTTCAACTCTCAGAGTTTAACTTTTCTTTTCATTCAGCGGTTTGTAAACACTCTGTTTGTAAAGTCTGCACGTGGATATTTTGACCACTTAGAGGCCTTCGTTGGAAACGGGTTTTTTGCATGTGAGGCTAGACAGAAGAATTCCCAGTAACTTCCTTGTGTTGTGTGCATTCAACTCACAGAGTTGAACGTTCCCTTAGACAGAGCAGATTTGAAACACTCTATTTGTGCAATTTGCAAGTGTAGTTTTCAAGCTCTTTAAGATCAACGGCAGAAAAGGAAATATCTTCGTTTCAAAACTAGACAGAATCATTCCCACAAACTGCGTTGTGATGTGTTCGTTCAACTCACAGAGTTTAACTTTTCCGTTCATAGAGCAGTTAGGAAACACTCTGTTTGTAAAGTCTGCAAGTGGATATTCAGACCTCCTTGAGGCCTTCGTTGGAAACGGGATTTCTTCATATTCTGCTAGACAGAAGAATGCTCAGTAACTTCCTTGTGTTGTGTTTATTCAACTCACAGAGTTGAACGATCCTTTACACAGAGCAGACTTGAAACACTCTTTTTGTGGAATTTGCAAGTGGAGATTTCAGCCGCTTTGAGGTCAATGGTAGAAAAGGAAACTATCTTCATATAAAGATTAGACAGAATGATTCTCAGAAACTCCTTTGTGATGTGTGTGTTCAACTCACAGAGTTTAACCTTTCTTTTCATAGAGCAGTTAGTAAACACTCTGTTTATAAAGTCTGCAAGTAGATATTCAGACCCCTTTGAGGCCTTCGTCGGAAACGGGATTTCTTCATATTATGCTAGACAGAAGAATTCTCAGTAACTTCCTTCTGTTGCGTGTATTCAACTCACAGAGTTGAACGATCCTTTACACAGAGCAGACTTGAAACACTCTTTTTGTGGAATTTGCAAGTGGAGATTTCAGCCGCTTTGAGGTCAATGGTAGAATAGGAAATATCTTCCTATAGAAACTAGACAGAATGATTCTCAGAAACTCCTTTGTGATGTGTGCATTCAACTCACAGAGTTTAACCTTTCTTTTCATAGAGCAGTTAGGAAACACTCTGTTTCTAAAGTCTGCAAGTGGATATTCAGACATCTTTGGGGCCTTCGTTGGAAACGGGATTTCTTCATGTTCTGCTAGACAGAAGAATTCTCAGTAACTTTCCTTGTGTTGTGTGTGTTCAACTCACAGAGTTGAACGATCCTTTACACAGAGCAGACTTGTCACACTCTTTTTGTGGAATTTGCAAGTGGAGATTTCAGCCGCTTTGAAGTCAAAGGTAGAAAAGGAAATATCTTCCTATAAAAACTAGACAGAATGATTCTCAGAAACTCCTTTGTGATGTGTGTGTTCAACTCACAGAGTTCAACCTTTCTTTTCATAGAGCAGTTAGTAAACACTCTGTTTATAAAGTCTGCAAGTGGATATTCAGACCCCTTTGAGGCCTTCGTTGGAAACGGGATTTCTTCTTATTATGCTAGACAGAAGAATTCTCAGAATCTTCCTTGTGTTGTGTGTATTCAACTCACAGATTTGAACGATGGTTTACACAGAGCAGATTTGAAACACTCTTTTTGTGGAATTTGCAAGTGGAGATTTCAGCCGCTTTGAGGTCAATGGTAGAAAAGGAAATATCTTCGTATAAAAACTAGACAGAACGATCCTCAGAAACTCCTTTGTGATGTGTGCGTTCAACTCACAGAGTTTAACTTTTCTTTTCATAGAGCCGTTAGGAAACACTCTGTTTGTAAAGTCTGCAAGTGGATATTCAGACCTCTTTGAGGCCTTCGTTGGAAACGGGATTTCTTCCTATTCTGCTAGACAGAAGAATTCTCAGAAACTTCCCCTGTGTTGTGTGAATTCAACTCACAGAGTTGAACGATCCTTTACACAGAGCAGACTTGAAACACTCTTTTTGTGGAATTTGCAAGTGGAGATTTCAGCCGCTTTGAGGTCAATGGTAGAATAGGGAATATCTTCCTATAGAAACTAGACAGAATGATTCTGAGAAACTCCTTTGTGATGTGTGCGTTCAACTCACAGAGTTCAACCTTTCTTTTCCTAGAGCAGTTGGGAAACACTCTGTTTGTAAAGTCTGCAAGTGGATATTCAGACTTCTTTGAGGCCTTCGTTGGAAGCGGGATTTCTTCATATTCTGCCATACAGAAGAATTCTCAGTAACTTCATTGTGTTGTCTGTATTCAACTCACAGAGTTCAACGATCCTTTACACAGAGCAGACTTGAAACACTCTTTTTCTGGAATTTGCAAGTGGAGATTTCAGCCGCTTTGAGGTCAATGGTAGAAAAAGAAATATCTTCCTATAAAAACTAGACAGAATCATTCCCACAAACTGCGTTGTGATGTGTTCGTTCAACTCACAGAGTTTAACCTTTCTGTTCATAGAGCAGTTAGGAAACACTCTGTTTGTAAAGTCTGTAAGTGGATATTCTGACATCCTGTGGCCTTCGTTGGAAACGGGATTTCTTCATATTCTGCTAGACAGAAGAATTCTCAGTAACTTCCTTGTGTTGTGTGTATTCAACTCACAGAGTTGAACAATCCTTTACACAGAGCGGACTTGAAACACTCTTTTTGTGGAATTTGCAAGTGGAGATTTTAGCCG
This sequence comes from Homo sapiens, assembly GCF_000001405.40. Taxonomy (NCBI): domain Eukaryota; kingdom Metazoa; phylum Chordata; class Mammalia; order Primates; family Hominidae; genus Homo; species Homo sapiens. The sequence goes on from NC_000001.11 coordinate 122,515,440, forward strand.
ATTTGAGGTCAATGGTAGAATAGGAAATATCTTCCTATAGAAACTAGACAGAATGATTCTCAGAAACTCCTTTGTGATGTGTGCGTTCAACTCACAGAGTTTAACCTTTCTTTTCATAGAGCAGTTAGGAAACACTCTGTTTGTAAAGTCTGTAAGTGGATATTCAGACCTCTTTGAGGCCTTCGTTGGAAACGGGATTTCTTCATATTGTGCTAGACACAAGAATTCTCAGTAACTTCCTTGTGTTGTGTGGATTCAACTCACAGAGTTGAACGATCCTTTACACAGAGCAGACTTGAAACACTCTTTTTGTGGAATTTGCAAGTGGAGATTTCAGCCGCTTTGGGTTCAATGGTAGAATAGGAAATATCTTCCTATAGAAACTAGACAGAATCATTCCCACAAACTGCGTTGTGATGGGTTCGTTCAACTCACAGAGTTTAACCTTTCCGTTCATAGAGCAGTTAGGAAACACACTGTTTGTAAAGTCTGTAAGTGGATATTCTGACATCTTGTGGCCTTCGTTGGAAACGGGATTTCTTCATATTCTGCTAGACAGAAGAATTCTCAGTAACTTTCCTTGTGTTGTGTGTATTCAACTCACAGAGTTGAACGATCCTTTACAGAGAGCAGACTTGAAACACTCTTTTTGTGGAATTTGCAAGTGGAGATTTCAGCCACTTTGAGGTCAATGGTAGAAAAGGAAATATCTTCGTATAAAGACTAGACAGATTGATTCTCAGAAACTCCTTTTTGATGTGTGTCTTCAACTCACAGAGTTTAAACTTTCTTTTCATAGAGCAGTTAGGAAACACTCTGTTTGTATACTCTGCAAGTGGATATTCAGACCTCTTTGAGGCCTTCTTTGGAAAAGGGATTTCTTCATATTGTGCTAGACAGAAGAATTCTCAGTAACTTTCCTTGTGTTGTGTGTATTCAACTCACAGAGTTGAACGATCCTTTACACAGAGCGGACTTGAAACACTCTTTTTGTGGAATTTGCAAGTGGAGATTTAAGCCGCGTTGAGGTCAATGGTAGAAAAGGAAATATCTTCGTATAAAAACTAGACAGAATGATTCTCCGAAACTCCTTTGTGATGTGTGCGTTCAACTCACAGAGTTTAACCTTTCTGTTCATAGAGCTGTTAGGAAACACTCTGTTTGTAAAGTCTGCAAGTGGATATTCAGACCTCCTTGAGGCCTTCGTTGGAAACGGGATTTCTTCATATTCTGCTAGACAGAAGAATTCTCAGTAACTTCCTTGTGTTGTGTGTATTCAACTCACAGAGTTGAACTGATCCTTTACACAGAGCAGACTTGAAACACTCTTTTTGTGGAATTTGCAAGTGGAGATTTCAGCCGCTTTGAGGTCAGTAGTAGAAAAGGAAATATCTTCGTAGAAAAACTAGACAGAATGATTCTCAGAAACTCCTTTGTGATGTGGGCGTTCAACTCACAGAGTTTAACCTTTCTTTTCATAGAGCAGTTAGGAAACACTCTGTTTGTAAAGTCTGCAAGTGGATACTTGGACTTCTTTGAGGCCTTCGTTGGAAACGGGTTTTTTTCATGTAAGGCTAGACAGATGAATTCTCAGTAACTTCCTTGTGTTGTGTGTATTCAACTCACAGAGTTGAACGATCCTTTACACAGAGCAGATTTGAAACACTGTTTTTCTGGAATTTGCAAGTGGAGATTTCAGCCGCTTTGAGGTCAATGGTAGAAAAGGAAATATCTTCGTATAAAAACTAGACAGAATGATTCTCAGAAACTCCTTTGTGATGTGTGCGTTCAACTCACAGAGTTTAACCTTTCTTTTCATAGAGCAGTTAGGAAACACTCTGTTTGTAAAGTCTGCAAGTGGATATTCAGACATCTTTGAGGCTTTCGTTGGAAACGGGATTTCTTCATATTCTGCTAGACAGCAGAATTCTCAGTAACTTCCTTGTGTTGTGTGTATTCAACTAACAGAGTTGAACGATCCTTTACACAGAGCAGACTTGAAACACTCTTTTTGTGGAATTTGCAAGTGGAGATTTCAGCCGCTTTGAGTTCAATGGTAGAATAGGAAATATCTTCCTATAGAAACTAGACAGAATGATTCTCAGAAAATCCTTTTTGATGTGTGCGTTCAACTCACAGAGTTTAACTTTTCTTTTCATAGAGCAGTTAGGAAACACTCTGTTTGTAAAGTCTGCAAGTGGATATTCAGACCTCTTTGAGGCCTTCGTTGGAAACGTTATTTCTTCATATTATGCTAGACAGAAGAATTCTCAGTAACTGCCTTGTGTTGTGTGTATTCAACTCACAGAGTTGAACGATCCTTTACACAGAGCAGACTTGAAACACTCCTTTTGTGGAATTTGCAAGTGGAGATTTCAGCCGCTTTGAAGTCAATGGTAGAATAGGAAATATCTTCCTATAGAAACTAGACAGAATGATTCTCATAAACTCCTTTGTGATGTGTGCGTTCAACTCACAGAGTTTAACCTTTCTTTTCATAGAGCATTTAGGAAACACTCTGTTTGTAAAGTCTGCAAGTGGATATTCAGACCTCTTTGAGGCCTTCGTTGAAAACGGGATTTCTTCATATTCTGCTAGACAGAAGAATTCTCAGAAACTTCCTTGTGTTGTGTGTTTTCAACTCACAGAGTTGAACGATCCTTTACACAGAGCAGACTTGAAACACTCCTTTTGTGGAATTTGCAAGTGGAGATTTCAGCCGCTTTGAGGTCAATGGTAGAATAGGAAATATCTTCCTATAGAAGGTAGACAGAATGATTCTCATAAACTCCTTTGTGATGTGTGCGTTCAACTCACAGAGTTTAACCTTTCTTTTCATAGAGCAGTTAGGAAACACTCTGTTTGTAAAGTATGCAAGTGGATATTCAGACCTCTTTGAGGCCTTCGTTGGAAACGGGATTTCTTCATATTATGCTAGACAGAAGAATTCTCAGTAACTTCCTTGTGTTGTGTGTATTCAACTCACAGAGTTGAACGATCCTTTACACAGAGCAGACTTGAAACACTCTTTTTGTGAAATTTGCAAGTGGAGATTTCAGCCGCTTTGAGGTCAATGGTAGAAAAGGGAATATCTTCGTATAGAAACTAGACAGAATGATTCTCAGAAACTCCTTTGTGATGTGTGCGTTCGACTCACAGAGTTGAACCTTTCTTTTAATAGAGCAGTTGGGAAACACTCTGTTTGTAAAGTCTGCAAGTGGATATTCAGACTTCTTTGAGGCCTTCGTTGGAAGCGGGATTTCTTCATATTCTGCTAGACAGAAGAATTCTCAGTAACTTCCTTGTGTTGTGTGTATTCAACTGACAGAGTTGAACGATCCTTTACACAGAGCAGACTTGAAACACTCTTTTTGGGGAATTTGCAAGTGGAGATTTCAGCCGCTATGGGGTCAATGGTAGAATAGGAAATATCTTCCTATAGAAACTAGACAGAATGATTCTCAGAAACTCCTTTGTGATGTGTGCGTTCAATTCACAGAGTTTAACTTTTCTTTTCATAGAGCAGTTAGGAAACACTCTGTTTGTAAAGTCTGCAAGTGAATATTCAGACCTCTTTGAGGCCTTCGTTGGAAACGGGATTTCTTCATATTATGCTAGACAGAAGAATTCTCAGTAACTTCCTTGTGTTGTGTGTATTCAATTCACAGAGTTGAACGATCCTTTACAGAGAGCAGGCTTGAAACACTCTTTTTGTGGAATTTGCAAGTGGAGATTTCATCCGCTTTGAGGTCAATGGTAGAATAGGAAATATCTTCCTATAGAAACTTGACAGAATGATTCTCAGAAACTCCTTTGTGATGTGTGCGTTCAACTCACAGAGTTCAACCTTTCTTTTCCTAGAGCAGTTGGGAAACACTCTGTTTGTAAAGTCTGCAAGTGGATATTCAGACATCCTTGAGGCTTTCGTTGGAAACGGGATTTCTTCATATTCTGCTATACAGAAGAATTCTCAGAAACTTCCTGGTGTTGTGTGTTTTCAACTCACAGAGTTCAACGATCCTTTACACAGAGTAGACTTGAAACACTCTTTTCGTGGAATTGGCAAGTGGAGATTTCAGCCGCTTTGAGGTCAATGGTAGAAAAGGAAATATCTTCGTATAAAAACTAGACAGAATGATTCTCAGAAACTCCTTTGTGATGTGTGCGTTCAACTCACAGAGTTTAACCTTTCTTTTCATAGAGCAGTTAGGAAACACTCTGTTTGTAAACTCTGCAAGTGGATATACAGACCTCTTTGAGGCCTTCGTTGGAAACGGGATTTCTTCATACTATGCTAGACAGAAGAATTCTCAGTAACTTCCTTGTGTTGTGTGTATTCAACTCACAGAGTTGAACGATCCTTTACACAGAGCAGACTTGATACATTCTTTTTGTGGAATTTGCAAGTGGAGATTTCAGCCGCTTTGAGGTCAATGGTAGAATAGGAAATATCTTCCTATAGAAACTAGACAGAATGATTCTCAGAAACTCCTTTGTGATGTGTGCGTTCAACTCACAGAGTTTAACCTTTCTTTTCATAGAGCAGTTAGGGAACACTCTGTTTGTAAAGTCTGCAAGTGGATATTCAGACCTCTTTGAGGCCTTCGTAGGAAACGGGATTTCTTCATATTATGCTAGACAGAAGAATTCTCAGTAACTTCCTTGTGTTGTGTGTATTCAACTCACAGAGTTGAACGATCCTTTACAGAGAGCAGACTTGAAACACTCTTTTTGTGGAATTTGCAAGTGGAGATTTCAGCCGCTTTGAGGTCAATTGTAGAAAAGGAAATATCTTCGTATAAAGACTAGACAGAATGATTCTCAGAAACTTCATTGTGATGTGTGCGTTCAACTCACGGAGTTTAACCTTTCTTTTCATAGAGCAGTTAGGAAACACTCTGTTTGTAAACTCTGCAAGTGGATATTCAGACCTCTTTGAGGCCTTCGTTGGAAACGGGATTTCTTCATACTATGCTAGACAGAAGAATTCTCAGTAACTTCCTTGTGTTGTGTGTATTCAACTCACAGAGTTGAACGATCCTTTACACAGAGCAGACTTGAAACACTCTTTTTGTGGAATTTGCAAATGGAGATTTCAAGCGCTTTGAGGCCAAAGGCAGAAAAGGAAATATCTTCGTATAAAAACTAGACAGAATGATTCTCAGAAACTCCTTTGTGATGTGTGCGTTCAACTCACAGAGTTTAACCTTTCTTTTCATAGAGCAGTTAGCAAACACTCTGTTTGTAAAGTCTGCAAGTGGATATTCAGACCTCTTTGAGGCCTTCGTTGGAAACGGGATTTCTTCATATTATGCTAGACAGAAGAATTCTCAGTAACCTCCTTGTGTTGTGTGTATTCAACTCACAGAGTTGAACGATGGTTTACACAGAGCAGAATTGAAACACTCTTTTTGTGGAATTTGCAAGTGGAGATTTCAGCCGCTTTGAGGACAATGGTAGAAAAGGAAATATCTTCGTATAAAAACTAGACAGAATGATTCTCAGAAACTCCTTTGTGATGTGTGCGTTCAACTCACAGAGTTTAACCTTTCTGTTCATAGAGCAATTGGGAAACACTCTGTTTGTAAAGTCTGCAAGTGGATATTCAGACCTCTTTGAGGCCTTCGTTGGAAACGGGATTTCTTCATATTCTGCTAGACAGAAGAATTCTCAGTAACTTCCTTGTGTTGTGTGTATTCAACTCACAGAGTTGAATGATCCTTTACACAGAACAGACTTGAAACACTCTTTTTGTGGAATTTGCAAGTGGAGATTTCAGCCGCTTTGAGGTCGACGGTAGAATAGGAAATATCTTCCTATAGAAACTAGACAGAATGATTCTCAGAAACTTCATTGTGATTTGTGCGTTCAACTCACAGAACTTTAACCTTTCTTTTCATAGAGCAGTTAGGAAACACTCTGTTTGTAAAGTCTGCAAGTGGATATTCAGACCTCTTTGAGGCCCTCGTTGGAAACTGGTTTTTTTCATGTAAGGCTAGACAGTAGAATTCTCAGAAACTTCCTTGTGTTGTGTGTTTTCAACTCCCAGAGTTGAACGATGCCTTACACAGAGTAGACTTGAAAAACTCTTTTTGTGGAATTTGCAAGTGGAGATTTCAGGCGCTTTGAGGTCAATAGTAGAAAAGGAAATATCTTCGTATAAAAACTAGACAGAATGATTCTCAGAAACTCCTTTGTGATGTGTGTGTTCAACTCACAGAGTTTAACCTTTCTTTTCATAGAGCAGTTAGGAAACACTCTGTTTGTAAAGTCTGCAAGTGGATATTCAGACCTCTTCGAGGCCTTCGTTGGAAACGGGTTTTTTTCATATAAGGCTAGACAGAAGAATTCTCAGTAACTTCCTTGTGTTGTGTGTATTCAACTCACAGAGTTGAACGATCCTTTACACAGAGCATACTTGAAACACTCTTCTTGTGGAATTTGCAAGTGGAGATTTCAGCCGCTTTGAGGTCCATGGTAGAATAGGAAATATCTTCCTATAGAAACTAGACAGAATGATTCTCAGAAACTCCTTTGTGATGTGTGCGTTCAACTCACACAGTTTAACCTTTCTTTTCATAGAGCAGTTAGGAAACACTCTGTTTGTAAAGTCTGCAAGTGGATATTCAGACCTCCTTGAGGTCTTCGTTGGAAACGGGATTTCTTCATATTTTGCTAGACAGAAGAATTCTCAGAAACTTCCTTGTGTTGTGTGTTTTCAACTCACAGAGTTCAACGATGCTTTACACAGAGTAGACTTGACACACTCTTTTTGTGGAATTTGCAAGAGGAGATTTCAGCCGCTTTGAGGTCAATGGTAGAAAAGGAAATATCTTCGTATAAAAACTAGACAGAATGATTCTCAGAAACTCCTTTGTGATGTGTGCGTTCAACTCACAGAGTTCAACCTTTCTTTTCATAGAGCAGTTGGGAAACACTCTGTTTGTAAAGTCTGCAAGTGGATATTCAGACTTCTTTGAGGCCTTCGGTGGAAGCGGGATTTCTTCATATTCTGCTAGACAGAAGAATTCTCAGTAACTTCCTTGTGTTGTGTGTATGCAACTCACAGAGTTGAACGATCCTTTACACAGAGCAGACTTGTAACACTCTTTTTGTGGAATTTGCAAGTGGAGATTTCAGCCGCTTTGAAGTCAAAGGTAGAAAAGGAAATATCTTCCTATAAAAACTAGACAGAATGATTCTCATGAACTCCTTTGTGATGTGTGCGTTCAACTCACAGAGTTTAACCTTTCTTTTCATAGAGCAGTTAGGAAACACTCTGTTTGTAAAGTCTGCAAGTGGATATTCAGACCTCCTTGAGGCCTTCGTTGGAAACGGTATTTCTTCATATTCTGCTAGACAGAAGAATTCTCAGTAGCTTCCTTGTGTTGTGTTTATTCAACTCACAGAGTTGAATGATCCTTTACACAGAGCAGACTTGAAACACTCTTTTTGTGGAATTTGCAAGTGGAGATTTCAGCCGCTTTGAGGTCAATGGTAGAAAAGTAAATATCTTCGTATAAAGACTAGACAGAATGATTCTCAGAAACTTCATTGTGATGTGTGCGTTCAACTCACAGAGTTTATCCTTTCTTTTCATAGAGCAGTTAGGAAACACTCTGTTTGTAAACTCTGCAAGTGGATATTCAGACCTCTTTGAGGCCTTCGTTGGAAACGGGATTTCTTCATACTGTGCTAGACAGAAGAATTCTCAGTAACTTCCTTGTGTTGTGTGTATTCAACTCACAGAGTTGAACGATCCTTTACACAGAGCGGACTTGAAACACTCGTTTTGTGGAATTTGCAAGTGGAGATTTCAGCCGTGTTGAGATAAATGGTAGAAAAGGAAATATCTTCGTATAAAAACTAGACAGAATGATTCTCAGAAACTCTTTTGTGATGTGTGCGTTCAACTCACAGAGTTTAACCTTTCTTTTCATAGAGCAGTTAGGAAACACTCTGTTTGTAAAGTCTGCAAGTGGATATTCAGACCTCCTTGAGGCCTTCGTTGGAAACGGGATTTCTTCATATTCTGCTAGACAGAAGAATTCTCAGTAACTTCCTTGTGTTGTGTGTATTCAACTCACAGAGTTGAACGACCCTTTACACAGAGCGGACTTGAAACACTCTTTTTGTGGAATTTGCAAGTGGAGATTTCAGCCGCGTTGAGGTCAATGGTAGAAAAGGAAATATCTTCGTACAAAAACTAGACAGAATCATTCCCACAAACTGCATTGTGATGTGTTCGTTCAACTCACAGAGTTTAACCTTTCTTTTCATAGAGCAGTTAGGAAACAGTCTGTTTGAAAATTCTGTAAGTGGATATTCTGACATCTTGTGGCCTTCGTTGGAAACGGGATTTCTTCATATTCTGCTAGACAGAAGAATTCTCAGAATCTTCCTTGTGTTGTGTGTATTCAACTCACAGAGTTGAACGATGGTTTACACAGAGCAGATTTGAAACACTCATTTGGTGGAATTTGCAAGTGGAGATTTCAGCCGCTTTGAGGTCAATGGTAGAAAAGGAAATACCTTCGTATAACAACTAGACAGAATGATTCTCATAAACTTCTTTGTGATGTGTGCATTCAACTCACAGAGTTTCACCTTTCTTTTCATAGAGCAGTTAGGAAACACTCTGTTTGTAAAGTCTGCAAGTGGATATTCAGACCTCCTTGAGGTCTTCGTTGGAAACGGGATTTCTTCATATTCTGCTAGATAGAAGAATTCTCAGTAACTTCCCTTGTGTTGTGTGTATTCAACTCACGGAGTTGAACGATCGTTTACACAGAGCAGACTTGAAACACTCTTTTTGTGGAATTTGCAAGTGGAGATTTCAGCCGCGTTGAGGTCAATGGTAGAAAAGGAAATATCTTCGTATAAAAACTAGACAGAATGATTCTGAGAAACTCCTTTGTGATGTGTGCGTTGAACTCACAGAGTTTATCTTTTCTTTTCATAGAGCAGTTAGGAAACACTCTGTTTGTAAAGTCTGCAAGTGGATATTCAGACCTCCTTGAGGCCTTCGTTGGAAACGGGATTTCTTCATATTATGCTAGACAGAATAATTCTCAGTAACTTCCTTGTGTTGTGTGTATTCAACTCACAGAGTTGAACGATCCTTTACACAGAGCAGACTTGAAACAATCTTTTTGTGGAATTTGCAAGTGGAGATTTCAGCCGCTTTGAGGTCAATGGTAGAATAGGAAATATCTTCCTATAGAAACTAGACAGAATGATTCTCAGAAACTCCTTTGTGATGTGTGCGTTCAACTCACAGAGTTCAACCTTTCTTTTCATAGAGCAGTTGGGAAACACTCTGTTTGTAAAGTCTGCAAGTGGATATTCAGACTTCTTTGAGGCCTTCGTTGGAAGCGGGATTTCTTCAAATTCTGCTAGACAGAAGAATTCTCAGAAACTTCCTTGTGTTGTGTGTATTCAACTCACAGAGTTGAACGATCGTTTACACAGAGCAGACTTGAAACACTCTTTTTGTGGAATTTGCAAGTGGAGATTTCAGCCGCTTTGAGGTCAATGGTAGAATAGGAAATATCTTCCTATAGAAACTAGACAGAATGATTCTCAGAAACTCCTTTGTGATGTGTGCGTTCAACTCACAGAGTTTAACCTTTCTTTTCATAGAGCAGTTAGGAAACACTCTGTTTGTAAAGTCTGCAAGTGGATATTCAGACCTCCTTGAGGCCTTCTTTGGAAACAGGATTTCTTCATATTCTGCTAGAAAGAAGAATTCTCAGTAACTTCCTTGTGTTGTGTGTATTCAACTCACAGAGCTGAACGATCCTTTACACAGAGCAGACTTGTAACACTCTTTTTGTGGAATTTGCAAGTGGAGATTTCAGCCGCTTTGAAGTCAAAGGTAGAAAAGGAAATATCTTCCTATAAAAACTAGACAGAATGATTCTCAGAAACTCATTTGTGATGTGTGTGTTCAACTCACAGAGTTTAACCTTTCTTTTCATAGAGCAGTTAGTAAACACTCTGTTTATAAAGTCTGCAAGTGGATATTCAGACCCCTTTGAGGCCTTCGTTGGAAACGGCATTTCTTCATATTATGCTAGACAGAAGAATTCTCAGAAACTTCCCTTGTGTTGTGTTTATTCAACTCACAGAGTCGAACGATCCTTTACTCAGAGCAGACTTGAAACACTCCATTTGTGGAATTTGCAAGTGGAGATTTCAGCCGCTTTGAGGTCAATGGTAGAATAGGAAATATCTTCCTATGGAAACTAGACAGAATGATTCTAAGAAACTCCTTTGAGATGTGTGCGTTCAACTCACAGAGTTTAACCTTTCTTTTCATAGAGCAGTTAGGAAACACTCTGTTTGTAAAGTCTGCAAGTGGATATTCAGACCTCTTTGAGGCCTTCCTTGGAAACGGGATTTCTTCATATTATGCTAGACAGAAGAATTCTCAGTAACTTCCTTGTGTTGTGTGTATTCAACTGACAGAGTTGAACTTTCATTTAGAGAGAGCAGATTTGAAACACTGTTTTTGTGGAATTTGCAAGTGGAGATTTCAAGCGCTTTGGGGCCAAAGGCAGAAAAGGAAATACCTTCGTATAAAAACTAGACAGAATCATTCTCAGCAAACTGCTCTGTGATGTGTGCGTTCAACTCTCAGAGTTTAACTTTTCTTTTCATTCAGCAGTTTGGAAACACTCTGTTTGTAAAGTCTGCACGTGGATAATTTGACCACTTAGAGGCCTTCGTTGGAAACGGGTTTTTTTCATGTAAGGCTAGACAGAAGAATTCCCAGTAACTTCCTTGTGTTGCGTGCATTCAACTCACAGAGTTGAACTTTCCCTTAGACAGAGCAGATTTGAAACACTCTATTTGTGCAATTTGCAAGTGTAGATTTCAAGCGCTTTAAGGTCAATGGCAGAAAAGGAAATATCTTCGTTTCAAAACTAGACAGAATCATTCCCACAAACTGCGTTGTGATGTGTTCGTTCAACTCACAGAGTTTAACCTTTCTGTTCATAGAGCAGTTAGGAAACACTCTGTTTGTAAAGTCTGCAAGTGGATATTCAGACCTCCTTGAGGCCTTCGTTGGAAACGGGATTTCTTCATTTTCTGCTAGACAGAAGAATTCTCAGTAACTTCCTTGTGTTGTGTGTATTCAACTCACAGAGTTGAAGGATCCTTTACAGAGAGCAGGCTTGAAACACTCTTTTTGTCGAATTTGCAAGTGGAGATTTCAGCCGCTTTGAGGTCAATAGTAGAAAAGGAAATATCTTCGTAGAAAAACTAGACAGAATGATTCTCAGAAACTCCTTTGTGATGTGTGCGTTCAACTCACAGAGTTTAAACTTTCTTTTCATAGAGCAGTTGGGAAACACTCTGTTTGTAAAGTCTGCAAGTGGATATTCAGACATCCTTGAGGCTTTCGTTGGAAACGGGATTTCTTCATATTCTGCTAGAAAGAAGAGTTCCCACTAACTTCCATGTGTTGTGTGTGTTCAACTCACAGAGTTGAACTTTCATTTACACAGAGCAGATTTGAAACACTCTTTTTGTGGAATTTGCAAATGGAGATTTCAAGCGGTTTGAGGCCAAAGGCAGAAAAGGAAATATCTTCGTATAAAAACTAGACAGAATCATTCTGAGAAACTGCTCTGCGATGTGTGCGTTCAACTCTCAGAGTTTAACTTTTCTTTTCATTCAGCAGTTTGGAAACACTCTGTTTGTAAAGTCTGCACGTGGATAATTTGACCACTTAGAGGCCTTCGTTGGAAACGGGTTTTTTTCATGTAAGGCTAGACAGAAGAATTCTCAGTAACTTCCTTGTGTTGTGTGTATTCAACTCACACAGTTGAACGATCCTTTACACAGAGCAGACTTGTAACACTCTTTTTGTGGAATTTGAAAGTGGAGATTTCAGCCGCTTTGAAGTCAAAGGTAGAAAAGGAAATATCTTCCTATAAAAACTAGACAGAATGATTCTCAGAAACTCCTTTGTGATGTGTGCGTTCAACTCACAGAGTTTAACCTTTCTTTTCATAGAGCAGTTAGGAAACACTCTGTTTGTAAAGTCTGCAAGTGGATATTCAGACCTCTTTGAGGCCTTCGTTGGAAACGGGTTTTTTTCATATAAGGCTTGACAGAAGAATTCTCAGTAACTTCCTTGTGTTGTGTGTATTCAAGTGACAGAGTTGAACGATCCTTTACACAGAGCAGACTTGAAACACTCTTTTTGTGGAATTTGCAAGGGGAGATTTCAAGCGCTTTGGGGCCAAAGGCAGAAAAGGAAATATCTTCGTATAAAAACTAGACAGAATCATTCTCAGAAACTGCTCTGCGATGTGTGCGTTCAACTCTCAGGGTTTAACTTTTCTTTTCATTCAGCAGTTTGGAAGCACTCTGTTTGTAAAGTCTGCAAGTGGATATTTTGACCTCTTTGAGGCCTTCGTTGGAAACGGGTTTTTTTCATGTAAGTCTAGACAGAAGAATTCCCAGTAACTTCCTTGTGTTGTGTGCATTCAACTCACAGAGTTGAACGTTCCCTTAGACACAGCAGATTTGAAACACTCTATTTGTGCAATGTGCAAGTGTAGATTTCAAGCGCTTTAAGGTCAATGGCAGAAAAGGAAATATCTTCGTTTCAAAACTAGACAGAATCATTCCCACAAACTGCGTTGTGATGTGTTCGTTCAACTCACAGAGTTTTACCTTTCTGTTCATAGAGCAGTTAGGAAACACTCTGTTTGTAAAGTCTGTAAGTGGATATTCTGACATCCTTGTGGCCTTCGTTGGAAAAGGGATTTCTTCATATTCTGCTAGACAGAAGAATTCTCAGTAACTTCCTTGTGTTGTGTGTATTCAACTCACAGAGTTGAACGATCCTTTACACAGAGCAGACTTGAAACGTTCTTTTTGTGGAATTTGCAAGTGGAGATTTCAGCCGCTTTGAGGTCAATCGTAGAATAGGAAATATCTTCCTATAGAAACTAGACAGAATGATTCTCAGAAACTCCTTTGTGATGTGTGCGTTCAACTCACAGAGTTTAACCTTTCTTTTCATAGAGCAGTTAGGAAACACTCTGTTTGTAAAGTCTGCAAGTGGATATTCAGACATCCTTGAGGCTTTCGTTGGAAACGGGATTTATTCATATTCTGCTAGACAGAAGAATTCTCAGTAACTTCCTTGTGTTGTGTGTGTTCAACTCACAGAGTTGAACTTTCATTTACACAGAGCAGATTTGAAACACTCTTTTTGTGGAATTTGCAAGTGGAGATTTCAGCCGCTTTGAAGTCAAATGTAGAAAAGGAAATATCTTCCTATAAAAACTAGACAGAATGATTCTCAGAAACTCCTTTGTGATGTGTGCGTTGAACTCACAGAGTTTAACCTTCCTTTTCATAGAGCAGTTAGGAAACACTCTGTTTGTAAAGTCTGCAAGTGGATATTCAGACCTCTTTGAGGCCTTCGTTGGAAACGGGTTTTTTTCATATAAGGCTAGACAGAAGAATTCCCAGTAACTTCCTTGTGTTGTGTGTGTTCAACTCACAGAGTTGAACTTTCATTTACAGAGAGCAGATTTGAAACACTCTTTTTGTGGAATTTGCAAGTGGAGATTTCAAGCGCTTTGAGGCCAACGGCAGAAAAGGAAATATCTTCGTATAAAAACTAGACAGAATGATTCTCAGAAACTTCTTTGTGATGTGTGCGTTCAACTCACAGAGTTTAACCTTTCTTTTCATAGAGCAGTTAGGAAACACTCTGTTTGTAAACTCTGCAAGTGGATAGTCAGACCTCTTTGAGGCCTTCGTTGGAAACGGGATTTCTTCATACTATGCTAGACAGAAGAATTCTCATTAACTTCCTTGTGTTGTGTGTATTCAACTCACAGAGTTGAACGATCCTTTACACAGAGCGGACTTGAAACACACTTTTTGTGGAATTTGCAAGTGGAGATTTCAGCCGCGTTGAGGTCAATGGTAGAAAAGGAAATATCTTCGTATAAAAACTAGACAGAATGATTCTCAGAAAATCCTTTGTGATGTGTGCGTTCAACTCACAGAGTTTAACTTTTCCTTTCATAGAGCAGTTAGGAAACACTCTGTTTGTAAAGTCTGCAAGTGGATATTCAGACCTCTTTGAGGCCTTCGTTGGAAACGGGATTTCTTCATATTATGCTAGACAGAAGAATTCTCAGAAACTTCCTTGTGTTGTGTGTATTCAACTCACAGAGTTGAACGATCCTTTACACAGAGCAGACTTCTAACACACTTTTTGTGGAATTTGCAAGTGGAGATTTCAGCCGCTTTGAGGTCAATGGTAGAAAAGGAAATATCTTCGTATAAAAACTAGACAGAATGATTCTCAGAAACTCCTTTGTGATGTGTGCGTTGAACTCACAGAGTTTAACTTTTCTTTTCATTCAGCAGTTTGGATACACTCTGTTTGTAAAGTCTGCACGTGGATATTTTGAGCACTTAGAGGCCTTCGTTGGAAACGGGTTTTTTTCATGTAAGGCTAGGCAGAAGAATTCCCAGTAACTTCCTTGTGTTGTGTGAATTCAACTCACAGTGTTGAACGTTCCCTTAGACAGAGCATATTTGAAACACTCTATTTGTGCAATTTGCAAGTGTAGATTTCAAGCGCTTTAAGGTCAATGGCAGAAAAGGAAATATCTTCGTTTCAAAACTAGACAGAATCATTCCCACAAACTGCGTTGTGATGTGTTCGTTCAACTCACAGAGTTTAACCTTTCTGTTCATAGAGCATTTAGGAAACACTCTGTTTGTAAAGTCTGTAAGTGGATATTCTGACATCTTGTGGCCTTCGTTGGAAACGGGATTTCTTCATATTCTGCTAGACAGAAGAATTCTCAGTAACTTTCCTTGTGTTGTGTGTATTCAACTCACAGAGTTGAACGATCCTTTACACAGAGCAGACTTGAAACACTCTTTTTGTGGAATTTGCAAGTGGAGATTTCAGCCGCGTTGAGGTCAATGTTAGAAAAGGAAATATCTTCGTATAAAAACTAGACAGAATGATTCTCAGAAACTCCTTTGTGATGTGTGCGTTCAACTCACAGAGTTTAACCTTTCTTTTCATAGAGCAGTTAGGAAACACTCTGTTTGTAAACTCTGCAAGTGGATATTCAGACCTCTTTGAGGCCTTCGTTGGAAACGGGATTTCTCCATACTGTGCTAGACAGAAGAATTCTCAGTAACTTCCTTGTGTTGTGTGTATTCAACTCACAGAGTTGAACGATCCTTTACACAGAGCAGACTTGAAACACTCTTTTTGTGGAATTTGCAGGTGGAGATTTCAGCCGCTTTGAGGTCAATGGTAGAAAAGGAAATATCTTCGTATAAAGACTAGACAGAATGATTCTCAGAAACTCCTTTGTGATGTGTGCGTTCAGCTCACAGAGTTTAACGTTTCTTTTCATAGAGCAGTTAGGAAACACTCTGTTTGTAAAGTCTGCAAGTGGATATTCAGACCTCTTTGAGGCCTTCGTTGGAAACGGGTTTTTTTCATATAAGGCTAGACAGAAGAATTCCCAGTAACTTCCCTTGTGTTGTGTGTGTTCAACACACAGAGTTGAACTTTCATTTACACAGAGCAGATTTGAAACACTCTTTTTGTGGAATTTGCAAGTGGAGATTTCAAGCGCTTTGAGGCCAAAGGCAGAAAAGGAAATATCTTCGTTTCAAAACTAGACAGAATCATTCTCAGAAACTGCTGCGTGATGTGTGCGTTCAACTCTCAGACTTTAACTTTTCTTTTCATTCAGCGGTTTGGAAACACTCTTTTTGTAAAGTCTGCACGTGGATATTTTGACCACTTAGAGGCCTTCGTTGGAAACGGGTTTTTTTCATGTAAGGCTAGACAGAAGAATTCCCAGTAACTTCCTTGTGTTGTGTGCATTCAACTCACCAATTTGAACGTTCCCTTAGACAGAGCAGATTTGAAACACTCTATTTGTGCAATTTGCAATTGTAGATTTCAAGCCCTTTAAGGTCAACGGCAGAAAAGGAAATATCTTCGTTTCAAAACTAGACAGAATCATTCCCACAAACTGCGTTGTGATGTGTTCGTTTAACTCACAGAGTTTAACCTTTCTTTTCATAGAGCAGTTAGGAAACAGTCTGTTTGTAAATTCTGTAAGTGGATATTCTGACATCTTGTGGCCTTCGTTGGAAACGGGATTTCTTCATATTCTGCTAGACAGAAGAATTCTCAGAAACTTCGTTGTGTTGTGTGTTTTCAACTCACAGAGTTCAACGATCCTTTACACAGAGTAGACTTGAAACACTCTTTTTGTGGAATTGGCAGGGTGGAGATTTCAGCCGCTTTGAGGTCAATGGTAGAAAAGGAGATATCTTCGTATAAAAACTAGACAGAATGATTCTCAGAAACTCCTTTGTGATGTGTGCTTTCAACGCACAGAGTTTAACCTTTCTTTTCATAGAGCAGTTAGGAAACACTCTGTTGGTAAAGTCTGCAAGTGGATATTCAGACCTCCTTGAGGCCTTCGTTGGAAACGGGATTTCTTCCTATTATGCTAGACAGAAGAATTCTGAGTATCTTCCTTGTGTTGTGTGTATTCAACTCACAGAGTTGAACGATCCTTTACACAGAGCAGACTTGAAACACTCTTTTTGTGGAATTTGCAAGTGGAGATTTCAGCCGCTTTGAGGTCAATGGTAGAAAAGGGAATATCTTCGTATAGAAACTAGACAGAATTATTCTCAGAAACTCCTTTGTGATGTGTGCGTTCAACTCACAGAGTTTAACCTTTCTTTTCATAGAGCAGTTAGGAAACACTCTGTTTGTAAAGTCTGCAAGTGGATATTCAGACATCTTTGAGGCTTTCGTTGGAAACGGGATTTCTTCATATTCTGCTAGACAGAAGAATTCCCAGTAACTTCCTTGTGTTGTGTGTGTTCAACTCACAGAGTTGAACTTTCATTTACACAGAGCAGATTTGAAACACTCTTTTTGTTGAATTTGCAAGTGGAGATTTCAAGCGGTTTGAGGCCAAAGGTAGAAAAGGAAATATCTTCGTTTCAAAACTAGACAGAATCATTCTCAGAAACTGCTCTGCGATGTGTGCGTTGAACTCTCAGAGTTTAACTTTTCTTTTCATTCAGCAGTTTGGAAACACTCTGTTTGTAAAGTCTGCACGTGGATATTTTGACCACTTAGAGGCCTTCGTTGGAAACGGGTTTTTTTCCTATAAGGCTAGACAGAAGAATTCCCAGTAACTTCCTTGTGTTGTGTGCATTCAACTCACAGAGATGAACGTTCCCTTAGACAGAGCAGATTTGAAACACTCTATTTGTGCAATTTGCAAGTGTAGATTTCAAGCGCTTTAAGGTCAAAGGCAGAAAAGAAAATATCTTCGTTTCAAAACTAGACAGAATCATTCCCACAAACTGCGTTGTGATGTGTTCGTTGAACTCACAGAGTTTAACCTTTCTGTTCATAGAGCAGTTAGGAAACACTCTGTTTGTAAAGTCTGTAAGTGGATATTCTGACCTCTTGTGGCCTTCGTTGGAAACGGGATTTCTTCATATTCTGCTAGACAGAAGAATTCTCAGTAACTTCCTTGTGTTGTGTGTATTCAACTCACAGAGTTGAACGATCCCTTACACAGAGCAGACTTGAAACACTCTTTTTGTGGAATTTGCAAGTGGAGATTTCAGCCGCTTTGAGGTCAATGGTAGAAAAGGAATTATCTTCGTATAAAGACTAGACAGAATGATTCTCAGAAACTTCTTTGTGATGTGTGCGTTCAACTCACAGAGTTTAACCTTTCTTTTCATAGAGCAGTTAGGAAACACTCTGTATGTAAACTCTGCAAGTGGATATTCAGACCTGTTTGAGGCCTTCGTTGGAAACGGGATTTCTTCATACTATGCTAGACAGAAGAATTCTCAGTAACTTCCTTGTGTTGTGTGTATTCAACTCACAGAGTTGAACGATCCTTTACACAGAGCAGACTTGAAACACTCTTTTTGTGGAGTTTGCAATTGGCGATTTCAGCCGCTTTGAGGTCAATGGTAGAATAGGAAATATCTTCCTATAGAAACTAGACAGAATGATTCTCAGAAACTCCTTTGTGATGTGTGCGTTCAACTCACAAAGTTTAACCTTTCTTTTCATAGAGCAATTAGGAAACACTCTGTTTTTAAAGTCTGCAAGTGGATATTCAGACCTCTTAGCGGCCTTCGTTGGAAACGGGATTTCTTCATATTATGCTAGACAAAAGAATTCTCAGTAACTTCCTTGTGTTGTGTGTATTCAACTGACAGAGTTGAACTTTCATTTAGAGAGAGCAGTTTTGTAACACTGTTTTTGTGGAATTTGCAAGTGGAGATTTCAAGCGCTTTGGGGCCAAAGGCAGAAAAGGAAATATCTTCGAATAAAAACTAGACAGAATCATTCTCAGAAACTGCTCTGCGATGTGTGCGTTCAACTCTCAGAGTTTAACTTTTCTTTTCATTCAGCAGTTTGGAAACACTCTGTTTGTAAAGTCTGCACGTGGATAATTTGACTACTTAGAGGCCTTCGTTGGAAACGGGTTTTTTTCATGTAAGGCTAGACAGAAGAATTCTCAGTAACTTCCTTGAGTTGTGTGTATTCAACTCACAGAGTTGCACGATCCTTTACACAGAGCAGACTTGTAACACTCTTTTTGTGGAATTTGCAAGTGGAGATTTCAGCCGCTTTGAAGTCAAAGGTAGAAAAGGAAATATCTTCCTATAACAACTAGACAGAATCATTCCCACAAACTGCGTTGTGATGTGTTCGTTCATCTCACAGAGTTTAACCTTTCTTTTCATAGAGCAGTTAGGAAACACTCTGTTTGTAAATTCTGTGAGTGGATATTCTGACATCTTGTGGCCTTCGTTGGAAACGGGATTTCTTCATATTCTGCTAGACAGAAGTATTCTCAGTAACTTCCTTGTGATGTGTGTATTCAACTCACAGAGTTGAACGATCCTTTACACAGAGCAGACTTGAAACACTCTTTTTGTGGAATTTGCAAGTGGAGATTTCAGCCGCTTTGAGTTCAATGGTAGAATAGGAAATATCTTCCTATAGAAACTAGACAGAATGATTCTCAGAAACTCCTTTGTGATGTGTGTGTTCAACTCACAGAGTTTAACCTTTCTTTTCATAGAGCAGTTAGTAAACAGTCTGTTTATAAAGTCTGCAAGTGGATATTCAGACCCCTTTGAGGCCTTCGTTGGAAACGGGATTTCTACATATTATGCTAGACAGAAGAATTCTCAGTAACTTCATTGTGTTGTGTGTATTCAACTCACAGAGTTGAACGATCCTTTACACAGAGCAGACTTGAAACACTCTTTTTCTGGAATTTGCAAGTGGAGATTTCAGCCGCTTTGAGGTCAATGGTAGAATAGGAAATATCTTCCTATAGAAACTAGACAGAATGATTCTCAGAAACTCCTTTGTCATGTGTGCGTTCAACTCACAGAGTTTAACCTTTCTTTTCATAGAGCAGTTAGGAAACACTCTGTTTCTAAAGTCTGCAAGTGGATATTCAGACCTCTTTGAGGCCTTCGTTGGAAACGGGTTTTTTTCATATAAGGCTAGAGAGAAGAATTCCCAGTAACTTCCTTGTGTTGTGTGTGTTCAACTCACAGAGTTGAACTTTCATTTACACAGAGCAGATTTGAAACACTCTTTTTGTGGAATTTGCAAGTGGAGATTTCAAGCGCTTTGAGGCCAAAGGCAGAAAAGGAAATATCTTCGTGTAAAAACTAGACAGAATCATTCTCAGAAACTGCTCTGCGATGTGTGTGTTCAACTCTCAGAGTTTAACTTTTCTTTTCATTCAGCAGTTTGGAAGCACTCTGTTTGTAAAGTCTGCACGTGGATAATTTGACCACTTAGAGGCCTTCGTTGGAAACGGGTTTTTTTCCTGTAAGGCTAGACAGAAGAATTCCCAGTAACTTCCTTGTGTTGTGTACATTCAACTCACAGAGTTGAACGTTCCCTTAGACAGAGCAGATTTGAAACACTCCTTTTGTGCAATTGGCAAGTGGAGATTTCAAGCGCTTTAAGGTCAATGGCAGAAAAGGAAATATCTTCGTTTCAAAACTAGACAGAATCATTCCCACAAACTGCGTTGTGAGGTGTTCGTTCAACTCACAGAGTTTAACCTTTCTTTTCATAGAGCAGTTAGGAAACAGTCTGTTTGTAAATTCTGTAAGAGGATATTCTGACATCTTGTGGCCTTCGTTGGAAACGGGATTTCTTCATATTCTGCTAGACAGAAGAATTCTCAGTAACTTCCTTGTGTTGTGTGTATTCAACTCACAGAGTTGAATGATCCTTTACACAGAACAGTCTTGAAACACTCTTTTTGTGGAATTTGCAAGTGGAGATTTCAGCCGCTTTGAGGTCAATGGTAGAATAGGAAATATCTTCCTATAGAAACTAGGCAGAATGATTCTCAGAAACTTCTTTGTGATGTGTGTGTTCAACTCACACAGTTTAACCTTTCTTTTCATAGAGCAGTTAGGAAACACTGTGTTTTTAAACTCTGCAAGTGGATATTCAGACCTCTTTGAGGCCTTCGTTAGAAACGGGTTTCTTCATACTGTGCTAGACAGAAGAATTCTCAGTAACTTCCTTGTGTTGTGTGTATTCAACTCACAGAGTTGAACGATCCTTTACACAGAGCAGACTTGTAACACTCTTTTTGTGGAATTTGCAAGTGGAGATTTCAGCCGCTTTGAAGTGAAAGGTAGAAAAGGAAATATCTTCCTATAAAAACTAGACAGAATGATTCTCAGAAACTCCTTTGTGATGTGTGCGTTCAACTCACAGAGTTTAACGTTTCTTTTCATAGAGCAGTTAGGAAACACTCTGTTTGTAAAGTCTGCAAGTGGATATTCAGACCTCTTTGAGGCCTTCGTAGGAAACGGGTTTTTTTCATATAAGGCTAGACAGAAGAATTCCCAGTAACTTCCTTGTGTTGTGTGTGTTCAACTCACAGAGTTGAACTTTGATTTACACAGGAGCAGATTTGAAACACTCTTTTTGTGGAATTTGCAAGTGGAGATTTCAAGCGCTTTGAGGCCAAAGGCAGAAAAGGAAATATCTTCGTATAAAAACTAGACAGCATCATTCTCAGAAACTGCTCTGCGATGTGTGCGTTCAACTCTCAGAGTTTAACTTTTCTTTTCATTCAGCAGTTTGGAAACACTCTGTTTGTAAAGTCTGCACGTGGATATTTTGACCACTTAGAAGCCTTCGTTGGAAATGGGTTTTTTTCCTGTAAGGCTAGACAGAAGAATTCCCAGTAACTTCCTTGTGTTGTGTGCATTCCACTCACAGAGTTGAACGTTCCCTTAGACAGAGCAGATTTGAAACACTCTATTTGTGTAATTTGCAAGTGTAGATTTCAAGCGCTTTAAGGTCAACGGCAGAAAAGGAAATATCTTCGTTTCAAAACTAGACAGAATGATTCCCACAAACTGCGTTGTGATGTGTTCGTACAACTCACAGAGTTTAACCTTTCTGTTCATAGAGCAGTTAGGAAACACTCTGTTTGTAAAGTCTGTAAGTGGATATTCAGACATCTTGTGGCCTTCGTTGGAAACGGGATTTCTTCATATTCTGCTAGACAGAAGAATTCTCAGAATCTTCCTTGTGTTGTTTGTATTCAACTCACACAGTTGAACGATCCTTTACACAGAGCAGATTTGAAACACTCATTTGGTGGAATTTGTAAGTGGAGGTTTCAGCCGCTTTGAGGTCCATGGTAGAAAAGGAAATATCTTCGTATAACAACTAGACAGAATGATTCTCAAAAACTTCTTTGTGATGTGTGCGTTCAACTAACAGAGTTTAACCTTTCTTTTCATAGAGCAGTTAGGAAACACTCTGTTTGTAAACTCTGCAAGTGGATATTCAGACCTCTTTGAGGCCTTCGTTGGAAACGGGATTTCTTCATACTGTGCTAGACAGAAGAATTCTCAGTAACTTCTTTGTGTTGTGTGTATTCAACTCACAGAGTTGAACGATCCTTTACACAGAGCAGACTTGAAACACTCTTTTTGTGGAATTTGCATGTGGAGATTTCAGCCGCTTTGAGGTCAATGGTAGAATAGGAAATATCTTCCTATAGAAACTAGACAGAATGATTCTCAGAAACTCCTTTGTGATGTGTGCGTTCAACTCACAGAGTTCAACCTTTCTTTTCATAGAGCAGTTGGGAAACACTCTGTTTGTAAAGTCTGCAAGTGGATATTCAGAGTTCTTTGAGGCCTTCGTTGGAAGCGGGATTTCTTCATATTCTGCTAGACAGAAGAATTCTCAGTAACTCCCTTGTGTTGTGTGTATTCAACTCACAGAGTTGAACGATCCTTTACACAGAGCAGACTTGTAACACTCTTTTTGTGGAATTTGCAAGTGGAGATTTCAGCCACTTTGAAGTCAAAGGTAGAAAAGGAAATAACTTCCTATAAAAACTAGACAGAATGATTCTCAGAAACTCCTTTGTTATGTGTGCGTTCAACTCACAGAGTTTAACCTTTCTTTTCATAGAGCAGTTAGGAAACACTCTGTTTGTAAAGTCTGCAAGTGGATATTCAGACCTCCTTGAGGCCTTCGTTGGAAGCGGGATTTCTTCATGTTCAGCTAGACAGAAGAATTCTCAGTAACTTTCCTTGTGTTGTGTGTATTCAACTCACAGAGTTGAACGATCCTTTACACAGAGCAGACTTGAAACACTCTTTTTGTGGAATTTGCAAGTGGAGATTTCAGCCGCTTTGAGGTCAAAGGTAGAAAAGGAAACTATGTTCGTATAAAGAGTAGACAGAATGATTCTCAGAAACTCCTTTGTGATATGTGCGTTCAACTCACAGAGTTTAACCTTTATTTTCATAGAGCAGTTAGGAAACACTCTGTTTGTAAAGTCTGCAAGGGGATATTCAGACCTCTTTGAGGCTTTCGTTGGAAACGGGATTTCTTCATATTCTGCTAGACAGAAGAATTCTCAGTAACTTCCTTGTGTAGTGTGCATTCAACTCACAGAGTTCAACGATCCTTTACACAGAGCTGATTAGAAACACTTTTTTTGTTGAATTTGCAAGTGGAGATTTCAGCCGCTTTGAGGTCAATGGTAGAAAAGGAAATATCTTCGTATAAAAACTAGACAGAATGATTCTCAGAAACTCCTTTGTGATGTGTACGTTCAACTCACAGAGTTTAACCTTTCTTTTCTTAGAGCAGTTAGGAAACACTCTGTTTGTAATGTCTGCAAGTGGATATTCAGACCTCTTTGAGGCCTTCGTTGGAAACGGGTTTTTTTCATATAAGGCTAGACAGAAGAATTCTCAGAAACTTCCTTGTGTTGTGTGTTTTCAACTCACAGAGTTGAACGATCCTTTACACAGAGCAGACTTGAAACACTTCTTTTGTGGAATTTGCAAGTGGAGATTTCATCCGCTTTGAGGTCAATGGTAGAATAGGAAATATCTTCCTATAGAAAGTAGACAGAATGATTCTCAGAAACTCCTTTGTGCTGTGTGCGTTCAGCTCACAGAGTTTAACCTTTCTTTTCATAGAGCAGTTAGGAAACACTCTGTTTGTAAAGTCTGCAAGTGGATATTCAGACCTCTTTGAGGCCTTCGTTGGAAACGGGATTTCTTCATATTCTGCTAGACAGAAGAATTCTCAGAATCTTCCTTGTGTTGTGTGTATTCAACTCACAGAGTTGAAAGACCCTTTACACAGAGCGGACTTGAAACACTCTTTTTGTGGAATTTGCAAGTGGAGATTTCAGCCGCGTTGAGGTCAATGGTAGAAAAGGAAATATCTTCGTATAAAAACTAGACAGAATGATTCTCAGAAACTCCTTTGTGATGTGTGCGTTCAACTCACAGAGTTTAACCTTTCTTTTCATAGAGCAGTTAGGAAACACTCTGTTTGTAAAGTCTGCAAGTGGATATTCAGACCTCTTTGAGGCCTTCGTTGGAAACGGGATTTCCTCATATTATGCTAGACAGAAGAATTCTCAGTAACTTCCTTGTGTTGTGTGTATTCAACTCACAGAGTTCAATGATCCTTTACACAGAACAGACTTGAAACACTCTTGTTGTGGAATTTGCAAGTGGAGAATTCAGCCGCTTTGAGGTCAACGGTAGAAAAGGAAATATCTTCCTATAGAAACTAGACAGAATGATTCTCAGAAACTCCTTTGTGATGTGTGCGTTCAACTCACAGAGTTTAGCCTTTCTTTTCATAGAGCAGTTAGGAAACACTCTGTTTGTAAAGTCTGCAAGTGGATATTCAGACCTCTTTGAGGCCTTCGTTGGAAACGGGATTTCTTCATATTCTGCTAGACAGAAGAATTCTCAGTAACTTCCTTGTGTTGTGTGTATTCAACTCACAGAGTTGAACGATCCTTTACACAGAGCGGACTTGAAACACTCTTTTTGTGGAATTTGCAAGTGGAGATTTCAGCCGCATTGAGGTCAATGGTAGAAAAGGAAATCTCTTCGTATAAAAACTAGACAGAATGATTGTCAGAAACTCCTTTGTGATGTGTGCGTTCAACTCACAGAGTTTAACCTTTCTTTTCATAGAGCAGTTAGGAAACACTCTGTTTGTAAAGTCTGCAAGTGGATATTCAGACATCTTTGAGGCTTTCGTTGGAAACGGGATTTCATCATATTCTGCTAGACAGAAGAATTCTCAGAAACTTCCTTGTGTTTTGTGTTTTCAACTCACGGAGTTGAACGATGCTTTACACAGAGTAGACTTGAAACACTCTTTTTGTGGAATTTGCAATTGGAGATTTCAGCCGCTTTGAGGTCAATGGTAGAAAAGGAAATATCTTCGTATAAAAACTAGACAGAATGATTCTCAGAAACTTCTTTGTGATGTGTGCGTTCAACTCACAGAGTTTAACCTTTCTTTTCATAGAGCAGTTAGGAAACACTCTGTTTCTAAACTCTGCAAGTGGATATTCAGACCTCCTTGAGGCCTTCGTTGGAAACGGGATTTCTTCATACTATGGTAGACAGAAGAATTCTCAGAATCTTCCTTGTGTTGTGTGTATTCAACTCACAGAGTTGAACGATCCTTTACACAGAGCAGACTTGAAACACTCTTTTTGTGGAATTTGCAAGTGGAGATTTCAGCCGCTTTGAGGTCAATGGCAGAAAAGGAAATATCTTCGTATGAAAACTAGACAGAATGATTCTCAGAAACTCCTTTGTGATGTGTGCGTTCAACTCACAGAGTTTAACCTTACTTTTCATAGAGCAGTTAGGAAACACTCTGTTTGTAAAGTCTGCAAGTGGATATTCAGACCTCTTTGAGGCCTTCGTTGGAAACGGGATTTCTTCATATTCTGCTAGACAGAAGAATTCTCAGTAACTTCCTTGTGTTGTGTGTATTCAACTCACAGAGTTGAACGATCCTTTACACAGAGCAGACTTGAAACACTCCTTTTGTGGAATTTGCAAGTGGAGATTTCAGCCGCTTTGAGGTCAATAGTAGAAAAGGAAATATCTTCGTAGAAAAACTAGACAGAATGATTCTCAGAAACTCCTTTGTGATGTGTGCGTTCAACTCACAGAGTTTAACTTTTCTTTTCATAGAGCAGTTAGGAAACATTCTGTTTGTAAAGTCTGCAAGTGGATATTCAGACCTCTTTGTGGCCTTCGTTGGAAACGGGATTTCTTCATATTCTGCTAGACAGAAGAATTCTCAGTAACTTCCTTGTGTTGTGTGTATTCAACTGACAGAGTTGAACTTTCATTTAGAGAGAGCAGATTTGAAACACTGTTTTTGTGGAATTTGCAAGTGGAGATTTCAAGCTCTTTGGGGCCAAAGGCAGAAAAGGAAATATCTTCGTAGAAAAACTAGACAGAATCATTCTCAGAAACTGCTCTGCGATGTGTGCGTTCAACTCTCAGAGTTTAACTTTTCTTTTCATTCAGCAGTTTGGAAACACTCTGTTTGTAAAGTCTGCACGTGGATAATTTGACCACCGAGAGACCTTCGTTGGAAACGGGTTTTTTTCATGTAAGGCTAGACAGAAGAATTCCCAGTAACTTCCTTGTGTTGTGTGCATTCAACTCACAGAGTTGAACGTTCCCTTAGACAGAGCAGATTTGAAACACTCTATTTGTGCAATTTGCAAGTGTAGATTTCAAGATCTTTAAGGTCAACGGCAGAAAAGGAAATATCTTCGTTTCAAAACTAGACAGAATGATTCTCATAAACTCCTTTGTGATGTGTGCGTTTAACTCACAGAGTTTAACTTTTCTTTTCATAGAGCAGTTAGGAAACACTCTGTTTGTAAAGTCTATAAGTGGATATTCTGACATCTTGTGGCCTTCGTTGGAAACGGGATTTCTTCATATTCTGCTAGACAGAATAATTCTCAGTAAATTCCTTGTGTTGTGTGTATTCAAGTCACAGAGTTGAACGATCCTTTACAGAGAGCAGACTTGAAACACTCTTTTTGTGGAATTTGCAAGTGGAGATTTCAGCCGCTTTGAGGTCAATAGTCGAAAAGGAAATATCTTCGTAGAAAAACTAGAAAGAATGATTCTCAGAAAATCTTTTGTGATGTGTGCGTTCAACTCACAGAGTTTTACTTTTCTTCTCATAGAGCAGTTAGGAAACACTCTGTTTGTAAAGTCTGCAAGTGGATATTCAGACCTCTTTGAGGCCTTCGTTGGAAACGGGATTTCTTCATATTATGCTAGACAGAATAATTCTCAGTAACTTCCTTGTGTTGTGTTTATTCAACTCACAGAGTTGAATGATCCTTTACACAGAGCAGACTTGAAACACTCTTTTTGTGGAATTTGCAAGTGGAGATATCAGCCGCTTTGAAGTCAATGGTAGAAAAGTAAATATCTTCGTATAAAGACTAGACAGAATGATTCTCATAAACTCCTTTGTGATGTGTGCGTTCAACTCACAGTAGTTTAACCTTTCTTTTCATAGAGCAGTTAGGAAACACTCTGTTTGTAAAGTCTGCATGTGGATATTCAGACCTCTTTGAGGCCTTCCTTGGAAACGGGATTTCTTCATATTCTGCTAGACAGAATAATTCTCAGTAACTTCCTTGTGTTGTGTGTATTCAACTCACAGAGTTGAACGATCCTTTACAGAGAGCAGACTTGAAAAACTCTTTTTGTGGGATTTGCAAGTGGAGATTTCAGCCGCTTTGAGCTCAATGGTAGAATAGGAAATATCTTCCTAAAGAAACTAGACAGAAAGATTCTCAGAAACTCCTTTGTGATGTGTGCGTTCAACTCACAGAGTTTAACCTTTCTTTTCATAGAGCAGTTAGGAAACACTCTGTTTGTAAAGTCTGCAAGTGGATATTCAGACCTGTTTGAGGCCTTCGTTGGAAACGGGTTTTTTTCATATAAGGCTAGACAGAAGAATTCTCAGTAACTTCCTTCTGTTGTGTGTATTCAACTCACAGAATTGAACGATCCTTTACACAGAGCAGACTTGACACACTCTTTTTGTGGAATGTGCAAGTGGAGATTTCAGCCGCTTTGAGGTCAATGGTAGAAAAGGAAAAATCTTCGTATAGAAACAAGACAGAATGATTCTCATAAACTCCTTTGTGATGTGTGCGTTCAACTCACAGAGTTTAACCTTTCTTTTCATAGAGCAGTTAGGAAACACTCTGTTTGTAAAGTCTGCAAGTGGATATTCAGACCTCCTTGAGACCTTCGTTGGAAACGGGATTTCTTCATATTCTGCTAGACAGAAGAATTCTCAGTAACTTCCTTGTGTTGTGTGTATTGAACTCGCAGAGTTGAACGATCCTTTACACAGAGCAGACTTGAAACACTCTTTTTGTGGAATTTTCAAGTGCAGATTTCAGCCGCTTTGAGGTCAATAGTAGAAAAGGAAATATCTTCGTAGAAAAACTAGACAGAATGATTCTCAGAAACTCCTTTATGATGTGTGCATTCAACTCACAGAGGTTAACCTTTCTTTTCATAGAGCAGTTAGGAAACACTCTTTTTGTAAAGTCTGCAAGTGGATAATCAGACCTCTTTGAGGCCTTCGTTGGAAACGGGATTTCTTCATACTATGCTAGACAGAAGAATTCTCAGTAACTTCCCTGTGTTGTGTGTATTCAACTGACAGAGTTGAACTTTCTTTTAGAGAGAGCAGATTTGAAACACTGTTTTTGTGGAATTTGCAACTGGAGATTTCAAGCGCTTTGGCGCCAAAGGCAGAAAAGGAAATATCTTCGTATAAAAACTAGACAGAATCATTCTCAGAAACTGCTCTGCGATGTGTGCGTTCAACTCTCAGAGTTAAACTTTTCTTTTCATTCAGCAGTGTGGAAACACTCTGTTTGTAAAGTCTGCACGTGGATATTTTGACCGCTTAGAGGCCTTCGTTGGAAACGGTTTTTTTTCATGTAAGGCTAGACAGAAGAATTCCCAGTAACTTCCTTGTGTTGTGTGCATTCAACTCACAGAGTTGAACGTTCCCTTAGACAGAGCAGATTTGAAACACTCTATTTGTGCAATTTGCAAGTGTAGATTTCAAGCGCGTTAAGGTCAACGGCAGAAAAGGAAATATCTTCGTTTCAAAACTAGACAGAATCATTCCCACAAACTGCGTTGTGATGTGTTCGTTCAACTCACAGAGTTTAACCTTTCTGTTCATAGAGCAGTTAGGAAACACTCTGTTTGTAAAGTCTGTAAGTGGATATTCTGAAATCTTGTGGCCTTCGTTTTAAACGGGATTTCTTCATATTCTGCTAGACAGAAGATTTCTCAGTAACTTCCTTGTGTTGTGTGTATTCAACTCACAGAGTTGAATGATCCTTTACACAGAACAGTCTTGAAACACTCTTTTTGTGGAATTTGCAAGTGGAGATTTCAGCCGCTTTGGGGTCAATGGTAGAATAGGAAATACCTTCCTATAGAAACTAGACAGAATGATTCTCAGAAAATCTTTTGTGATGTGTGCGTTCAACTAACAAAGTTTAACTTTTCTTCTCATAGAGCAGTTACGAAACACTCTGTTTGTAAAGTCTGCAAGTGTATATTCAGACCTCTTTGAGGCCTTCGTTGGAAACGGGATTTCTTCATATTATGCTAGACAGAATAATTCTCAGTAACTTCCTTGTGTTGTGTGTATTTAACTCACAGAGTTGAAGGATCCTTTACAGAGAGCAGGCTTGAAACACTCTTTTTGTCGAATTTGCAAGTGGAGATTTCAGCCGCTTTGAGGTCAATGGTAGAATAGGAAATATGTTCTTATAGAAACTAGACAGAATGATTCTCAGAAACTCCTTTGTGATGTGTGCGTTCAACTCAGAGTTTAACCTTTCTTTTCATAGAGCAGTTAGGAAACACTCTGTTTGTAAAGTCTGCAAGTGGATATTCAGACCTCTTTGAGGCCTTCGTTGGAAACGGGATTTCTTCATATTATGCTAGACAGAAGAATTCTCAGTAACTTCCTTGTGTTGTGTTTATTCAACTCACAGAGTTGAATGATCCTTTACACAGAGCAGACTTGAAACACTCTTTTTTTGGAATTTGCAAGTGGAGATTTCAGCCGCTTTGAAGTCAATGGTAGAAAAGTAAATATCTTCGTATAAAGACTAGACAGAATGATTCTCAGAAACTTCTTTGTGATGTGTGCGTTCAACTCACAGAGTTTAACCTTTCTTTTCATAGAGCAGTTAGGAAACACTCTGTTTGTAAAGTCTGCAAGTGGATATTCAGTCCTCCTTGAGGCCTTCGTTGGAAGCGGGATTTCTTCATGTTCTGCTAGACAGAAGAATTCTCAGTAACTTCCTTGTGTTGTGTGTATTCAACTCTCAGAGTTCAACGATCCTTTACACAGAGCAGACTTGAAGCACTCTTTTTGTGGAATTTGCAAGTGGAGATTTTAGCCGCTTTGAGGTCAATGGTAGAATAGGAAATATCTTCCTATAGAAACTAGACAGAATGATTCTCAGAAACTCCTTTGTGATGTGTGCGTTCAACTCACAGAGTTTAACTTTTCTTTTCATAGAGCAGTTAGGAAACACTCTGTTTGTAAAGTCTGCAAGTGGATATTCAGACCTCTTTGAAGCCTTCGTTGGAAACGGGATTTCTTCATATTCTGCTAGACAGAAGAATTCCCAGTAACTTCCTTGTGTTGTGTGTGTTCAACTCACAGAGTTGAACTTTGATTTACACAGAACAGATTTGAAACACTCTTTTTGTGGAATTTGCAAGTGGAGATTTCAAGCGCTTTGAGGCCAAAGGCAGAAAAGGAAATATCTTCGTATAAAAACTAGACAGAATCATTCTGAGAAACTGCTCTGTGATTTGTGCGTTCAACTCTCAGAGTTTAACTTTTCTTTTCATTCAGCAGTTTGGAAACTCTCTCTTTGTAAAGTCTGCACGTGCATATTTTGAACACTTAGAGGCCTTCGTTGGAAACGGGTTTTTTTCATGTAAGGCTAGACAGAAGAATTCCCAGTAACTTCCTTGTGTTGTGTGCATTCAACTCACAGAGATGAACGTTCCCTTAGACAGAGCAGATTTGAAACACTCTATTTGTGCAATTTGCAAGTGTAGATTTCAAGCGCTTTAAGGTCAATGACAGAAAAGGAAATATCTTCGTTTCAAAACTAGACAGAATCATTCCCACAAACTGCGTTTTGATGTGTTCGTTCAACTCACAGAATTTAACCTTTCTTTTCATAGAGCAGTTAGGAAACACTCTGTTTGTAAATTCTGTAAGTGGATATTCTGAAATCTTGCAGCCTTCGTTGGAAACGGGCTTTCTTCATATTCTGCTAGACAGAAGAATTCTCAGTAACTTCCTTGTGTTGTGTGTATTCAACTCACAGAGTTGAACGATCCTTTACACAGAGCAGACTTGAAACACTCTTTTTGTGGAATTTGCAAGTGGAGATTTCAGCCGCTTTGAGGTCAATGGTAGAAATGGAAATATCTTCGTATAAAGACTAGACAGAATGATTCTCAGAAACTCCTTTGTGATGCGTGCGTTCAACTCACAGAGTTTAACCTTTCTTTTCATAGAGCAGTTAGGAAACACTCTGTTTGTAAAGTCTGCAATTGGATATTCAGACCTCTATTAGGCCTTCGTTGGAAACGGGATTTCTTCATATTCTGCTAGACAGAAGAATTCTCAGTAACTTCCTTGTGTTGCGTGTTTTCAAATCACAGAGCTGAACGATCCTTTACAAAGAGCAGACTTGAAACACTCTTTTTGTGGAATTTGCAAGTGGAGATTTCAGCCGCTTTGAGGTCAATAGTAGAATAGGAAATATCTTCCTATAGAAACTAGACAGAATGATTCTCAGAAACTCCTTTGTGATGTGTGCGTTCAACTCACAGAGTTTAACTTTTCTTTTATTAGGGCAGTTAGGAAACACTCTGTTTGTAAAGTCTTCAAGTGGATATTCAGACCTCTTTGAGGCCTTCGTTGGAAACGGGATTTCTTCATATTCTGCTAGACAGAAGAATTCTCAGTAACTTCCTTGTGTTGTGTGTATTCAACTCACAGAGTTGAACGATCCTTTACAGAGAGCAGACTTGAAAAACTCTTTTTGTGGAATTTGCAAGTGGAGATTTCAGCCGCTTTGAGGTCAATGGTAGAATAGGAAATATCTTCCTATAGAAACTAGACAGAATGATTCTCAGAAACTCCTTTGTGATGTGTGCGTTCAACTCACATAGTTCAACCTTTCTTTTCATAGAGTAGTTGGGAAACACTCTGTTTGTAAAGTCTGCAAGTGGATATTCAGACTTCTTTGAGGCCTTCGTTGGAAGCGGGATTTCTTCATATTCTGCTAGACAGAAGAATTCTCAGAAACTTCCTTGTGTTGTGTGTTTTCAACTCACAGAGTTGAACGACCCTTTACACAGAGCAGAATTGAAACACTCTCTTTGTGGAATTTGCAAGTGGAGATTTCAGCCGCTTTGAGGTCAATGGTAGAAAAGGAAATATCTTCGTATAAAAACTAGACAGAATGATTCTCAGAAACTCCTTTGTGATGTGTGCGTTCAACTCACAGAGTTTAACCTTTCTTTTCATAGAGCAGTTGGGAAACACTCTGTTCGTAAACTCTGCAAGTGGATATTCAGACCTCTTTGAGGCCTTCGTTGGAAACGGGATTTCTTCATATTCTGCTAGACAGAAGAATTCTCAGAAACTTCCTTGTGTTGTGTGTATTCAACTCACACAGTTGAACGATCCTTTACACAGAGCAGACTTGAAACACTCTTTTTGTGGAATTTGCAAGTGGAGATTTCAGCCGCTTTGAGGTCAATGGTAGAATAGGAAATATCTTCCTATAGAAACTAGACAGAATGATTCTCAGAAACTCCTTTGTGATGTGTGCGTTCAACTCACAGAGTTTAACCTTTCTTTTCATAGAGCAGTTAGGAAACACTCTGTTTATAATGTCTGCAAGTGGATATTCAGACCTCTTTGAGGCCTTCGTTGGAAACGGGATTTCTTCATATTATGCTAGACAGAAGAATTCTCAGTAACTTCCTTGTGTTGTGTGTATTCAACCCACAGAGTTGAACGATCCTTTACACAGAGCATACTTGGAACACTCTTCTTGTGGAATTTGCAAGTGGAGATTTCAGCCGCTTTGAGATCAATGGTAGAATAGGAAATATCTTCGTATAAAAACTAGACAGAATGATTCTCAGAAAATCCTTTGTGATGTGTGTGTTCAACTCACAGCAGTTTAACCTTTCTTTTCATAGAGCAGTTAGTAAACACTCTGTTTATAAAGTCTGCAAGTGGATATTCAGACACCTTTGAGGACTTCGTTGGAAATGGGATTTCTTCATATTATGCTAGACAGAAGAATTCTCAGTAACTTCCTTGTGTTGTGTGTATTCAACTCACAGACTTGAACGATCCTTTACACAGAGCAGACTTGAAACACTCTTTTTGTGGAATTTGCAAGTGGAGATTTCAGCCGCTTTGAGGTCAATGGTAGAAAAGGTAACTATCTTCGTATAAAGACTAGACAGAATGTTTCTCAGAAACTCCTTTGTGATGTGTGCGTTCAACTCACAGAGTTTAACCTTTCTTTTCATAGAGTAGTTAGGAAACACTCTGTTTGTAAAGTCTGCAAGTGGATATTGAGACCTCTTTGAGGCCTTCGTTGGAAACGGGATTTCTTCATATTCTGCTAGACAGAAGAATTCTCAGTAACTTCCTTGTGTTGTGTGTATTCAACTCACAGAGTTGAACGATCCTTTACACAGAGCAGACTTGGAACACTGTTTTTGTGGAATTTGCAAGTGGAGATTTCAGCCGCGTTGAGGTCAATGGTAGAAAAGGAAATATCTTCGTATAAAAACTAGACAGAATGATTCTCAGAAACTCCTTTGTGATGTGTGCGTTCAACTCACAGAGTTGAAGTTTTCTTTTCTTAGAGCAGTTAGGAAACACTCTGTTTGTAAAGTCTGCAAGTGGATATTCAGACCTCTTTGAGGCCTTCGTTGGAAACGGGGTTTCTTCATATTCTGCTAGACAGAAGAATTCTCAGTAACTTCCTTGTGTTGTGTGTATTCAACTCACAGAGTTGAACGATCCTTTACACAGAGCAGACTTGAAACACTCTTTTTGTGGGATTTGCAAGTGGAGATTTCAGCCGCTTTGAGGTCAATGGTAGAAAAGGAAATATCTTCGTATAAAGACTAGACAGAATGATTCTCAGAAACTCCTTTGTGATGTGTGTGTTCAACTCACAGAGTTTATCCTTTCTTTTCATAGAGCAGTTAGGAAACACTCTGTTTGTAAAGTCTGCAAGTGGATATTCAGACATCCTTGGGGCTTTCGTTGGAAACGGGATTTCTTCATATTCTGCTAGAAAGAAGAATTCTCAGTAACTTCCTTGTGTTGTGTGTATTCAACTCACAGAGTTGAACGATCCTTTACACAGAGCAGACTTCAAACACTCTTTTTGTGGAATTTGCAAGTGGAGATTTCAGCCGCTTTGAGGTCAATGGTAGAAAAGGAAACTATCTTCATATAAAGACTAGACAGAATGATTCTCAGAAACTCTTTTGTGATGTGTGCATTCAACTCACAGAGTTTAACCTTTCTTTTCATAGAGCAGTTAGGAAACACTCTGTTTGTAAAGTCTGCAAGTGGATATTCAGACCTCTTTGAGGCCTTCGTTGGAAACGGGATTTCTTCATATTATGCTAGAAAGAAGAATTCTCAGTAACTTCCTTGTGTTGTGTGTATTCAACTCACAGAGTTGAACGATCCTTTACACAGAGCAGACTTGAAACACTCTTTTTGTGGAATTTGCAATTGGAGATTTCAGCCCCTTTGAGGTCAATGGTAGAATAGGAAATATCTTCCTATAGAAACTAGACAGAATGATTCTCAGAAACTCCTTTGTGATGGGTGTGTTCAACTCACAGAGTTTAACCTTTCTTTTCATAGAGCAGTTAGTAAACACTCTGTTTATAAATTCTGCATGTGGATATTCAGATCCCTTTGAGGCCTTCGTTGGAAACGGGATTTCTTCATATTATGCTAGACAGAAGAATTCTCAGAAACTTCCTTGTGTTGTGTGTTTTCAACTCACAGAGTTGAACGATCCTTTACACAGAGCAGACTTGAAACACTCTTTTTGTGGAATTTGCAAGTGGAGATTTCAGCCGCTTTGAGGTCAATGGTAGAATAGGAAATATCTTCGTATAAAAACTAGACAGAATGATTCTCAGAAACTCCTTTGTGATGTGTGCGTTCAACTCACAGAGTTTAACCTTTCTCTTCATAGAGCAGTTAGGAAACACTCTGTTTGTAAAGTCTGCAAGTGGATATTCAGACCTCTTTGAGGCCTTCGTTGGAAACGGTATTTCTTCATATTCTGCTAGACAGAAGAATTCTCAGTAACTTCCTTGTGTTGTGTGTATTCAACTCACAGAGTTGAATGATCCTTTACACAGAACAGACTTGAATCACTCTTGTTGTGGAATTTTCAAGTGGAGATTTCAGCCGCTTTGTGGTCAACGGTAGAATAGGTAATATCTTCCTATAGAAACTAGACAGAATGATTCTCAGAAACTCCTTTGTGATGTGTGCGTTCAAATCACAGAGTTTAACCTTTCTTTTCATAGAGCAGTTAGGAAACACTCTGTTTGTAAAGTCTGCAAGTGGATATTCAAACCCCTTTGAGGCCTTCGTTGGAAACGGTATTTCTTCATATTCTGCTAGACAGAAGAATTCTCAGTAACTTCCTTGTGTTGTGTGTATTCAACTCACAGAGTTGAACGATCCTTTACACAGAGCAGAATTGAAACACTCTTTTTGTGGAATTTGCAAGTGGAGATTTCAGCCGCGTTGAGGTCAATGGTAGAAAAGGAAATATCTTCGTATAAAAACTAGACAGAATGATTCTCAGAAACTCCTTTGTGATGTGTGCATTCAACTCACAGAGTTTAACCTTTCTTTTCATAGAGCAGTTAGGAAACACTCTGTTTGTAAAGTCTGCAAGTGGATATTCAGACCTCTTTGAGGCCTTCGTTGGAAATGGGATTTCTTCATATTCTGCTAGAGAGAAGAATTCTCAGTAACTTCATTGTGTTGTGTGTATTCAACTCACAGATTTCAACGATCCTTTACACAGAGCAGACTTGAAACACTCTTTTTCTGGAATTTGCAAGTGGAGATTTCAGCCGCTTTGAGGTCAATGGTAGGATAGGAAATATCTTCCTATAGAAACTAGACAGAATGATTCTCAGAAACTCCTTTGTGATGTGTGCGTTCAACTCACAGAGTTTAACCTTTCTTTTCATAGAGCAGTTAGGAAACACTCTGTTTGTGAAGTCTGCAAGTGGATATTCAGACCTCTTTGAGGCCTTCGTTGGAAACGGGTTTTTTTCATATAAGGCTAGACAGAAGAATTCTCAGAAACTTCCTTGTGTTGTGTGTATTCAACTCACAGAGTTGAACGATCCTTTACACAGGGCAGACTTGAAACACTCTTTTTGTGGAATTTGCAAATGGAAATTTCAGCCGCTTTGAGGTCAATGGTAGAAAAGGAAATATCTTCGTATAAAAACTAGACAGAATGATTCTCAGAAACTACTTTGTGCTGTGTGCGTTCAGCTCACAGAGTTTAACCTTTCTTTTCATAGAGCAGTTAGGAAACACTCTGTTTGTAAAGTCTGCAAGTGGATATTCAGACATCTTTGTGGCTTTCGTTGGAAACGGGATTTCTTCATATTCTGCTAGACAGAAGAATTCTCAGAAACTTCCTTGTGTTGTGTGTTTTCAACTCACAGAGTTCAACGATCCATTACACAGAGTAGACTTGAAACACTCTTTTTGTGGAATTGGCAAGTGGAGATTTCAGCCGCTTTGAGGTCAATGGTAGAAAAGGAAATATGCTTCGTATAAAAACTAGACAGAACGATTCTCAGAAACTCCTTTGTGATGTGTGCGTTCAACTCACAGAGTTTAACCTTTCTTTTCATAGAGCAGTTAGGAAACACTCTGTTTGTAAAGTCTGCAAGTGGATATTCAGACCTCTTTGAGGCCTTCATTGGAAACGGGATTTCTTCCTATTCTGCTAGACAGAAGAATTCTCAGTAACTTCCTTGTGTTGTGTGTATTCAACTCACAGAGTTGGACGATCCTTTACACAGAGCAGACTTGAAACACTCTTTTTGTGGAATTTGCAAGTGGAGGTTTCAGCCGCTTTGAGGTCAGTAGTAGAAAAGGAAATATCTTCGTAGAAAAACTAGACAGAATGATTCTCAGAAACTCCTTTGTGATGTGTGCGTTCAGCTCACAGAGTTTAACCTTTCTTTTCATAGAGCAGTTAGGAAACACTCTGTTTGAAAAGTCTGCAAGTGGATATTCTGACCTCCTTCAGGGCTTCGTTGGAAATGGGATTTCTTCATATTATGATGGACAGAAGAATTCTCAGTAACTTCCTTGTAGTGTGTGTATTCAACTCACAGAGTTAAACGATCCTTTACACAGAGCAGACTTGAAACACTCTTGTTGTGGAATTTCCAAGTGGAGATTTCAGCCGCTTTGAGGTCAATGGTAGAATAGGAAATATCTTCCTATAGAAACTAGACAGAAGGATTCTCAGAAACTCCTTTGTGATGTGTGCGTTCATCTCACAAAGTTTAACCTTTCTTTCCATAGAGCAGTTAGGAAACACTCTGTTTGTAAAGTCTGCAAGTAGATATTCAGACCTTTTTCAGGCCTTCGTTGGAAACGGGATTTCTTCATACTCTGCTAGACAGAAGAATTCTCAGAAACTTCCTTGTGTTGTGTGTTTTCAACTCACAGAGTTGAACGATGCTTTACACAGAGTAGACCTGAAACACTCTTTTTGTGTAATTTGCAAGTGGAGATTTCAGCCGCTTTGAGGTCAATGGTAGAAAAGGGAATATCTTCGTATAAAAACTAGACAGAATGATTCTCAGAAACTCCTTTGTGATGTGTGTGTTCAACTCACAGAGTTTAACCTTTCTTTTCATAGAGCAGTTAGGAAACACTCTGTTTGTAATGTCTGCACGTGGATATTTGGACTTCTTTGAGGCCTTCGTTGGAAACGGGTTTTTTTCATTTAAGGCTAGACAGAAGAATTCTCAGAAACTTCCTTGTGTTGTGTGTATTCAACTCACAGAGTTGAACGATCCTTTACACAGAGCAGACTTGAAACACTCTTTTTGTGGAATTTGCAAGTGGAGATTTCAGCCGCTTTGAGTTCAATGGTAGAATAGGAAATATCTTCCTATAGAAGCTAGACAGAATGATTCTCAGAAACTTCTTTGTGATGTGTGCGTTCAACTCACAGAGTTCAACCTTTCTTTTCATAGAGCAGTTAGGAAACACTCTGTTTGTAAACTCTGCAAGTGGATATTCAGACCTGTTTGAGGCCTTCGTTGGAAACGGGA
This sequence comes from Homo sapiens, assembly GCF_000001405.40. Lineage (NCBI taxonomy): Eukaryota > Metazoa > Chordata > Mammalia > Primates > Hominidae > Homo > Homo sapiens. Next base: position 122,553,381 of record NC_000001.11, read on the forward strand.
TTTCTTCATACTATGCTAGACAGAAGAATTCTCAGTAACTTCCTTGTGTTGTGTGTATTCAACTCACAGAGTTGAACGATCCTTTACACAGAGCAGACTAGAAACATTCTTTTTGTGGAATTTGCAAGAGGAGATTTCAGCCGCTTTGAGGTCAATGGTAGAATAGGAAATATCTTCCTATAGAAACTAGACAGAACGATTCTCAGAAACTCCTTTGTGATGTGTGCGTTCAACTCACAGAGTTTAACCTTTCTTTTCATACAGCAGTTAGGAAACACTCTGTTTGTAAAGTCTGCAAGTGGATATTCAGACCTCTTTGAGGCCTTCGTTGGAAACGGGATTTCTTCCTATTCTGCTAGACAGAATAATTCTCAGTAACTTCCTTGTGTTGTGTGTATTCAACTCACAGAGTTGAACGATCCTTTACACAGAGCAGACTTGAAACTCTCTTTTTGTGGAATTTGCAAGTGGAGATTTCAGCCGCTTTGAGGTCAATAGTAGAAAAGGAAATATCTTCGTAGAAAAACTAGACAGAATGATTCTCAGAAACTCCTTTGTGATGTGTGTGTTCAACTCACAGAGTTTAACCTTTCTTTTCATAGAGCAGTTAGTAAACACTCTGTTTATAAAGTCTGCAAGTGGATATTCAGAACCCTTTGAGGCCTTCGTTGGAAACGGGATTTCTTCATATTATGCTAGACAGAAGAATTCCCAGTAACTTCCTTGTGTTGTGTGTGTTCAATTCACAGAGTTGAACTTTGATTTACACAGAGCAGATTTGAAACACTCTTTTTGTGGAATTTGCAAGTGGAGATTTCAAGCGCTTTGAGGCCAAAGGCAGAAAAGGAAATATCTTCGTATAAAAACTATACAGAATCATTCTCAGAAACTGCTGCGTGATGTGTGTGTTCAACCCTCAGAGTTTAACTTTCCTTTTCATTCAGCGGTTTGGAAACACTCTGTTTGTAAAGTCTGCACGTGGATATTTTGACCACTTAGAGGTCTTCGTTGGAAACGGGTTTTTTTCATGTAAGGCTAGACAGAAGAATTCCTAGTAACTTCCTTGTGTTGTGTACATTCAACTCACAGAGTTGAACGTTCCCTTAGACAGAGCAGATTTGAAACACTCTTTTTGTGCAATTGGCAAGTGGTGATTTCAGCCGCTTTGAGGTCAATGGTAGAAAGGGAAATATCTTCGTATTAAAACTAGACAGAATGATTCTCAGAAACTCCTTTGTGATGTGTGCGTTCAACTCACAGAGTTTAACCTTTCTGTTCATAGAGCAGTTAGGAAACACTCTGTTTGTAAAGTCTGCAAGTGGATATTCAGACCTCCTTGAGGCCTTCGTTGGAAACGGGATTTCTTCATGTTCTGCTAGACAGAAGAATTCTCAGTAACTTCCTTGTGTTGTGTGTATTCAACTCACAGAGTTGAACGATCCTTTACACAGAGCAGACTTGAAACACTCTTTTTGTGGAATTGGCAAGTGGAGATTTCAGCCGCTTTGAGGTCAATGGTAGAAAAGGAAATATCTTCGTATAAAGACTAGACAGAATGATTCTCAGAAACTTCATTGTGATGTGTGCGTTCAACTCACAGAGTTTAACCTTTCTTTTCATAGAGCAGTTAGGAAACACTCTGTTTGTAAAGTCTGCAAGTGGATATTCAGACCTCTTTGAGGCCTTCGTTGGAAACGGGTTTTTTTCATAAAAGGCTAGACAGAAGAATTCTCAGTAACTTCCTTGTGTTGTGTGTATTCAACTGACAGAGTTGAACTTTCATTTAGAGAGAGCAGATTTGAAACACTGTTTTTGTGGAATTTGCAAGTGGAGATTTCAAGCGCTTTGGAGCCAAAGGCAGAAAAGGAAATATCTTCGTATAAAAACTAGACAGAATCATTCTCAGAAACTGCTCTGCGATGTGTGCGTTCAACTCTCAGAGTTTAACTTTTCTTTTCATTCAGCAGTTTGGAAACACTCTGTTGGTAAAGTCTGCACGTGGATATTTTGACCACTTAGAGGCCTTCGTTGGAAACGGGATTTTTTCCTGTAAGGCTAGACAGAAGAATTCCCAGTAACTTCCTTGTGTTGTGTGCATTCAACTCACAGAGTTGAACGTTCCCTTAGACAGAGCAGATTTGAAACATTCTATTTGTGTAATTTGAAAGTGTAGATTTCAAGCGCTTTAAGGTCAATGGCAGAAAAGGAAATATCTTCGTTTCAAAACTAGACAGAATCATTCCCACAAACTGCGTTGTCATGTGTTCGTTCAACTCACAGAGTTTAACCTTTCTTTTCATAGAGCAGTTAGGAAACAGTCTGTTTGTAAATTCTGTAAGTGGATATTCTGACATCTTGTGGCCTTCGTTGGAAACGGGATTTCTTCATATTCTGCTAGACAGAAGAATTCTCAGTAACTTCTTGGTGTTGTGTGTATTCAACTCACAGAGTTGAACGATGCTTTACACAGAGCAGACTTGAATCACTCGTTTTGTGGAATTTGCAAGTGGAGATTTCAGCCGCTTTGAGGCCAAAGGCAGAAAAGGAAATATCTTCGTATAAAAACTAGACAGAATGATTCTCAGAAACTCCTTTGTGATGTGTGCGTTCAACTCACAGAGTTTAACCTTTCTTTTCATAGAGCAGTTAGGAAACACTCTGCTTGTAAAGTCTGCAAGTGCATATTCAGCCCTCTTTGAGGCCTTCGTTGGAAACGGGTTTTTTTCATATAAGGCTAGACAGAAGAATTCTCAGTAACTTCCTTGTGTCGTGTGTATTCAACTCACAGAGTTGAATGATCCTTTACAAAGAGCAGACTTGAAACACTCTTTTTGTGGAATTTGCAAGTGGAGATTTCAGCCGCTTTGAGGTCAGTGGTAGAATAGGAAATATCTTCGTATAAAAACTAGACAGAATGATTCTCAGAAACTCCTTTGTGATGTGTGCGTTCAACTCACAGAGTTTAACCTTTCTTTTCATAGAGCAGTTAGGAAACACTCTGTTTATAAAGTCTGCAAGTGGATATTCAGACCTCTTTGAGGCCTTCGTTGGAAACGGGATTTCTTGATACTATGCTAGACAGAAGAATTCTCAGTAACTTCCTTGTGTTGTGTGTATTCAACTGACAGAGTTGAACTTTCATTTAGACAGAGGAGATTTGAAACACTCTTTTTGTGGAATTTGCAAGTGGAGATTTCAAGCGCTTTGATTCCAAAGGCAGAAAAGGAAATATCTTCGTATAAAAACTAGACAGAATCATTCTCAGAAACTGCTCTGCGATGTGTGAGTTCAACTCTCAGAGTTTAACTTTTCTTTTCATTCAGCAGTTTGGAAACACTCTGTTTGTAAAGTCTGCACGTGGATAACTTGACCACTTAGAGGCCTTCGTTGGAAACGGGTTTTTTTCTTGTAAGGCTAGACAGAAGAATTCCCAGGAACTTCCTTGTGTTGTGTACATTCAACTCACAGAGTTGAACGTTCCCTTAGACAGAGCAGATTTGAAACACTCTTTTTGTGCAATTGGCAAGTGGTGATTTCAGCCGCTTTGAGGTCAATGGTAGAAAAGGAAATATCTTCTTATAAAAACTAGACAGAATCATTCCCAAAAACTGCGTTGTGATGTGTTCCTTCATCTCACAGAGTTTAACCTTTCTTTTCATAGAGCAGTTAGGAAACAGTCTGTTTGTAAATTCTGTAAGTGGATATTCTGACATCTTGTGGCCTTCGTTGGAAACGGGATTTCTTCATATTCTGCTAGACAGAAGAATTCTCAGTAACTTCCTTGTGTTGTGTGCATTCAACTCACAGAGTTGAACGATACTTTACACAGGGCAGACTTAAAACACTCTTTTTGTGGAATTTGCAAGCGGAGATTTCAGCCTCTTTGAGGTTAATGGTAGAAAATGAAATATCTTCGTATAGAAACTAGACAGAATGATTCTCATAAACTCCTTTGTGATGTGTGCCTTCAACTCACAGAGTTTAACCTTTCTTTTCATAGAGCAGTTAGTAAACACTCTGTTTATAAAGTCTGCAAGTGGATATTCAGACCCCTTTGAGGCCTTCGTTGGAAACGGGATTTCTTCATATTATGCTAGACAGAAGAATTCTCAGTAACTTCCTTGTGTTGTGTGTATTCAACTCGCAGAGTTGAACGATCCTTTACACAGAGCAGACTTGAAACACTCTTTTTGTGGAATTTGCAAGTGGAGATTTCAGCCGCTTTGGGTTGAATGGTAGAATAGGAAATATCTTCCTATAGAAACTAGACAGAGTGATTCTCAGAAACTCCTTTGTGATGTCTGCGTTCAACTCACAGAGTTTAACCTTTCTTTTCATAGAGCAGTTAGGAAACACTCTGTTTGTAAAGTCTGCAAGTGGATATTCAGACCTCCTTGAGGCCTTCGTTGGAAACGGTATTTCTTCATATTCTGCTATACAGAAGAATTCCCAGTAACTTCCTTGTGTTGTGTGTGTTCAACTCTGTGAGTTGAACTTTCATTTACACAGAGCAGATTGGAAACACTCTTTTTGTGGAATTTGCAAGTGGAGATTTCAAGCGCTTTGAGGCCAAAGGCAGAAAAGGAAATATCCTTCGTATAAAAACTAGACAGAATCATTCTCAGAAACTGCTCTGCGATGTGTGCGTTCAACCCTCAGAGTTTAACTTTTCTTTTCATTCAGCAGTTTGGAATCACTCTGTTTGTAAAGTCTGCACGTGGATATTTTGACCACTTAGAGGCCTTCGTTGGAAACTGGTTTTTTTCCTGTAAGGCTAGACAGAAGAATTCCCAGTAAATTCCATGTGTTGTGTGCATTCAACTCACAGAGTTGAACGTTCCCTTAGACAGAGCAGATTTGAAACACTCTATTTGTGCAATTTGCAAGTGTAGATTTCAAGCGCTTTAAAGGTCAATGGCAGAAAAGGGAATATCTTCGTTTCAAAACTAGACAGAATCATTCCCACAAACTGAGTTGTGATGTGTTCGTTCAACTCACAGAGTTTAACCTTTCTGTTCATAGAGCAGTGAGGAAACACTCTGTTTGTAAAGTCTGTAAGTGGATATTCTGACATCTTGTGGCCTTCGTTGGAAACAGGATTTCTTCATATTCTGCTAGACAGAATAATTCTCAGTAACTTCCTTGTGTTGTGTGTATTCAACTGTCAGAGTTGAACGATCCTTTACAGAGAGCAGACTTGAAACACTCTTTTTGTGGAATTTGCAAGTGGAGATTTCAGCCGCTTTGAGGTCAATGGTAGAATAGGAAATATCTTCCTATAGAAACTAGACAGAATGATTCTCAGAAACTCCTTTGTGATGTGTGCGTTCAACTCACAGAGTTTAACCTTTCTGTTCATAGAGCAGTTAGGAAACACTCTGTTTGTAAAGTCTGCAAGTGGATATTCAGACCTCCTTGAGGTCTTCGTTGGAAACGGGATTTCTTTATATTCTGCTAGACAGAAGAATTCTCAGTAACTTCCTTGTGTTGTGTGTATTCAACTGACAGAGTTGAACTTTCATTTAGAGAGAGCTGATTTGAAACACTGTTTTTGTGGAATTTGCAAGTGGAGATTTCAAGCGCTTTGGGGCCAAAGGCAGAAAAGGAAATATCTTTGTATAAAAACTAGACAGAATCATTCTCAGAAACTGCTCTGCGATGTGTGCGTTCAACTCTCAGAGTTTAACTTTTCTTTTCATTCAGCAGTTTGGAAACACTCTTTTTTTAAAGTCTGCACGTGGATAATTTGACCACTTAGAGGCCTTCGTTGGAAACGGGTTTTTTTCATGTAAGGCTAGACAGAAGTATTCCCAGTAACTTCCTTGTGTTGTGTGCATTCAACTCACAGAGTTGAACGTTCCCTAGGACAGAGCAGGTTTGAAACACTCTATTTGTGCAATTTGCAAGTGTAGATTTCAAGCGCATTAAGGTCAATGGCAGAAAAGGAAATATCTTCGATTCAAAACTAGACAGAATCATTCCCACAAACTGCGTTGTGATGTGTTCGTTCAACTCACAGAGTTTAACCTTTCTGTTCATAGAGCAGTTAGGAAACACTCTGTTTATACAGTCTGCAAGTGGATATTCAGACCTCCTTGAGGCCTTCGTTGGAAACGGGATTTCTTCATATTCTGCTAGACAGAAGAATTCTCAGTAACTTCCTTGTGTTGTGTGTATTCAACTCACACAGTTGAACGATCCTTTACACAGAGCAGACTTGAAACACTCTTTTTGTGGAATTTGCAAGTGGAGATTTCATCCGCTTTGAGGTCAATGGTAGAATAGGAAATATCTTCCTATAGAAACTAGACAGAATGATTCTCATAAACTCCTTTGTGATGTGTGCGTTCAACTCACAGAGTTTAACCTTTCTTTTCATAGAGCAGTTAGGAAACACTCTGTTTGTAAAGTCTGCAAGTGGATATTCAGACCTCTTTGAGTCCTTCGTTTGAAACGGGATTTCTTCATATTCTGCTAGACAGAAGAATTCTCAGTAACTTCCTTGTGTTGTGTGTATTCAACTCACAGATTTGAACGATCCTTTACACAGAGCAGACTTGTAACACTCTTTTTGTGGAATTCGCAAGTGGAGATTTCAGCAGCTTTGAAGTCAAAGGTAGAAAAGGAAATATCTTCCTATAAAAACTAGACAGAATGATTCTCAGAAACTCCTTTGGGATGTGTGCGTTCAACTCACAGAGTTTAACCTTTCTTTTAATAGAGCAGTTAGGAAACACTCTGGTTATAAAGTCTGCAAGTGGATATTCAGACCTCTTTGAGGCCTTCGTTGGAAACGGGATTTCTTCATATTCTGCTAGACAGAAGAATTCCCAGTAACTTCCTTGTGTTGTGTGTGTTCAACTCACAGAGTTGAACTTTCATTTACACAGAGCAGATTTGAAACACTCTTTTTGTGGAATTTGCAAGTGGAGATTTCAAGCGCTTTGAGGCCAAAGGCAGAAAAGGAAATATCTTCATTTCAAAACTAGACAGAATCATTCTCAGAAACTGCTCTGCGATGTGTGCGTTCAACTCTCAGAGTTTAACTTTGCTTTTCATTCAGCAGTTTGGAAACACTCTGTTTGTAAAGTCTGCACGTGGATAATTTGACCACTTAGAGGCCTTCGTTGGAAACGGGTTTTTTTCATGTAAGGCTAGAGAGAAGTATTCCCAGGAACTTCCTTCTGTTGTGTACATTCAACTCACAGAGTTGAACGTTCCCTTAGACAGAGCAGATTTGAAACACTCTTTTTGTGCAATTGGCAAGTGGTGATTTCAGCCGCTTTGAGGTCAATGGTAGAAAAGGAAATATCTTCGTATAAAAACTAGACAGAATGATTCTCAGAAACTTCATTGTGACGTGTGCGTTCAAGTCACAGAGTTTAACCTTTCTTTTCATAGAGCAGTTAGGAAACACTCTGTTTGTAAAGTCTGCAAGTGGATATTCAGACCTCTTTGAGGCCTTCGTTGGAAACGGGATTTCTTCATACTGTGCTAGACAGAAGAATTCTCAGTAACTTCCTTGTGTTGTGTGTATTCAACTCACAGAGTTGAACGATCCTTTACAGAGAGCAGACTTGAAACACACTTTTTGTGGAATTTGCAAGTGGAGATTTCAGCCGCTTTGAGGTCAATGGTAGAAAAGGAAATATCTTCGTATAAAGACTAGACAGAATGATTCTCAGAAACTCCTTTGTGATGTGTGCGTTCAACAAACAGAGTTTAACTTTTCTTTTCATAGAGCAGTTAGGAAACACTCTGTTTGTAAAGTCTGCAAGTGGATATTCAGAGCTCTTTGAGGCCTTCGTTGGAAACGGGATTTCTTCATATTCTGCTAGACAGAAGAATTCTCAGTAACTTCCTTGTGTTGTGTGTGTTCAACTCACAGAGTTCAACGATGCTTTACACAGAGTAGACTTGAAACACACTTTTTGTTGAATTTGCAAGTGGAGATTTCAGCCGCTTTGAGGTCAATGGTAGAATAGGAAATATCTTCCTATAGAAACTAGACAGAATCATTCTCAGAAACTGCTCTGCGATGTGTGCGTTCAACTCTCAGAGTTTAACTTTTCTTTTCATTCAGCAGTGTGGAAACACTCTGTTTGTAAAGTCTGAAGGTGGATATGTTGACCACTTAGAGGCCTTCGTTGGAAACGGGTTTTTTTCCTGTAAGGCTAGACAGAGGAATTCTCAGTAACTTCCTTGTGTTGTGTGTATTCAACTCACAGAGTTGAACGATCCTTTACACAGAGCAGACTTGAAACACTCTTTTTGTGGAATTTGCAAGTGGAGATTTCAGCCGCTTTGAGTTCAATGGTAGAATAGGAAATATCTTCCTATAGAAACTAGACAGAATGATTCTCAGAAACTCCTTTGTGATGTGTGCGTTCAACTCACAGAGTTTAACGTTTCTTTTCATAGAGCAGTTAGGAAACACTCTGTTTGTAAAGTCTGCAAGTGGATATTCAGACCTCCTTGAGGCTTTCGTTGGAAACGGGATTTCTTCCTATTCTGCTAGACAGAAGAATTCTCAGTAACTTCCTTCTGTTGTGTGTATTCAACTGACAGAGTTGAAGTTTCATTTAGAGAGAGCAGATTTGAAACACTGTTTTTGTGGAATTTGCAAGTGGAGATTTCAAGCGCTTTGGGGCCAAAGGCAGAAAAGGAAATATCTTCGTATAAAAACTAGACAGAATCATTCTCAGAAACTGCTCTGCGATGTGTGCGTTCAACTCTCAGAGTTTAACATTTCTTTTCATTCAGCAGTTTGGAAACACTCTGTTTGTAAAGTCTGCACGTGGATATTTTGACCACTTAGAGGCCTTCGTTGCAAACGGGTTTTTTTCCTGTAAGGCTAGACAGAAGAATTCTCAGTAACTTCCTTGTGTTGTGTGTATTCAACTCACAGAGTTGAACGATCCTTTACACAGAGCAGTCTTGAAACACTCTTGTTGTGGAATTTGCAAGTGGAGATTTCAGCCGCTTTGAGGTCAATGGTAGAATAGGAAATATGTTCCTATAGAAACTAGACAGAATGATTCTCAAAAACTCCTTTGTGATGTGTGCGTTCAACTCACAGAGTTCAACCTTTCTTTTCCTAGAGCAGTTGGGAAACACTCTGTTTGTAAAGTCTGCAAGTGGATATTCAGACATCCTTGAGGCTTTCGTTGGAAACGGGATTTCTTCATGTTCTGCTAGACAGAAGAATTCTCAGTAACTTCCTTGTGTTGTGTGTATTCAACTGACAGAGTTGAACATTCATTTAGAGAGAGCAGATTTGAAACACTGTTTTTGTGGAATTTGCTAGTGGAGATTTCAAGAGCTTTGGGGCCAAAGGCAGAAAAGGAAATATCTTCGTATAAAAACTAGACAGAAATCATTCTCAGAAACTGCTCTGCGATGTGTGCGTTCAACTCTCAGAGTTTAACTTTTCTTATCATTCAGCAGTTTGGAAACACTCTGTTTGTAAAGTCTGCACGTGGATAATTTGACCACTTAGAGGCCTTCCTTGGAAACGGGTTTTTTTCATGTAAGGCTAGACAGAAGAATTCCCAGTAACTTCCTTGTGTTGTGTACATTCAACTCACAGAGTTGAACGTTCCCTTAGAGAGAACACATTTGAAACACTCTTTTTGTGCAATTGGCAAGTGGTGATTTCAGCCGCTTTGGGGTCAATGGTAGAAAACGAAATATCTTCGTATAAAAACTAGACAGAGTGATTCTCAGAAACTCCTTTGTGATGTGTGCATTCAACTCACAGAGTTTAACCTTTCTTTTCATAGAGCAGTTAGGAAACACTCTGTTTGTAAAGTCTGCAAGTGGATATTCAGACCTCTTTGAGGCCTTCGTTGGAAACGGGATTTTTTCATATAAGGCTAGACAGAAGAATTCTCAGTAACTTCCTTGTGTTGTGTGTATTCAACTCACAGGAGTTGAACGATCCTTTACACAGAGCAGACTTGAAACACTCTTTTTGCGGAATTTGCAAGTGGAGATTTCAGCCGCTTTGAGGTCAATGGTAGAATAGGAAATATCTTCCTATAGAAACTAGACAGAATGATTCTCAGAAACTCCTTTGTGATGTGTGCGTTCAACTCACACAGTTTAACCTTTCTTTTCATAGAGCAGTTGGGAAACACTCTGTTTGTAAAGTCTGCAAGTGGATATTCAGACCTCCTTGCGGCCTTCGTTGGAAACGGGATTTCTTCATATTATGCTAGACAGAAGAATTCTCAGTAACTTCCTTGTGTTGTGTGTATTCATCTGACACAGTTGAACTTTCATTTAGAGAGAGCAGATTTGAAACACTATTTTTGTGGAATTTGCAAGTGGAGATTTCAAGCGCTTTGGGGCCAAAGGCAGAAAAGTAAATATCTTCGCATACAAACTAGACAGAATCACTCTCAGAAACTGCTCTGTGATGTGTGCGTTCAACTCTCAGAGTTTAACTTTTCTTTTCATTCAGCAGTTTGGAAACACTCTGTTTGTAAACTCTGCACGTGGATATTTTGACCACTTAGAGGCCTTCTTTGGAAACGGGTTTTTTTCATGTAAGGATAGACAGAAGAATTCTCAGTAACTTCCTTGTGTTGTGTGCTTTCAACTCACGGAGTTGAACGATCCTTTACACAGAGCAGATTAGAAACACTCTTTTTGTGGAATTTGCAAGTGGAGATTTCAGACACTTTGAGGTCAATGATAGAAAAGGAAATATCTTCGTATAAAAACTAGACAGAACGATTCTCAGAAACTCCTTTGTGATGTATGCGTTCAACTCACAGAGTTTAACCTTTCTTTTCATAGAGCAGTTAGGAAACACTCTGTTTGTAAAGTCTGCAAGTGGATATTCAGACCTCTTTGAGGCCTTCGTTGGAAACGGGATTTCTTCATATTCTGCTAGACAGAAGAATTCTCAGTAACTTCCTTGTGTTGTGTGTATTCAACTGACAGAGTTGAACTTTCATTTAGAGAGAGCAGATTTGAAAAACTGTTTTTGTGGAATTTGCAAGTGGAGATTTCAAGCGCTTTGGGGCCAAAGGCAGAAAAGGAAATATCTTCGTATAAAAACTAGACAGAATCATTCTCAGAAACTGCTCTGCGATGTGTGCGTTCAGCTCTCAGAGTTTAACTTTTCTTTTCATTCAGCAGTTTGGAAACACTCTGTTTGTAAAGTCTGCACGTGGATATTTTGACCACTTAGAGGCCTTCGTTGGAAACGGGTTTTTTTCATGTAAGGCTAGACAGAAGAATTCTCAGTAACTTCCTTGTGTTGTGTGTATTCAACTCACAGAGTTGAACGATTCTTTACACAGAGCAGACTTGTAACACTCTTTTTGTGGAATTTGCAAGTGGAGATTTCAGCCGCTTTGAAGTCAAAGGTAGAAAAGGAAATATCTTCCTATAAAAACTACACAGAGTGATTCTCAGAAACTCCTTTGTGATGTGTGCGTTCAACTCACAGAGTTTAACCTTTCTTTTCATAGAGCAGATAGGAAACACTCTGTTTGTAAAGTCTGCAAGTGGATATTCAGACCTCCTTGAGGCCTTCATTGGAAACGGGATTTCTTCATATTCTGCTAGACAGAAGAATTCCCAGTAACTTCCTTGTGTTGTGTGTGTTCAACTCACAGAGTTGAACTTTCATTTACACAGAGCAGATTTGAAACACTCTTTTTGTGGAATTTGCAAGTGGAGGTTTCAAGCGCTTTGAGGCCAAAGGCAGAAAAGGAAATACCTTCGTATAAAAACTAGACAGAATCATTCTCAGAAACTGCTCTGCGATGTGGGCGTTCAACTCTCAGAGTTTAACTTTTCTTTTCATTCAGCAGTTTGGAAACACTCTGTTTGTAAAGTCTGCACGTGGATATTTTGACCATTTAGAGGCCTTCGTTGGAAACGGGTTTTTTTCTTGTAAGGCTAGACAGAAGAATTCCCAGTAACTTCCTTGTGTAGTGTACATTCAACTCACAGAGTTGAACGTTCCCTTAGACAGAGCAGATTTGAAACACTCTTTTTGTGCAACTGGCAAGTGGAGATTTCAAGCGCTTTGAGGTCAATGGCAGAAAAGGAAATATCTTCGTTTCAAAACTAGACAGAATCATTCCCACAAACTGCGTAGTGATGTGTTCGTTCAACTCACAGAGTTTAACCTTTCTGTTCATAGAACAGTTAGGAAACACTCTGTTTGTAAAGTCTGCAAGTGGATATTCAGACCTCCTTGAGGCCTTCGTTGGAAACGGGATTTCTTCATATTCTGCTAGACAGAAGAATTCTCAGTAACTTCCTTGTGTTGTGTGTATTCAACTCACAGAGTTGAACGATCCTTTACACAGAGCAGACTTGAAACCCTCTTTTTGTGGAATTTGCAAGTGGAGATTTCAGACGCTTTGAGGTCAATGGTAGAAAAGGAAATATCTTCTTATAAAGACTAGACAGAATGATTCTCAGAAACTCCTTTGTGATGTGTGTGTTCAACTCACAGAGTTTAACCTTTCTTTTCATAGAGCAGTTAGGAAACACTCTGTTTGTAAAGTCTGCAAGTGGATATTCAGACCTCTTTGAGGCCTTCGTTGGAAACGGGTTTTTTTCATATAGGGCTAGACAGAAGAATTCTCAGTAACTTCTTTGTGTTGTGTGTATTCAACTCACGGAGTTGAACGATCCTTTACACAGAGCAGACTTGAAACACTCTTTTTGTGGAATTTGCAAGTGGAGATTTCTGCCGCTTTGAGGTCAATGGTAGAATAGGAAATATCTTCCTATAGAAAATACACAGAATGTTTCTCAGAAACTCCTTTGAGATGTGTTTGTTCAACTCACAGAGTTTAACCTTTCTTTTCATAGAGCAGTTAGGAATCACTCTGTTTGTAAAGTCTGCAAGTGGATATTCAGACCTCTTTGAGGCCTTCGTTGGAAACGGGTTTTTTTCATATAAGGCTAGACAGAAGAATTCCCAGTAACTTCCTTGTATTGTGTGTGTTCAACTCACAGAGTTGAACTTTCATTTACACAGAGCAGATTTGAAACACTCTTTTTGTGGAATTTGCAAATGGAGGTTTCAAGCGCTTTGAGGCCAAAGGCAGAAAAGGAAATATCTTCGTATAAAAACTAGACAGAATCATTCTCAGAAACTACTCTGCGATGTGTGCGTTCAACTCTCAGAGTTTAACTTTTCTTTTCATTCAGCAGTTTGGAAACACTCTGTTTGTAAAGTCTGCACGTGGATATTTTGACCACTTAGAGGCCTTCGTTGGAAATGGGTTTTTTTCCTGTAAGGCTAGACAGAAGAATTCCCAGTAACTTTCCTTGTGTTGTGTACATTCAACTCACAGAGTTGAAAGTTCCCTTAGACACAGCAGATTTGAAACACTCTTTTTGTGCAATTGGCAAATGGAGATTTCAAGCGCTTTAAGGTCAATGGCAGAAAAGGAAATATCTTCGTTTCAAAACTAGACAGAATCATTCCCACAAACTGCGTTGTGATGTGTTCGTTCAACTCACAGACTTTAAACTTTCTTTTCATAGAGCAGTTAGGAAACAGTCTGTTTGTAAATTCTGTAAGTGGATATTCTGACATCTTGTGGCCTTCGTTGGAAACGGGATTTCTTCATATTCTGCTAGACAGAAGAATTCTCAGTAACTTCCTTGTGTTGTGTGTATTCAACTTACAGAGTTGAATGATCCTTTACACAGAGCAGACTTGAAACACTCTATTTGTAGAATTTGCAATTGGAGATTTCAGCCGCTTTGAGGTCAGTAGTAGAAAAGGTAATATCTTCGTAGAAAAACTAAACAGAATGATTCTCATAAACTCCTTTGTGATGTGTGCATTCAACTCACAGAGTTTCACCTTTCTTTTCATAGAGCAGTTAGGAAACACTCTGTTTGTAAAGTCTGCAAGTGGATATTCCGACCTCCTTGAGGCCTTCCTTGGAAACGGGATTTCTTCATATTCTGCTAGACAGAAGAATTCTCACTAACTTCCTTGTGTTGTGTGTATTCAACTCACAGAGTTGAACGATCCTTTACACAGAGCAGACTTGAAACACTCTTTTTGTGGAATTTGCAAGTGGAGATTTCAGCCGCTTTGAGGTCAATGGTAGAAAAGGAAATATCATCGTATAAAGACTAGACAGAATGATTCTCAGAAACTCCTTTGTGATGTGTGCGTTCAACTCACAGAGTTTAACTTTTCTTTTCATAGACCAGTTAGGAAACACTCTGTTTGTAAAGTCTGCAAGTGGATATTCAGACCTCCTTTGTGGCCTTCGTTGGAAACGGGATTTCTTCATATTATGCTAGACAGAAGAATTCCCAGTAACTTCCTTGTGTTGTGTGTGTTCAACTCACAGTAGTTGAACTTCCATTTACACAGAGCAGATTTGAAACACTCTTTTTGTGGAATTTGCAAGTGGAGATTTCAAGCGCTTTGAGGCCAAAGGCAGAAAAGGAAATATCTTCCTTTCAAAACTAGACAGAATCATTCTCAGAAACTGCTCTGTGATGTGTGCGTTCAACTCTCAGAGTTTAACTTTTCTTTTCATTCAGCAGTTTGGAAACACTCTGTTTGTAAAGTCTGCACGTGGATAATTTGACAACTTAGAGGCCTTCTTTGGAAACGGGTTTTTTTCATGTAAGGCTAGACAGAAGAATTCTCAGTAACTTCCTTGTGTTGTGTGTATTCAACTCACAGAGTTGAACGATCCTTTACACAGAACAGACTTGTAACACTCTTTTTGTGGAATTTGCAAGTGGAGATTTCAGCCGCTTTGAAGTCAAAGTTAGAAAAGGAAATATCTTCCTATAAAAACTAGACAGAATCATTCCGACAAACTGCGTTGTGATGTGTTCGTTCAACTCACAGAGTTTAACCTTTCTGTTCATAGAGCAGTTAGGAAACACTCTGTTTGTAAAGTCTGTTAAGTGGATATTCTGACATCTTGTGGCCTTCGTTGGAAACGGGATTTCTTCATATTCTGCTAGACAGAAGAATTCTCAGAATCTTCCCTTGTGTTGTGTGTATTCAACTCACAGAGTTGAACGATGGTTTACACAGAGCAGAGTTGAAACACTCTTTTTGTGGAATTTGAAAGTGGAGATTTCAGCCGCTTTGAGGTCAAAGGTAGAAAAGGAAATATCTTCGTATAAAAACTAGACAGAATGATTCTCAGAAACTCCTTTGTGATGTGTGCGTTCAACTCACAGAGTTTAACTTTTCTTTTCATAGAGCAGTTAGGAAACATTCTGTTTGTAAAGTCTGCAAGTGGATATTCAGACCTCTTTGTGGCCTTCGTTGGAAACGGGATTTCTTCATATTATGCTAGACAGAAGAATTCTCAGAATCTTCCTTGTGTTGTGTGTATTCAACTCACAGAGTTGAACGATGGTTTACACAGAGCAGATTTGAAACACTCTTTTTGTGGAATTTGCAAGTGGAGATTTCAGCCGCTTTTTGGTCAATGGTAGAAAAGGAAATATCTTCGTATAAAAACTAGACAGAATGATTCTCAGAAACTCCTTTGTGATGTGTGCGTTCAACTCACAGAGTTTAACCTTTCTTTTCATAGAGCAGTTAGGAGACACTCTGTTTGTAAAGTCTGCAAGTGGATATTGAGACATCCTTGAGGCTTTCGTTGGAAACGGGATTTCTTCATATTCTGCTAGAAAGAGGAATTCCCAGTAACTTCCTTGTGTTGTGTGTGTTCAACTCACAGAGTTGAACTTTGATTTACACAGAGCAGATTTGAAACACTCTTTTTGTGGAATTTGCAAGTGGAGATTTCAAGCGCTTTGAGGCCAAAGGCAGAAAAGGAAATATCTTCGTATAAAAACTAGACAGAATCATTTTCAGAAACTGCTCTGCGATGTGTGCGTTCAACTCTCAGAGTTTAACTTTTCTTTTCATTCAGCAGTGTGGAAACACTCTGTTTGTAAAGTCTGCACGTGGATATTTTGACCACTTAGAGGCCTTCGTTGGAAACGGGTTTTTTTCCTGTAAGGCTAGACAGAAGAATTCCCAGTAACTTCCTTGTGTTGTGTGCATTCAACTCACAGAGTTGAACGTTCCCTTAGACAGAGCAGATTTGAAACACACTATTTGTGCAATTTGCAAGTGTAGATTTCAAGCGCTTTAAGGTCAATGGCAGAAAAGGAAATATCTTCGTTTCAAAACTAGACAGAATCATTCCCACAAACTGCGTTGTGATGTGTTCGTTCAACTCACAGAGTTTAACCTTTCTTTTCATAGAGCAGTTAGGAAACAGTCTGTTTGTAAATTATGTAAGTGGATATTCTGACATCTTGTGGCCTTCGTTGGAAACAGGATTTCTTCATATTCTGCTAGACAGAAGAATTCTCAGAATCTTCCTTGTGTTGTGTGTATTCAACTCACAGAGTTGAAGGATCCTTTACACAGAGCAGATTTGAAACACTCTTTTGGTGGAATTTGCAAATGGAGATTTCAGCCGCTTTGAGGTCAATGGTAGAAAAGGAAATATCTTCGTATAAAAACTAGACAGAATGATTCTCAGAAACTTCTTTGTGATGTGTGCGTTCAACTCACAGAGTTTAACCTTTCTATTCATAGAGCAGTTAGAAAACACTCTGTTTGTAAACTCTGCAAGTGGATATTCAGACCTCTTTGAGGCCTTCGTTGGAAACGGGATTTCTTCATACTATGTTAGACAGAAGAATTCTCAGTAACTTCCTTGTGTTGTGTGTATTCAACTCACAGAGTTGAACGATCCTTTACACAGAGCAGACTTGAAACACTCTTTTTGTGGAATTTGCAAGTGGAGATTTCAGCCGCTTTGTGGTCAATAGTAGAATAGGAAATATCTTCCTATAGAAACTAGACAGAAAGATTCTCAGAAACTACTTTGTGATGTGTGCGTTCAACTCACAGAGTTCAACCTTTCTTTTCATAGAGCAGTTAGGAAACACTCTGTGTGTAAAGTCTACAAGTGGATATTCAGACCTCCTTGAGGCCTTCGTTGGAAACGGGATTTCTTCATATTCTGCTAGACAGAAGAATTCCCAGTAACTTCCTTGTGTTGTGTGTGTTCAACTCACAGAGTTGAACTTTCATTTACACAGAGCAGATTTGAGACACTCTTTTTGTGAAATTTGCAAATGGAGATTTCAAGCGCTTTGAGGCCAAAGGCAGAAAAGGAAATATCTTCGTATAAAAACTAGACAGAATCATTCTCAGAAACTGCTCTGCGATGTGTGCGTTCAACTCTCAGAGTTTAACTTTTCTTTTCATTCAGCAGTTTGGAAACACTCTGTTTGTAAAGTCTGCACGTGCATAATTTGACCACTTAGAGGCCTTCGTTGGAAACGGGTGTTTTTCATGTAAGGCTAGACAGAAGAATTCCCAGTAACTTCCTTGTGTTGTGTGCATTCCACTCACAGAGATGAACGTTCCCTTAGACAGAACAGATTTGAAACACTCTATTTGTGCAATTTGCAAGTGTAGATTTCAAGCGCTTTAAGGTCAATGGCAGAAAAGGAAATATCTTCGTTTCAAAACTAGACAGAATCATTCCCACAAACTGCGTTGTGATGCGTTCGTTCAACTCACAGAGTTTAACCTTTCTTTTCATAGAGCAGTTAGGAAACAGTCTGTTTGTCAATTCTGTAAGTGGATATTCTGACATCTTGTGGCCTTCGTTGGAAACGGGATTTCTTCATATTCTGCTAGACAGAAGAATTCTCAGTAACTGCCTTGTGTTGTGTGTATTCAACTCACAGAGTTGAACGATCGTTTACACAGAGCAGACTTGAAACGCTCTTTTTGTGGAACTTGCAAGTGGAGATTTCAGCCGCTTTGAGGTCAATGGTAGAATAGGAAATATCTTCCTATAGAAACTAGACAGAATGATTCTCAGAAACTCCTTTGTGATGTGTGCGTTCAACTCACAGAGTTTAACCTTTCTTTTCATAGAGCAGTTAGGAAACACTCTGTTTGTAAAGTCTGCAAGTGGATATTCAGACCTCCTTGAGGCCTTCGTTGGAAACAGGATTTCTTCATATTATGCTAGACAGAAGAATTCTCAGTAACTTCCTTGTGTTGTGTGTATTCAATTCACAGAGTTGAACGATCCTTTACACAGAGCAGACTTGAAACACTCTTTTTGTGTAATTTGCAAGTGGAGATTTCAGCCGCTTTGAGGTCAATGGTAGAAAAGGAAATATCTTCGTATAAAAACTAGACAGAATGATTCTCAGAAACTCCTTTGTGATGTGTGCGTTCAACTCACAGAGTTTAACCTTTCTTTTCATAGAGCAGTTAGGAAACACTCTGTTTGTAAAGTCTGCAAGTGGATATTCAGACCTCTTTGAGGCCTTCGTTGGAAACGGGTTTTTTACTTATAAGGCTAAACAGAAGAATTCCCAGTAACTTCCTTGTGTTGTGTGTGTTCAACTCACAGAGTTGAACTTTCATTTACACAGAGCAGATTTGAAACACTCTTTTTGTGGAATTTGCAAATGGAGATTTCAAGCGCTTTGAGGCCAAATGCAGAAAAGGAAATATCTTCGTATAAAAATTAGACAGATAATCATTCTCAGAAACTGCTCTGCGATGTGTGCGTTCAACTCTCAGAGTTTAACTTTTCTTTTCATTCAGCAGTTTGGAAACACTCTGTTTGTAAAGTCTGCACGTGGATATTTTGACCACTTAGAGGCCTTCGTTGGAAACGGGTTTTTTTCCTGTAAGGCTAGACAGAAGAATTCCCAGTAACTTCCTTGTGTTGTGTGCATTCAACTCACAGAGTTGAACGTTCCCTTAGACAGAGCAGATTTGAAACACTCTATTTGTGCAATTTGCAAGTGTAGATTTCTAGCGCTTTAAGGTCAATGACAGAAAAGGAAATATCTTCGTTTCAAAACTAGACAGAATCATTCCCACAAACTGCGTTGTGATGTGTTTGTTCAACTCACAGAGTTTAACCTTTCTTTTCATAGAGCAGTTAGCAAACAGTCTGTTTGTCAATTCTGTAAGTGGATATTCTGACATCTTGTGGCCTTCGTTGGAAACGGGATTTCTTCATATTCTGCTAGACAGAATAATTCTCTGTAACTTCCATGTGTTGTGTGTATTCAACTCACAGAGTTGAACGATCCTTTACACAGAGCAGACTTGAAACACTCTTTTTGTGGAATTTGCAAGTGGAGATTTCAGCCGCTTTGAGGTCAATGGTAGAATAGGAAATATCTTCCTATAGAAACTAGACAGAATGATTCTCATAAACTCCTTTGTGATGTGTGCGTTCAACACACAGAGTTTAACCTTTCTGTTCATAGAGCAGTTAGGAAACACTCTGTTTGTAAAGTCTGTAAGTGGATATTCTGACACCTTGTGGCCTTCGTTGGAAACGGGATTTCTTCATATTCTGCTAGACAGAAGAATTCTCAGTAACTTTCCTTGTGTTGTGTGTATTCAACTCACAGAGTTGAACGATCCTTTACACAGAGCAGACTTGAAACACTCTTTTTGTGGAATTTGCAAGTGGAGATTTCAGCCGCTTTGAGTTCAATGGTAGAATAGGAAATATCTTCCTACAGAAACTAGACAGAATGATTCTCAGAAACTCCTTTGTGATGTGTGCGTTCAACTCACAGAGTTTAACTTTTCTTTTCATAGAGCAGTTAGGAAACACTCTGTTTGTAAAGTCTGCAAGTGGATATTCAGACCTCTTTGAGGCCTTCGTTGGAAACGGGTTTTCTTCATATTCTGCTAGACAGAAGAATTCTCAGTAACTTCCTTGTGTTGTGTGTATTCAACTGACAGAGTTGAACTTTCATTTAGAGAGAGCAGATTTGAAACCCTGTTTTTGTGGAATTTGCAAGTGGAGATTTCAAGCACTTTGGGGCCAAAGGCAGAAAAGGAAATATCTTCGTATAAAAACTAGACGGAATCATTCTCAGAAACTGCTCTGGGATGTGTGCGTTCAACTCTCAGAGTTTAACTTTTCTTTTCATTCAGCAGTTTGGAAACACTCTGTTTGTAAAGTCTGCACGTGGATAACTTGACCACTTGGAGGCCTTCGTTGGAAACGGGTTTTTTTCATGTAAGGCTAGACAGAAGAATTCTCAGTAACTTCCTTGTGTTGTGTGTATTCAACTCACAGAGTTGAATGATCCTTTACACAGAACAGTCTTGAAACACTCTTTTTGTGGAATTTGCAAGTGGAGATTTCAGCCGCTTTGAGGTCAATGGTACAATAGGAAATACCTTCCTATAGAAACTAGACAGAATGATTCTCAGAAACTCCTTTGTGATTTGTGCGTTTAACTCACAGAGTTTAACCTTTCTTTTCATAGAGCAGTTAGGAAACACTCTGTTTGTAAAGTCTACAAGTGGATATTCAGACCTCTTTGAGGCCTTCGTTGGAAACGGGTTTTTTTCATATAAGGCTAGACAGAAGAGTTCTCAGTAACTTCCTTGTGTTGTGTGTATTCAACTCACAGAGTTGAACTTTCATTTAGAGAGAGCAGATTTGAAACACTGTTTTTGTGGAATTTGCAATTGGAGATTTCAAGTGCTTTGGGGCCAAAGGCAGAAAAGGAAATATCTTCGTATAAAAACTAGACAGAGAATCATTATCAGAAACTGCTGCGTGATGTGTGCGTTCAACTCTCAGAATTTAACTTTTCTTTTCATTCAGCGGTTTGGAAACACTCTGTTTGTAAAGTCTGCACGTGGATATATTGACCACTTAGAGGCCTTCGTTGGAAACGGGTTTTTTTCATGTAAGGCTAGACAGAAGAATTCCCAGCAACTTCCTTGTGTTGTGTGCATTCAACTCACAGAGTTGAACGTTCCCTTAGACAGACCAGATTTGAAACACTCTATTTGTGCAATTTGCAAGTGTAGATTTCAAGCGCTTTGAGGTCAATGGCAGAAAAGGAAATATCTTCGTTTCAAAACTAGACAGAATCATTCCCACAAACTGCGTTGTGATGTGTTCGTTCAACTCACAGAGTTAAACTTTTCTTTTCATAGAACAGTTAGGAAACACTCTGTTTGTAAAGTCTGTAAGTTGATATTCTGACATCTTGTGGCCTTATTGGTAACGGGATTTCTTCATATTCTGCTAGACAGAAGAATTCTCAGTAACTTCCTTGTGTTGTGTGTATTCACCTCACAGATTTGAACGATCCTTTACAAAGAGCAGACTTGAAACACTCTTTTAGTGGAATTTGCAAGTGGAGGTTTCAGCCTCTTTGAGGTCAATGGTAGAATAGGAAATATCTTCCTATAGAAACTAGACAGAATGATTCTCACAAACTCCTTTGTGATGTGTGCGTTCAACTCACAGAGTTTAACCTTTGTTTACATAGAGCAGTTAGGAAACACACTGTTTGTAAAGTCTGCAAGTGGATATTCTGACCTCCTTGAGGCCTTCGGTGGAAACGGGATTTCTTCATATTCTGCTAGACAGAAGAATTCTCAGTAACTTCCTTGTGTTGTGTGTATTCAACTCAAAGAGTTGAACGACACTTTACACAGAGCAGACTTGAAACACTCTTTTTGTGGAATTTGCAATTGGAGATTTCAGCCGCTTTGAGGTCAATGGTAGGATAGGAAATATCTTCCTATAGAAACTAGACAGAATGATTCTCAGAAACTCCTTTGTGATGTGTGCGTTCAACTCACAGAGTTTAACCTTTCTTTTCTTAGAGCAGTTAGGAAACACTCTGTTTGTAAAGTCTGCAAGTGGATATTCAGACCTCCTTGAGGCCTTCGTTGGAAATGGGATTTCTTCATATTCTGCTAGACAGAAGAAATTCCCAGTAACTTCCTTGTGTTGTGTGTGTTCAACTCACAGAGTTGAACTTTCATTTACACAGAGCAGATTTGAAACACTCTTTTTGTGGAATTTGCAAATGGAGATTTCAAGCGCTTTGAGGCCAAAGGCAGAAAAGGAAATATCTTTGTATAAAAACTAGACAGAATCATTCTCAGAAACTGCTGCGTGATGTGTGCGTTCAACTCTCAGAGTTTAACTTTTCTTTTCATTCAGCGGTTTGGAAACACTCTGTTTGTAAAGTCTGCACGTGGAAATTTTGACCACTTAGGGGCCTTCGTTGGAAACGGGTTTTTTTCATGTAAGGCTAGACAGAAGTATTCCCAGTAACTTCCTTGTGTTGTGTGCATTCAACTCACAGAGTTGAACGTTCCCTTAGACAGAGCAGGTTTGAAACACTCTATTTGTGCAATTTGCAAGTGTAGATTTCAAGCGCTTTAAGGTCAATGGCAGAAAAGGAAATATCTTCGTTTCAAAACTAGACAGAATCATTCCCACAAACTGCGTTGTGATGTGTTCGTTCAACTCACAGAGTTTAACCTTTCTGTTCATAGAGCAGTTAGGAAACACTCTGTTTTTAAAGTCTGCCAGTGGATATTCAGACCTCTTTGAGGCCTTCGTTGGAAACGGGATTTCTTCATATTCTGCTAGACAGAAGAATTCTCAGTAACTTCCTTGTGTTGTGTGTATTCAACTCACAGAGTTGAACGATCCTTTACACAGAGGAGACTTGAAACACTCTTTTTGTGGAATTTGCAAGTGGAGATTTCACCCGCTTTGAGGTCAATGGTAGAATAGGATATATCTTCCTATAGAAAATAGACAGAATGATTCTCAGAAACTCTTTTGGGATGTGTGCGTTCAACTCACAGAGTTTAACCTTTCTGTTCATAGAGCAGTTAGGAAACACTCTGTTTGTAAAGTCTGCAAGTGGATATTCAGACCTCCTTGAGACCTTCGTTGGAAACGGGATTTCTTCATATTCCGCTAGACAGAAGAATTCTCAGTAACTTCCTTGTGTTGTGTGTATTCAACTCACAGAGTTGAACGATCCTTTACACAGAGCAGACTTGTAACACTCTTTTTGTGGAATTTGCAAGTGGAGATTTCAAGCGCTTTGAGGCCAAATGCAGAAAAGGAAATATCTTCGTTTCAAAACTAGACAGAATGATTCTCAGAAACTCCTTTGTGATGTGTGTGTTCAACTCACAGAGTTTAACCTTTCTTTTCATAGAGCAGTTAGGAAACACTCTGTTTATAAAGTCTGCAAGTGGATATTCAGACCCCTTTGAGGTCCTTCGTTGGAAACGGGATTTCTTCATATTATGCTAGACAGAAGAATTCTCAGTAACTTCCTTGTGTTGTGTGTATTCCACTCACAGAGTTGAACTTTCATTTATAGAGAGCAGATTTGCAACACTGTTTTTGTGGAATTTGCAAGTGGAGATTTCAAGCGCTTTGGGGCCAAAGGCAGAAAAGGAAATATCTTCGTATAAAAACTAGACAGAATCATTCTCAGAAACTGCTCTGCGATGTGTGCGTTCAACTCTCAGAGTTTGACTTTTCTTTTCATTCAGCAGTTTTGAAACACTCTGTTTGTAAAGTCTGCACGTGGATATTTTGACCACTTAGAGGCCTTCGTTGGAAACGGGTTTTTTTCCTGTAAGGCTAGACAGAAGAATTCCCAGTAACTTCTTTGTGTTGTGTGCATTCAACTCACAGAGTTGAACGTTCCTTTAGACAGAGCAGATTTGAAACACTCTTTTTGTGCAATTTGCAAGTGGAGATTTCAAGCGCTTTGAGGTCAATGGCAGAAAAGGAAATAACTTCGTTTCAAAACTAGACAGTATCATTCCCACAAACTGCATTGTGATGTGTGCGTTCAACTCACAGAGTTTAACCTTTCTTTTCATAGAGCCGTTTGTAAGCGCTCTGTTTGTCAAGTCTGCAAGTGGATATTCTGACCTCTTTGAGGACTTCGTTGGAAACAGGATTTCGTCCTATAATACTAGACAGAAGAATTCTCAGTAACTTCCTTGTGTTGTGTGTATTCAACTCACAGAGTTGAACGATCCTTTACACAGAGCAGACTTGAAACACTCTTTTTCTGGAATTTGCAAGTGGAGATTTCAGCCGATTTGAGGTCAATGGTAGAATAGGAAATATCTTCCTATAGATACTAGACAGAATGATTCTCAGAACCTCCTTTGTGATGTGTGCGTTCAACTCACAGAGTTTAACCTTTCTTTTCATAGAGCAGTTAGGAAACACTCTGTTTGTAAAGTCTGCAAGTGGATATTCAGACATCCTTGAGGCTTTCCTTGGAAACGGGATTTCTTCATATTCTGCTAGAAAGAAGAATTCTCAGAAACTTCGTTGTGTTGTGTGTTTTCAAATCACAGAGTTCAACGATCCTTTACACAGAGTAGACTTGAAACACTCTTTTTGTGGAATTGGCAGGGTGGAGATTTCAGCTGCTTTGAGGTCAATGGTAGAAAAGGAAATATCTTCGTATAAAAACTAGACAGAATGATTCTCGGAAACTCCTTTGTGAAGTGTGTGTTCAACTCACAGAGTTTAACCTTTCTTTTCATAGAGCAGTTAGGAAACACTCTGTTTGTAAAGTCTGCAAGAGGATATTCAGACCTCTTTGAGGCCTTCGTTGGAAACGGGTTTTTTTCATATAAGGCTAGACAGAAGAATTCCCAGTAACTTCCTTGTGTTGTGTGTGTTCAACTCACAGAGTTGAACTTTCATTTACACAGAGCAGATTTGAAACACTCTTTTTGTGGAATTTGCAAGTGGAGATTTCAAGCGCTTTGAGGCCAAAGGCAGAAAAAGAAATATCTTCGTTTCAAAACTAGACAGAATGATTCTCAGAAACTTCTTTGTGATGAGTGCGTTCAACTCACAGATTTTAACCTTTCTTTTCATAGAGCAGTTAGGAAACACTCTGTTTGTAAAGTCTGCACGTGGATATTTTGACCTCTTTTAGGCCTTCCTTGGAAACGGGTTTTTTTCATGTAAGCCTAGACAGAAGAATTCCGAGTAACTTCCTTGTGTTGTCTGCATTCAACTCACAGAGTTGAACGTTCCCTTAGACAGAGCAGATTTGAAACACTCTATTTGTGCAATTTGCAAGTGTAGATTTCAAGCTCTTTAAGGTCAATTGCAGAAAAGGAAATATCTTCGTTTCAAAACTAGACAGAATCATTCCCACAAACTGCGTTGTGATGTGTTCGTTCAACTCACAGAGTTTAACCTTTCTGTTCATAGAGCAGTTAGGAAACACTCTGTTTGTAAAGTCTGTAAGTGGATATTCTGACATCTTGTGGCCTTCGTGGGAAACGGGATTTCTTCATATTCTGCTAGACAGAAGAATTCTCAGAATCTTCCTTGTGTTGTGTGTATTCAACTCACACAGTTGAACGATTGTTTACACAGAGCAGATTTGAAACACTCTTTTTGTGGAATTTGCAAGTGGAGATTTCAGCCGCTTTGAGGTCAATGGTAGAAAAGGAAATATCTTCATATAAAAACTAGACAGAATGATTCTCAGAAACTCCTTTGTGATGTGTGCGTTCAACTCACAGAGTTTACCCTTTCTGTTCATAGAGCAGTTAGGAAACACTCTGTTTGTAAATTCTGCAAGTGGATATTCAGACCTACTTGAGGTCTTCGGTGGAAACGGGATTTCTTCATATTCTGCTAGACAGAAGAATTCTCACTAACTTCCTTGTGTTGTGTGTATTCAACTCACAGAGTTGAACGATCCTTTACACAGAGCAGACTTGAAACACTCTTTTTGTGGAATTTGCAAGTGGAGCTTTCAGCCGCTTTGAGGTCAATAGTAGAAAAGGAAATATCTTCGTAGAAAAACTAGACAGAAAGATTCTCAGAAACTCCTTTGTGATGTGTGCGTTCAACTCACAGAGTTTAACCTTTCTTTTAATAGAGCAGTTGGGAAACACTCTGTTTGTATACTCTGCAAGTGGATATTCAGACCTCTTTGAGGCCTTCGTTGGAAACGGGATTTCTTCATATTCTGCTAGACAGAAGAATTCTCAGTAACTTCCTTGTGTTGTGTGTATTCAACTGACAGAGTTGAACTTTCATTTAGACAGAGCAGATTTGAAACACTCTTTTTGTGGAATTTGCAAGTGGAGATTTCAAGCGCTTTGAGGCCAAAGGGAGAAAAGGAAATATCTTCGTATAAAAACTAGACAGAATCATTCTCAGAAACTGCTCTGCGATGCGTGCGTTCAGCTCTCAGAGTTTACCTTTTCTTTTCATTCAGCAGTTTGGAAACACTCTGTTTGTAAAGTCTGCACGTGGATATTTTGAACACTTAGAGGCCTTCGTTGGAAACCGGTTTTTGTCATGTAAGGCTAGACAGAAGAATTCCTAGTAACTTCCTTGTGTTGTGTACATTCAACTCACAGAGTTGAACGTTCCCTTAGACAGAGCAGATTTGAAACACTCTTTTTGTGCAATTGGCAAGTGGTGATTTCAGCCGCTTTGAGGTCAATGGTAGAAAAGGAAATATCTTCGTATTAAAACTAGACAGAATCATTCCCACAAACTGCGTTGTGATGTGTTCGTTCAACTCACAGAGTTTAACCTTTCTGTTCATACGGCAGTTAGGAAACACTCTGTTTGTAAAGTCTGTAAGTGGATATTCTGACATTTTGTGGCCTTCGTTGGAAAGGGGATTTCTTCATATTCTGCTAGACAGAAGAATTCTCAGAATCTTCCTTGTGTTGTGTGTATTCAACTCACAGAGTTGAACGATGGTTTACACAGAGCAGATTTGAAACACTCTTTTGGTTGAATTTGCAAGTGGAGATTTCAGCCGCTTTGAGGTCAATGGTAGAAAAGGAAATATCTTCGTATAAAAACTAGACAGAATGATTCTCAGAAACTTCTTTGTGATGTGTGCGTTCAACTCACAGAGTTTAACCTTTCTTTTCATAGAGCAGTTAGGAAACACTCTGTTTGTAAAGTCTGCAAGTGGATATTCAGACCTCTTTGAGGCCTTCGTTGGAAACGGGATTTCTTCATACAATGCTAGACAGAAGAATTCTCAGTAACTTCCTTGTGTTGTGTGTATTCAACTCACAGAATTGAACGATCCTTTACACAGAGCAGACTTGAAACACTCTTTTTGTGGAATTTGCAAGTGGAGATTTCAGCCGCTTTGAGTTCAATGGTAGAATAGGAAATATCTTCCTATAGAAACTAGACAGAATGATTCTCAGAAACTCCTTTGTGATGTGTGCGTTCAACACACAGAGTTTAACTTTTCTTTTCATACAGCAGTTAGGAAACACTCTGTTTGTAAAGTCTGCAAGTGGATATTCAGACCTCTTTGAGGCCTTCGTTGGAAACGGGATTTCTTCATATTATGCTAGACAGAAGAATTCTCAGTAACTTCCTTGTGTTGTGTGTATTCAACTGACAGAGTTGAACTTTCATTTAGAGAGAGCAGATTTGAAACACTGTTTTTTTGGAATTTGCAAGTGGAGATTTCAAGCGCTTTGGGGCCAAAGGCAGAAAAGGAAATATCTTCGTATAAAAACTAGACAGAATCATTCTCAGAAACTGCTCTGCGATGTGTGCGTTCAACTCTCAGAGTTTAACTTTTCTTTTCATTCAGCAGTTTGGAAACACTCTGTTTGTAAAGTCTGCACGTGGATAATTTGACCACTTAGAGGCCTTCGTTGGAAACGGGATTTCTTCATACTGTGCTAGACAGAAGAATTCCCAGTAACTTCCTTGTGTTGTGTGCATTCAACTCACAGAGTTGAACGTTCCCTTAGACAGAGCTGATTTGAAACACTCTATTTGTGCAATTTGCAAGTGTAGATTTGAAGCGCTTTCAGGTCAATGGCAGAAAAGGAAATATCTTCGTTTCAAAACTAGACAGAATCATTCCCACAAACTGCGTTGTGATGTGTTCGTTCAACTCACAGAGTTTAACCTTTCTTTTCATAGAGCAGTTAGGAAACACTCTGTTTGTAAAGTCTGCAAGTGGATATTCAGACCTCTTTGAGGCCTTCGTTGGAAACGGGATTTCTTCATGTTCTGCTAGACAGAAGAATTCTCAGAATCTTCCTAGTGTTGTGTGTATTCAACTCACAGAGTTGAACGATGGTTTACACAGAGCAGATTTGAAACACTCTTTTTGTGGAATTTGCAAGTGGAGATTTCAGCCGCTTTGAGGTCAATGGTAGAAAAGGAAATATCTTCGTATAAAAACTAGACAGAATGATTCTCAGAAACTCCTTTGTGATGTGTGCGTTCAACTCACAGAGTTTAACCTTTCTTTTCATAGAGCAGTTAGGAAACACTCGGTTTGTAAAGTCTGCAAGTGGATATTCAGACCTCTTTGAGGCCTTCGTTGGAAACGGGTTTTTTTCATATAAGGCTAGACAGAAGAATTCTCAGAATCTTCCTTGTGTGGTGTGTATTCAACTCACAGAGTTGAACGATCCTTTACACAGAGCAGACTTGAAACACTCTTTTTGTGGAATTTGCAAGTGGAGATTTCAGCCGCTTTGAGGTCCATGGTAGAAAAGGAAATATCTTCGTATAAAAACTAGACAGAATGATTCTCAGAAACTCCTTTGTGATGTGTGCGTTCAACTCACAGAGTTTAACCTTTCTTTTTATAGAGCAGTTAGGAAACACTCTGTTTGTAAAGTCTGCAAGTGGATATTCAGACCTCCTTGAGGCCTTCTTTGGAAACGGGATTTCTTCCTATTATACTAGACAGAAGAATTCTCAGTAACTTCTTTGTGTTGTGTGTATTCAACTGACAGAGTTGAACTTTCATTTAGAGAGAGCAGATTTGGAACACTGTTTTTGTGGAATTTGCAAGTGGAGATTTCAAGCGCTTTGGGGCCAAAGGCAGAAAAGGATATATCTTCGTATAAAAACTAGACAGAATCATTCTCAGAAACTGCTGCGTGATGTGTGCGTTCAACTCTCAGAGTTTAACTTTTCTTTTCATTCAGCGGTTTGGAAACACTCTGTTTGTAAAGTCTGCACATGGATATTTTGACCACTTAGAGGCCTTCGTTGGAAACGGGTTTTTTTCATGTAAGGCTAGACAGACGAATTCCCAGTAACTTCCTTGTGTTGTGTACATTCAACTCAGAGAGTTGAACGTTCCATTAGACAGAGCAGATTTGAAACACTCTTTTTGTGCAATTGGCAAGTGGAGATTTCAAGCGCTTTAAGGTCAATGGCAGAAAAGGAAATATCTTCGTTTCAAAACTAGACAGAATCATTCCCACAAACTGCGTTGTGATGTGTTCGTTCAACTCACAGAGTTTAACCTTTCTGTTCATAGAGCAGTTAGGAAACACTCTATTTGTAAAGTCTGTAAGTGGATATTCTGACATCTTGTGGCCTTCGTTGGAAACGGGATTTCTTCATATTCTGCTAGACAGAAGAATTCTCAGAATCTTCCTTGTGTTGTGTGTATTCAACTCACAGAGTTGAACGATCCTTTACACAGAGCAGACTTGAAACACTCTTTTTGTGGAATTTGCAAGTGGAGATTTCAGCCGCTTTGAGGTCCATGGTAGAAAAGGAAATATCTTGGTATAAAAACTAGACAGAATGATTCTCAGAAACTCCTTTGTGATGTGTGCGTTCAACTCACAGAGTTTAACCTTTCTTTTCATAGAGCAGTTAGGAAACACTCTGTTTGTAAAGTCTGCAAGTGGATATTCAGACCTCCTTGAGGCCTTCGTTGGAAACGGGATTTCTTCATATTATGTTAGACAGAAGAATTCTCAGTAACTTCCTGGTGTTGTGTGTATTCAACTCACAGAGTTGAACGATCCTTTACACAGAGCAGACTTGAAACACTCTTTTTGTGGAATTTGCAAGTGGAGATTTCAGCCGCTTTGAGGTCAATGGTAGAATAGGAAGTATCTTCCTATAGAAACTAGACACAATGATTCTCAGAAACTCCTTTGTGATGTGTGCATTCAACTCACAGAGTTTAACTTTTCTTTTCATAGAGCAGTTAGGAAACACTCTGTTTGTAAAGTCTGCAAGTGGATATTCAGACCTCTTTGACGCCTTCGTTGGAAACGGGATTTCTTCATATTCTGCTAGACAGAAGAATTCCCAGTAACTTCCTTGTGATGTGTGTGTTCAACTCACAGAGTTGAACTTTCATTTACACAGAGCAGATTTGAAACACTCTTTTTGTGGAATTTGCAAATGGAGATTTCAAGCGCTTTGAGGCCAAAGGCAGAAAAGGAAATATCTTCGTATAAAAACTAGACAGAATCATTCTCAGCAAACTGCTCTGCGATGTGTGCGTTCAACTCTCAGAGTTTAACTTTTCTTTTCATTCAGCAGTTTGGAAACACTCTGTTTGTAAAGTCTGCACGTGGATAATTTCACCACTTAGAGGTCTTCGTTGGAAACGGGTTTTTTTCATGTAAGGATAGACAGAAGAATTCCCAGTAACTTCCTTCTGTTGTGTACATTCAACTCACAGAGTTGAACGTTCCCTTAGACAGAGCAGATTTGAAACACTCTTTTTGTGCAATTGGCAAGTGGAGATTTCAAGCGCTTTAAGGTCAATGGCAGAAAAGGAAATATCTTCGTTTCAAAACTAGACAGAATCATTCCCACAAACTGCGTTGTGATGTGTTCGTTACCTCACAGAGTTTAACCTTTCTTTTCATAGAGTAGTTAGGAAACACTCAGTTTGTAAAGCCTGCAAGTGGATATTCAGACCTCTTTGAGGCCTTCGTTGGAAACGGGATTTCTTCATATTATGCTAGACAGAAGAATTCTCAGTAACTTCCTTGTGTTGTGTGTATTCAACTCATGGAGTTGAACGATCCTTTACACAGAGCAGACTTGTAACACTCTTTTTGTGGAATTTGCAAGTGGAGATTTCAGCCACTTTGAAGTCAAAGGTAGAAAAGGAAATAACTTCCTATAAAAACTAGACAGAATGATTCTCAGAAACTCCTTTGTGATGGGTGCGTTCAACTCACAGAGTTTAACCTTTCTTTTCATAGAGCAGTTAGGAAACACTCTGTTTGTAAAGTCTGCAAGTGGATATTGAGACATCTTTGAGGCCTTCGTTGGAAACAGGATTTCTTCATATTCTGATAGACAGAAGAATTCTCAGTAACTTCCTTGTGTTGTGTGTATTCAACTCACAGAGTTGAACGATCCTTTACACAGAGCAGTCTTGAAACAGTCTTTTTGTGGATTTTGCAAGTGCAGATTTCTGCCGCTTTGAGGTCAATGGTAGAATAGGAAATATCTTCCTATAGAAACTAGACAGAATGATTCTCAGAAACTCCTTTGTGATGTGTGCGTTCAACTCACAGAGTTCAACCTTTCTTTTCATAGAGCAGTTGGGAAACACTCTGTTTGTAAAGTCTGCAAGTGGATTTTCAGACTTCTTTGAGGCCATCGTTGGAAGCGGGATTTCTTCATATTCTGCTAGACAGAAGAATTCTCAGAATCTTCCTTGTGTTGTGTGTATTCAACTCACAGAGTTGAACGATCCTTTACACAGAGCAGACTTGAAACACTCTTTTTGTGGAATTTGCAAGTGGAGATTTCAAGCGCTTTGAGGCCAAAGGCAGAATAGGAAATATCTTCGTATAAAAACTAGACAGAATCATTCTCAGAAACTGCTCTGTGATGTGTGCGTTCAACTCTCAGAGTTTAACTTTTCTTTTCATTCAGCAGTTTGGAAACACTCTGTTTGTAAAGTCTGCACGTGGATATTTTGCCCACTTAGAGGCCTTCGTTGGAAACGGGTTTTTTTCATGTAAGGGTAGACAGAAGAATTCCCAGTAACTTCCTTGTGTTGTGTACATTCAACTCACAGAGTTGAACGTTCCCTTAGACAGAGCAGATTTGAAACACTCTTTTTGTGCAATTGGCAAATGGAGATTTCAAGCGCTTTAAGTTCAATGGCAGAAAAGGAAATATCTTCGTTTCAAAACTAGACAGAATGATTCTGAGAAACTCCTTTGTGATGTGTGCGTTCAACTCACAGAGTTTAACCTTTCTTTTCAAAGAGCAGTTAGGAAACACTCTGTTTGTAAACTCTGCAAGTGGATATTCAGACCTCCTTGAGGCCTTCGTTGGAAACGGGGTTTCTTCCTATTATGCTAGACAGAAGAATTCTCAGTAACTTCCTTGTGTTGTGTGTATTCAACTCAAAGAGTTGAACGATCCTTTACACAGAGCAGAGTAGAAACACTCTTTTTGTGGAATTTGCAAGTGGAGATTTCAGACTCTTTGAGGTCAATGGTAGAATAGGAAATATCTTCCTATAGAAACTAGACAGAATGATTCTCAGAAACTTCTTTGTGATGTGTGCGTTCAACTCACAGAGTTTAACCTTTCTTTTAATAGAGCAGTTAGGAAACACTCTGTTTGTAAACTCTGCAAGTGGATATTCAGACCTCTTTGAGGCCTTCGTTGGAAACGGGATTTCTTCATACTATGCTAGACAGAAGAATTCTCAGTAACTTCCTTGTATTGTGTGTATTCAACTCACAGAGTTGAACGATCCTTTACACAGAGCAGACTTGTAACACACTTTTTGTGGAATTTGCAAGTGGAGATTTCAGCCGCTTTGAAGTCAAAGGTAGAAAAGGAAATATCTTCCTATAAAAACTAGACAGAATGATTCTCATGAACTCCATTGTGATGTGTGCGTTCAACTCACAGAGTTTAACCTTTCTTTTCATAGAGCAGTTAGGAAACACTCTGTTTGTAAAGTCTGCAAGTGGATATTCAGACCTCCTTGAGGCCTTCGTTGGAAAAGGGATTTCTTCATATTCTGCTAGACAGAAGAATTCTCAGTAACTTCCTTGTGTTGTGTGTATTCAACTGACAGAGCTGAACTTTCATTTAGAGAGAGCACATTTGAAACACTGTTTTTGTGGAATTTGCAAGTGGAGATTTCAAACGCTTTGGGGCCAAAGGCAGAAAAGGAAATATCTTCGTATAAAAACTAGACAGAATCATTCTCAGAAACTGCTCTGCGATGTGTGCGTTCAACTCTCAGAGTTTAACTTTTCTTTTCATTCAGCAGTTTGGAAACACTATGTTTGTAAAGTCTGCACGTGGATATTTTGACCACTTAGAGGCCTTCGTTGGAAACGGGTTTTTTTCTTGTAAGGCTAGACAGAAGAATTCCCAGTAACTTCCTTGTGTTGTGTACATTCAACTCACAGAGTTGAACGTTCCCTTAGACAGAGCAGATTTGAAACACTCTTTTTGTGCAATTGGCAAATGGAGATTTCAAGCGCTTTAAGTTCAATGGCAGAAAAGGAAATATCTTCGTTTCAAAACTAGACAGAATCATTCCCACAAACTGCGTTGTGATGTGTTCGTTCAACTCACAGAGTTTAACCTTTCTTTTCATAGAGCAGTTAGGAAACAGTCTGTTTGTCAATTCTGTAAGTGGATATTCTGACATCATGTGGCCTTCGTTGGAAACGGGATTTCTTCATATTCTGCTAGACAGAAGAATTCCCAGTAACTTCCTTGTGTTGTGTGTATTCAACTCACAGAGTTGAACGATCCTTTACACAGAGCAGACTTGTAACACTCTTTTTGTGGAATTTGCAAGTGGAGATTTCAGCCACTTTGAAGTCAAAGGTAGAAAAGGAAATAACTTCCTATAAAAACTAGACAGAAATGATTCTCAGAAACTCCTTTGTGATGTGTGCGTTCAACTCACAGAGTTTAACCTTTCTTTTCATAGAGCAGTTAGGAAACACTGTGTTTGTAAAGTCTGCAAGTGGATATTCAGACCTCTTTGAGGCCTTCGTTGGAAACGGGTTTTTTTCATATAAGGCTAGACAGAAGAATTCTCAGAATCTTCCTTGTGTTGTGTGTATTCAACTCACAGAGTTGAACGATAGTTTACACAGAGCAGATTTGAAACACTCATTTGGTGGAATTTGCAAGTGGAGATTTCAGCCGCTTTGAGGTAAATGGTAGAAAAGGAAATATCTTCGTATAACAACTAGACAGAATGATTCTCAGAAACTCCTTTGTGATGTGTGCGTTCAACTCACAGAGTTTAACCTGTCTTTTCATAGAGCAGTTAGGAAACACTCTGTTTGTAAAGTCTGCAAGTGGATATTCAGACATCCTTGAGGCTTTCGTTGGAAACGGGATTTCTTCATATTCTGCTAGAAAGAAGAATTCCCAGTAACTTCCCTTGTGTTGTGTGTGTTCAACTCACAGAGTTGAACTTTCATTTAGACAGAGCAGATTTGAAACACTCTTTTTGTGGAATTTGCAAATGGAGATTTCAAGCGCTTTGAGGCCAAAGGCAGAAAAGGAAATATCTTCGTATAAAAACTAGACAGAATCATTCTCAGAAACTGCTGCGAGATGTGTGCGTTCAACTCTCAGAGTTTAACTTTTCTTTTCATTCAGCGGTTTGGAAACACTGTGTTTGTAAAGTCTGCACGTGGATATTTTGACCACTTAGAGGCCTTCGTTGGAAACGGGTTTTTTTCATGTAAGGCTAGACAGAAGAATTCTCAGTAACTTCCTTGTGTTGTGTGTATTCAACTCACAGAGTTGAACGATCCTTTACACAGAGCAGACTTGAAACACTCTTTTTGTGGAATTTCCAAGTGGAGATTTCAGCCGCTTTGAGGTCAATGGTAGAAAAGGAAATATCTTCGTATAAAGACTAGACAGAATGATTCTCAGAAACTCCTTTGTGATGTGTGCGTTCAACTCACAGAGTTTAACTTTTCTTTTCATAGAGCAGTTAGGAAACACTCTGTTTGTAAAGTCTGCAAGTGGATATTCAGACCTCTTTGAGGCCTTCGTTGGAAACGAGATTTCTTCATATTCTGCTAGACAGAAGAATTCTCAGTAACTTCCTTGTGTTGTGTGTATTCAACTGACAGAGTTAAACTTTCATTTAGAGAGAGCAGATTTGAAACACTGTTTTTGTGGAATTTGCAAGTGGAGATTTCAAGCGCTTTGTGGCCAAAGGTAGAAAAGGAAATATCTTCGTATAAAAACTAGACAGAATCATTCTCAGAAACTGCTCTGCGATGTGTGCGTTCAACTCTCAGAGTTTAACTTTGCTTTTCATTCAGCAGTTTGGAAACACTCTGTTTGTAAAGTCTGCACGTGGATAACTTGACCACTTAGAGGCCTTCGTTGGAAACGGGTTTTTTTCATGTAAGGCTAGACAGAATAATTCTCAGTAACTTCCTTGTGTTGTGTGTATTCAACTCACAGAGTTGAACGATCCTTTACAGAGAGCAGAATTGAAACACTCTTTTTGTGGAATTTGCAAGTGGAGATTTCAGCCGCTTTGAGGTCAATGGTAGAATAGGAAATATCTTCCTATAGAAAATAGACAGAATGATTCTCATAAACTCCTTTGTGATGTGTGCGTTCAACTCACAGGGTTTAACCTTTCTTTTCATAGAGCAGTTAGGAAACACTCTGTTTGTAAAGTCTGCAAGTGGATATTCAGACCTACTTTGAGGCCTTCGATGGAAACGGGATTTTTTCATATTCTGCTAGACAGAAGAATTCCCAGTAACTTCCTTGTGTTGTGTGTGTTCAACTCACAGAGTTGAACTTTCATTTACACAGAGCAGATTGGAAACATTCTTTTTGTGGAATTTGCAAGTGGAGATTTCAAGCGCTTTGAGGTCAAAGGCAGAAAAGGAAATATCTTCGTATAAAAACTAGACAGAATCATTCTCAGAAACTGCTCTGCGATGTGTGCGTTCAACTCTCAGAGTTTAACTTTTCTTTTCATTCAGCATTTTGGAAACACTCTGTTTGTAAAGTCTGCACGTGGATATTTTGACCACTTAGAGGCCTTCGTTGGAAACGGGTTTCTTTCCTGTAAGGCTAGACAGAAGAATTCGCAGTAACTTCCCTTGTGTTGTGTACATTCAACTCACAGAGTTGAACGTTCCCTTAGACAGAGCAGATTTGAAACAGTCTTTTTGTGCAATTGGCAAGTGGAGATTTCAAGCGCTTTAAGTTCAATGGCAGAAAAGGAAATATCTTCGTTTCAAAACTAGACAGAATCATTCCCACAAACTGCGTTGTGATGTGTTGGTTCATCTCACAGAGTTTAACCTTTCTTTTCATAGAGCAGTTAGGAAACACTCTGTTTGTAAATTCTGTAAGTGGATATTCTGACATCTTGTGGCCTTCGTTGGAAACGGGATTTCTTCAAATTCTGCTAGACAGAAGAAGTCTCAGTAACTTCCTTGTGTTGTGTGTATTCAACTCACAGAGTTGAACGATACTTTACACAGAGCAGACTTGAAACACTCTTTTTGTGGAATTTGCAACTGGAGATTTCAGCCGCTTTGAGGTCAATGGTAGAATAGGAAATATCTTCCTATAGAAACTAGACAGAATGATTCTCAGAAACTCCTTTGTGATGTGTGCGTTCAACTCACAGAGTTTAACTTTTCTTTTCATAGAGCAGTTAGGAAACACTCTGTTTCTAAGGTCTGCAAGTGGATATTCAGACCTCTTTGACGCCTTCGTTGGAAACGGGATTTCTTCATATTCTGCTAGACAGAAGAATTCTCAGTAACTTCCTTGTTTTGTGTGTATTCAACTCACAGAGTTGAACCATCCTTTACACAGAGCAGACTTGAAACACTCTTTTTGTGGAATTTGCAAGTGGAGATTTCAGCCGCTTTGAGCTCAATGGTAGAATAGGAAATATCTTCCTATAGAAACTAGACAGAATGATTCTCATAAACTCCTTTGTGATGTGTGCGTTCAAATCACAGAGTTTAACCTTTCTTTTCATAGAGCAGTTAGTAAATACTCTGTTTATAAAGTCTGCAAGTGGATATTCAGACCCCTTTGAGGCCTTCGTTGGAAACGGGATTTCTTCATATTATGCTAGACAGAAGAATTCCCAGTACCTTCCTTGTGTTGTGTGTGTTCAACTCACAGAGTTGAACTTTCATTTACACAGAGCAGATTTGAAACACTCTTTTTGTGGAATTTGCAGGTGGAGATTTCAAGCGCTTTGAGGCCAAAGGCAGAAAAGGAAATATCTTCGTATAAAAACTAGACAGAATCATTCTCAGAAACTGCTGCGTGATGTGTGCGTTCAACTCTCAGAGTTTAACTTTTCTTTTCATTCAGCGGTTTGGAAACACTCTGTTTGTAAAGTCTGCACGTGGACATTTTGACCACTTAGAGGCCTTCGTTGGAAACGGGTTTTTTTCATGTATGGCTAGACAGAAGAATTCCCAGTAACTTCCTTGTGTTGTGTACATTCAACTCACAGAGTTGAACGTTCCCTTAGACAGAGCAGATTTGAAACACTCTTTTTGTGCAATTGGCAAGTGGTGATTTCAGCCGCTTTGAGGTCAATGGTAGAAAAGGAAATATCTTCGTATAAAAACTAGACAGAATGATTCTCAGAAACTTCATTGTGACGTGTGCGTTCAACTCACAGAGTTTAACCTTTCTTTTCATAGAGCAGTTAGGAAACACTCTGTTTGTAAAGTCTGCAAGTGGATATTCGGACCTCTTTGAGGTCTTCGTTGGAAACGGGATTTC
Source organism: Homo sapiens (assembly GCF_000001405.40). Lineage (NCBI taxonomy): Eukaryota > Metazoa > Chordata > Mammalia > Primates > Hominidae > Homo > Homo sapiens. The sequence continues at coordinate 122,590,790 of NC_000001.11, forward strand.
TTCATACTGTGCTAGACAGAAGAATTCTCAGTAACTTCCTTGTGTTGTGTGTATTGAACTCGCAGAGTTGTACGATCCTTTACACAGAGCAGACTTGAAACACTCTTTTTGTGGAATTTGCAAGTGGAGATTTCAGCCGCTTTGAGGTCAATAGTAGAAAAGGAAATATCTTCGTAGAAAAACTAGACAGAATGATTCTCAGAAACTCCTTTGTGATGTGTGTGTTCAACTCACAGAGTTTAACCTTTCTTTTCATGGAGCAGTTAGGAAACACTCTGTTTGTAAAGTCTGCAAGAGGATATTCAGACCTCTTTGAAGCCTTCGTTGGAAACGGGTTTTTTTCATATAAGGCTAGACAGAAGAATTCTCAGTAACTTCCTTGTGTTGTGTGTATTCAACTCACAGAGTTGAACGATCCTTTACAGAGAGCAGACTTGAAACACTCTTTTTGTGGAATTTGCAAGGGGAGATTTCAGCCGCTTTGAGGTCAATAGTAGAAAAGGAAATATCTTCGTATAAAGACTAGACAGAATCATTCTCAGAAAATGCTCTGTGATGTGTGCGTTCAACTCTCAGAGTTTAACTTTTCTTTTCATTCAGCACTTTGGAAACACTCTGTTTGTAAAGTCTGCACGAGGATATTTTGACCACTTAGAGGTCTTTGTTGGAAACGGGTTTTTTTCACGTAAGGCTAGACAGAAGAATTCCCAGTAACTTTCCTTGTGTTGTGTACATTCAACTCACAGAGTTGAACGTTCCCTTAGACAGAGCAGATTTGAAACACTCTTTTTGTGCAATTGGCAAGTGGAGATTTCAAGGGCTTTAAGGTCAATGGCAGAAAAGGAAATATCTTCGTTTCAAAACTAGACAGAATCATTCCCACAAACTGCGTTGTGATGTGTTCGTTCAACTCACAGAGTTTAACCTTTCTGTTCATAGAGCAGTTAGGAAACACTCTGTTTGTAAAGTCTGCAAGTGGATATTCAGACTTCCTTGAGGCCTTCGTTGGAAACGGGATTTCTTCATATTCTGCTAGACAGAAGAATTCTCAGGAACTTCCTTGTGTTGTGTGTATTCAACTCACAGAGTTGAACGATCCTTTACACAGAGCAGACTTGAAACACTCTTTTTGTGGAATTTGCAAGTGGAGATTTCAGCCGCTTTGAGGTCAATGGTAGAAAAGGAAATATCTTCCTATAGAAACTAGACAGAATGATTCTCAGCAAACTTCTTTGTGATGTGTGCGTTCAACTCACAGAGTTTAACCTTTCTTTTCATAGAGCAGTTAGGAAACACTCTGTTTGTAAACTCTGCAAGTGGATATTCAGACCTCTTTGAGGCCTTCGTTGGAAACGGGATTTCTTCATACTATGCTAGACAGAAGAATTCTCAGTAACTCCCTTGTGTTGTGTGTATTCAACTCACAGAGTTGAACGATCCTTTACACAGAGCAGACTTGAAACACTCTTTTTGTGGAATTTGCAAGTGGAGATTTCAGCCGCTTTGAGTTCAATGGTAGAATAGGAAATATCTTCCTATAGAAACTAGACAGAATGATTCTCAGAAACTCCTTTGTGATGTGTGCGTTCAACTCACAGAGGTTAACCTTTCTTTTCATAGAGCAGTTAGGAAACACTCTGTTTGTAAAGTCTGCAAGTGGATATGCAGACCTCCTTGAGGCCTTTGTTGGAACGGGATTTCTTCATATTATGCTATACAGAAGAATTCTCAGAAACTTCCTTGTGTTGTGTGTATTCAACTCACAGAGTTGAACGATCCTTTACACAGAGCATTCTTGAAACACTCTTCTTGTGGAATTTGCAAGTGGAGATTTCAGCCGCTTTGAGGTCAATGGTAGAATAGGAAATATCTTCCTATAGAAACTAGACAGAATCATTCTCAGAAACTGCTCTGTGATGTGTGCGTTCAACTCTCAGAGTTTAACTTTTCTTTTCATTCAGCAGTTTGGAAACACTCTGTTCGTAAAGTCTGCACGTGGATAATTTGACCACTTAGAGGCCTTCGTTGGAAACGGGTTTTTTTCATGTAAGGCTAGACAGAAGAATTCCCAGTAACTTCCTTGTGTTGTGTACATTCAACTCACAGAGTTGAACGTTCCCTTAGACAGAGCAGATTTGAAACACTCTTTTTGTGCAATTGGCAAGTGGAGATTTCAAGAGCTTTAAGGTCAATGGCAGAAAAGGAAATATCTTCGTTTCAAAACTAGACAGAATGATTCTCAGAAACTCCTTTGTGATGTGTGCGTTCAACTCACAGAGTTTAACCTTTCTGTTCATAGAGCAGTTAGGAAACACTCTGTTTGTAAAGTCTGTAAGTGGATATTCTGACATCTTGTGGCCTTCGTTCGAAACGGGATTTCTTCATATTCTGCTAGACAGAAGAATTCTCAGTAACTTCCTTGTGTTGTGTGTGTTCAACTCACAGAGTTGAACGATCCTTTACACAGAGCAGACTTGTCACACTCTTTTTGTGGAATTTGCAAGTGGAGATTTCAGCCGCTTTGAAGTCAAAGGTAGAAAAGGAAATATCTTCCTATAAAAACTAGACAGAATGATTCTCAGAAACTCCTTTGTGATGTCTGCGTTCAACTCACAGAGTTTAACCTTTCTTTTCATAGAGAAGTTAGGAAACACTCTGTTTGTAAAGTCTGCAAGTGGATATTCAGACCTCTTTGAGGCCTTCGTTGGAAACGGGTTTTTTTCATATAAGGCTAGACAGAAGAATTCTCAGAAACTTCCTTGTGTTGTGTGTATTCAACTCACAGAGTTGAACGATCATTTACACAGAGCAGACTTGAAACACACTTTTTTTGGTATTTTCAATGGGAGATTTCAGCCGCTTTTAGGTCAATGGTAGAAAAGGAAATATCTTCGTATAAAGACTAGACAGAATGATTCTCAGAAACTCCTTTGTGATGTGTGCGTTCAACTCACAGAGTTTAACCTTTCTTTTCATAGAGCAGTTAGGAAACGCTCTGTTTGTAAAGTCTGCAAGGGGATATTCAGACCTCTCTGAGGCCTTCGTTGGAAATGGGATTTCTTCATATTATGCTAGACAGAAGAATTCTCAGTAACTTCCTTGTGTTGTGTGTATTCAACTGACAGAGTTGAACTTTCATTTAGAGAGAGCAGATTTGAAACACTGTTTTTGTGGAATTTGCAAGTGGAGATTTCAAGCGCTTTGGGGCCAAAGCCAGAAAAGGAAATATCTTCGTATAAAAACTAGACAGAATCATTCTCAGAAACTGCTCTGCGATGTGTGCGTTCAACTCTCAGAGTTTAACTATTCTTTTCATTCAGCAGTTTGGAAACAATCTGTTTGTAAAGTCTGCACGTGGATAACTTGACCACTTAGAGGCCTTCGTTGGAAACGGGTTTTTTTCATGTAAGGCTAGACAGAAGAATTCTCAGAAACTTCCTTGTGTTGTGTGTTTTCAACTCACAGAGTTCAACGATCCTTTACACAGAGTAGACTTGAAACACTGTTTTTGTGGAATTGGCAAGTGGAGATTTCAGCCGCTTTGAGGTCAATGGTAGAATAGGAAATATCTTCGTATAAAAACTAGACAGAGAATGATTCTCAGAAACTCCTTTGTGATGTGTGTGTTCATCTCACAGAGTTTAACCTTTCTTTTCATAGAGCAGTTAGTAAACACTCTGTTTATAAAGTCTGCAAGTGGATATTCAGACCCCTTTGAGGCCTTCGTTGGAAACGGGATTTCTTCATATTATGCTAGACAGAAGAATTCCCAGTAACTTCCTTGTGTTGTGTGTGTTCAACTCACAGAGTTGAACTTTCATTTACACAGAGCAGATTTGAAACACTCTTTTTGTGGAATTTGCAAGTGGAGATTTCAAGCGCTTTGAGGCCAAGGGCAGAAAAGGAAATATCTTCGTATAAAAACTAGACAGAATCATTCTCAGAAACTGCTCTGCGATGTGTGCGTTCAACTCTCAGAGTTTAACTTTTCTTTTCATTCAGCAGTTTGGAAACACTCTGTTTGTAAAGTCTGCACGTGCATAATTTGACCACTTAGAGGCCTTCGTTGGAAACGGGTTTTTTTCATGTAAGGCTAGACAGAAGAATTCTCAGTAACATCCTTGTGTTGTGTGTATTCAACTCACAGAGTTGAACGATCCTTTACACAGAGCAGACTTGAAACACTCTTTTTGTGGAATTTGCAAGTAGAGATTTCAGCCGCTTTGAGGTCAATGGTAGAATAGGAAATATCTTCCTATAGAAACTAGACAGAGTGATTCTCAGAAACTCCTTTGGGATGTCTGCGTTCAACTCACAGAGTTTAACCTTTCTTTTCATAGAGCAGTTAGGAAACACTCTGTTTGAAAAGTCTGCAAGTGGATATTCAGACCTCCTTGAGGCCTTCGTTGGAAACGGGATTTCTTCATATTCTGCTATACAGAAGAATTCTCAGCAACTTCCTTGTGTTGTGTGTATTCAACTCACAGAGTTGAACGATCGTTTACACAGAGCAGACTTGAGACACTCTTTTTGTGGAATTTGCAAGTGGAGATTTCAGCCTCTTTGAGGTCAATGGTAGAAAAGGAAATATCTTCATGTAAAAACTAGACAGAATCATTCTCAGAAACTGCTGCGTGATGTGTGCGTTCAACTCTCAGAGTTTAACTTTTCTTTTCATTCAGCGGTTTGGAAACACTCTGTTTGTAAAGTCTGCACGTGGATATTTTGACCACTTAGAGGCCTTCGTTGGAAACGGATTTTTTTCATGTAAGGCTAGACAGAAGAATTCCCAGTAACTTCCTTGTGTTGTGTACATTCAACTCACAGAGTTGAACGTTCCCTTAGACAGAGCAGATTTGAAACACTCTTTTTGTGCAATTGGCAAACGGAGATTTCAAGCGCTTTAAGTTCAATGGCAGAAAAGGAAATATCTTCGTTTCAAAACTAGACAGAATCATTCCCACAAACTGCGTTGTGATGTGTTCGTTCAACTCACAGAGTTTAACCTTTCTTTTCATATAGCAGTTAGGAAACACTCTGTTTGTAAAGTCTGCAAGTGGATATTCAGACCTCTTTGAGGCCCTCGTTGGAAACGGGATTTCTTCATATTATGCTAGACAGAAGAATTCTCAGTAACTTCCTTGTGTTGTGTGTATTCAACTCACGGAGTTGAACGATCCTTTACACAGAGCAGACTTGTAACACTCTTTTTGTGGAATTTGCAAGTGGAGATTTCAGCCGCTTTGACGTCAATGGTAGAAAAGGAAATACCTTCGAATAAAAACTAGACAGAATGATTCTCAGAAACTCCTTTGTGATGTGCGCGTTCAACTCACAGAGTTTAACCTTTCTTTTCATAGAGCAGTTAGGAAACACTCTGTTTGTAAAGTCTGCAAGTGGATATTCAGACATCCTTGAGGCTTTCGTTGGAAACGGGATTTCTTCATATTCTGCTAGAAAGAAGAATTCTCAGTAACTTCCTTGTGTTGTGTGTATTCAACTCACAGAGTTGAACGATCCTTTACACAGAGCAGACTTGAAACACTCTTTTTGTGGAATTTGCAAGTGGAGATTTCAAGCGCTTTGAAGCCAAAGGCAGAAAAGGAAATATCTTCGTATAAAAACTAGACAGAATGATTCTCAGAAACTCCTTTGTGATGTGTGCGTTCAAGTCACAGAGTTTAACCTTTCTTTTCATAGAGCAGTTAGGAAACACTCTGTTTGTAAAGTCTGCAAGTGGATATTCAGACCTCTTTGAGGCCTTCGTTGGAAACGGGATTTCTTCATATTCTGCTAGACAAAAGAATTTCTCAGTAACTTCCCTTGTGTTGTGTGTATTCAACTGACAGAGTTGAACTTTCATTTAGAGAGAGCAGATTTGAAACACTGTTTTTGTGGAATTTGCAAATGGAGATTTCAAGCGCTTTGGGGCCAAAGGCAGAAAAGGAAATATCTTCGTATAAAAACTAGACAGAATCATTCTCAGAAACTGCTGCGTGATGTGTGCGTTCAACTCTCAGAGTTTAACTTTTCTTTTCATTCAGCGGTTTGGAAACACTCTCTTTGTAAAGTCTGCACGTGGATATTTTGACCACTTAGAGGCCTTCGTTGGAAACGGGTTTTCTTCATGTAAGGCTAGACAGAAGAATTCCCAGTAACTTCCTTGTGTTTTGTACATTCAACCCACAGAGTTGAACGTTTCCTTAGACAGAGCAGATTTGAAACACTCTTTTTGTGCAATTGGCAATTGGTGATTTCAGCCGCTTTCAGGTCAAAGGTAGAAAAGGAAATATCTTCCTATAAAAACTAGACAGAATCATTCCCACAAACTGCGTTGTGATGTGTTCGTTCAAATCACAGAGTTTAACCTTTCTGTTCATAGAGCAGTTAGGAAACACTCTGTTTGTAAAGTCTGCAAGTAGATATTGAGACCTCCTAGAGGCCTTCGTTGGAAACGGGATTTCTTCATATTCTGCTAGACAGAAGAATTCTCAGTAACTCCTTTGTGTTGTGTATATTCAACTCACAGAGTTGAACGATCCTTTACACAGAGCAGACTTGAAACACTCTTTTTGTGGAATTTGCAAGTGGAGATTTCAGCCTCTTTGAGGTCAATGGTAGAATAGGAAATATCTTCCTATAGAAACTAGACAGAATGATTCTCAGAAACTCCTTTGTGATGTGTGCGTTCAACTCACAGAGTTTAACCTTTCTTTTCATAGAGCAGTTAGGAAACACTCTGTTTGTAAAGTCTGCAAGTGGATATTCAGACCTCCTTGAGGCCTTCTTTGGAGACGGGATTTCTTCATATTATGCTAGACAGAAGAATTCCCAGTAACTTCCTTGTGTTGTGTGTGTTCAACTCACAGAGTTGAACTTTGATTTACACAGAGCAGATTTGAAACACTCTTTTTGTGGAATTTGCAAGTGGAGATTTCAAGCGCTTTGAGGCCAAAGGCAGAAAAGGAAATATCTTCGTATAAAAACTAGACAGCATCATTCTCAGAAACTGCTCTGCGATGTGTGCGTTCAACTCTCAGAGTTTAACTTTTCTTTTCATTCAGCAGTTTGGAAACCCTCTGTTTGTAAAGTCTGCACGTGGATATTTTGACCATTTAGAGGCTTTCGTTGGAAACGGGTTTTTTTCTTGTAAGGCTAGACAGAAGAATTCCCAGTAACTTCCCTTGTGTTGTGTGCATTCAACTCACAGAGTTGAACGTTCCCTTAGACAGAGCAGATTTGAAACACTCTATTTGTGCAATTTGCAAGTGTAGATTTCAAGCGCTTTAAGGTCAATGGCAGAAAAGGAAATATCTTCGTTTGAAAACTAGACAGAATGATTCCCACAAACTGCGTTGTGATGTGTTCGTTCAACTCACAGTAGTTTAACCTTTCTGTTCATAGAGCAGTTAGGAAACACTCTGTTTGTAAAGTCTGTAAGTGGATATTCTGACATCTTGTGGCCTTCGTTGGGAACGGGATTTCTTCATATTCTGCTAGACAGAAGAATTCTCAGTAACTTCCTTGTGTTGTGTGTATTCAACTCACACAGTTGAACGATCCTTTACACATAGCAGACTTGTAACACTCTTTTTGTGGAATTTGCAAGTGGAGATTCCTGCCGCTTTGAAGTCAAATGTAGAAAAGGAAATATCTTCCTATAAAAACTAGACAGAATGATTCTCAGAAACTCCTTTGTGATGTGTGCGTTCAACTCACAGAGTTTAACCTTACTTTTCATAGAGCAGTTAGGAAACACTCTGTTTGTAAAGTCTGCAAGTGGATATACAGACATCTTTGAGGCCTTCGTTGGAAACGGGATTTCTTCATGTTCTGCTAGACAGAAGAATTCTCAGTAACTTCCGCGTGTTGTGTGTATTGAACTCACAGAGTTGAACGATCCTTTACACAGAGCAGAGTTGAAACACTCTTTTTGTGGAATTTGCAAGTGGAGATTTCAGCCGCTTTGAGGTCAATGGTAGAAAAGGAAATATCTTCCTATAAAAACTAGACAGAATGATTCTCAGAAACTCCTTTGTGATGTGTGCGTTCAACTCACAGAGTTCAAACTTTCTTTTCATAGAGCAGTTGGGAAACACTCTGTTTGTAAAGTCTGCAAGTGGATATTCAGACTTCTTTGAGGACTTCGTTGGAAGCGGGATTTCTTCGTATTCTGCTAGACAGAAAAATTCCCAGTAACTTCCTTGTGTTGTGAGTGTTCAACTCACAGAGTTGAACTTTCATTTACACAGAGCAGATTTGAAACACTCTTTTTGTGGAATTTGCAAGTGGAGATTTCAAGCGCTTTGAGGCCAAAGGCAGAAAAGGAAATATCTTCTTATAAAAACTAGACAGAATCATTCTCAGAAACTGTGGCGTGATGTGTGCGTTCAACTCTCAGAGTTTAACTTTTCTTTTCATTCAGCGGTTTGGAAACACTCTGTTTGTAAAGTCTGCACGTGGATATTTTGACCACTTAGAGGCCTTCGTTGGAAACGGGGTTTTTTCATATTCTGCTAGACAGAAGAATTCCCAGTAACTTCCTTGTGTTGTGTACATTCAACTCACAGAGTTGAACGTTCCCTTAGACAGAGCAGATTTGAAACACTCTTTTTGTGCAATTGGCAAATGGAGATTTCAAGCGCTTTAAGGTCAATGGCAGGAAAGGAAATATCTTCGTTTCAAAACTAGACAGAATCATTCCCACAAACTGCGTTGTTATGTGTTCGTTCAACTCACAGTAGTTTAACCTTTCTTTTCATAGAGCAGTTAGGAAACAGTCTGTTTGTAAATTCTGTAAGTGGATATTCTGACATCTTGTGGCCTTCGTTGGAAACGGGATTTCTTCATATTCTGCTAGACAGAAGAATTCTCAGTAAATTCCTGGTGTTGTGTGTATTCAACTCACAGAGTTGAACGATCCTTTACACAGAGCAGACTTGAAACACTCTTTTTGTGGAATTTGCAAGTGGAGATTTCAGCCGCTTTGAGGTCAATTGTAGAAAAGGAAATATCTTCGTATAGAAACTAGACAGAATGATTCTCAGAAACTTCTTTGTGATGTGTGCGTTCAACTCACAGAGTTTAACCTTTCTTTTCATACAGCAGTTAGGAAACACTCTGTTTGTAAACTCTGCAAGTGGATATTCAGACCTCTTTGAGGCCTTCGTTGGAAACGGGATTTCTTCATACTATGCTAGACAGAAGAATTCTCAGTAACTTCCTTGTGTTGTGTGTATTCAACTCACAGAGTTGAACGATGATTTACACAGAGCAGACTTGAAACACTCTTTTTGTGGAATTTGCAACTGGAGATTTCAGCCGCTGTGTGGTCAATGGTAGAATAGGAAATATCTTCCTATAGAAACTAGACAGAATGATTCTCAGAAACTGCTTTGTGCTCTGTGCGTTCAACTCACAGAGTTTAACCTTTCTTTTCATAGAGCAGTTAGGAAACACTCTGTTTGTAAAGTCTGCAAGTGGATATTCTGACCTCTTTGGGGCCTTCGTTGGAAAAGGGATTTCTTCATATTATGCTAGACAGAAGAATTCCCAGTAACTTCCTTGTGTTGTGTGTGTTCAACTCACAGAGTTGAACTTTCATTTACACAGAGCAGATTTGAAACACTCTTTTTTTGGAATTTGCAAGTGGAGATTTCAAGCGCTGTGAGGCCAAAGGCAGAAAAGGAAATATCTTCGTATAAAAACTAGACAGAATCATTCTCAGAAACTACTCTGCGATGTGTGCGTTCAACTCTCAGAGTTTAACTTTTCTTTTCATTCAGCAGTTTGGAAACACTCTGTTTGTAAAGTCTGCACGTGGATATTTTGACCACTTAGAGGCCTTCGTTGGAAACGGGTTTTTTTCCTGTAAGGCTAGACAGAAGAATTCCCAGTAACTTCCTTGTGTTGTGTACATTCAACTCACAGAGTTGAACGTTCCCTTAGACAGAGCAGATTTGAAACACTCTTTTTGTGCAATTGGCAAATGGAGATTTCAAGCGCTTTAAGGTCAATGGCAGGAAAGGAAATATCTTCGTTTCAAAACTAGACAGAATCATTCCCACAAACTGCGTTGTGATGTGTTCGTTCAACTCACAGAGTTTAACCTTTCTGTTCATAGAGCAGTTAGGAAACACTCTGTTTGCAAAGTCTGCAAGTGGATATTCAGACCTCCTTGAGGCCTTCGTTGGAAACGGGATTTCTTCATATTCTGCTAGACAGAAGAATTCTCAGAATCTTCCTTGTGTTGTGTGTATTCAACTCACAGAGTTGAACGATGGTTTACACAGAGCAGATTTGAAACACTCTATTTGTGGAATTTGCAAGTGGAGATTTCAGCCGCTTTGAGGTCCATGGTAGAAAAGGTAATATCTTCGTATAAAAACTAGACAGAATGATTCTCAGAAACTCCCTTGTGATGTGTGCGTTCAACTCACAGAGTTTAACCTTTCTTTTCATAGAGCAGTTAGGAAACACTCTGTTTGTAAAGTCTGCAAGTGGATATTCAGACCTCCTTGAGGCCTTCGTTGGAAACGGGATTTCTTCATATGATGCTAGACAGAAGAATTCTCAGTAACTTCCTTGTGTTGTGTGTATTCAACTCACAGAGTTGAACGATCCTTTACACAGAGCAGACTTGAAACACTCTATTTGTGGAATTTGCAAGTGGAGATTTCAGCCGCTTTGAGGTCAATGGTAGTATAGGAAATATCTTCCTATAGAAACTAGACAGAATGATTCTCAGAAACTCCTTTGTGATGTGTGCAGTTCAACTCACAGAGTTTAACCTTTCTTTTCATAGAGCAGTTAGGAAACACTCTGTTTGTAAAGTCTGCAAGTGGATATTCAGACCTCCTTGAGGCCTTCGTTGGAAACGGGATTTCTTCCTATTATGCTAGACAGAAGAATTCCCAGTAACTTCCTTGTGTTATGTGTGTTCAACTCACAGAGTTGAACTTTCATTTACACAGAGCAGATTTGAAACACTCTTTTTGTGGAATTTGCAAGTGGAGATTTCAAGCGCTTTGAGGCCAAAGGCAGAAAAGGAAATATCTTCGTATAAAAACTAGACAGAATCATTCTCAGAAACTGCTCTGCGATGTGTGCGTTCAACTCTCAGAGTTTAACTTTTCTTTTCATTCAGAAGTTTGGAAACACTCTGTTTGTAAAGACTGCACGTGGATAACTTGACCACTTAGAGGCCTTCGTTGGAAACGGGTTTTTTTCATATAAGGCTAGACAGAAGTATTCCCAGTAACTTCCTTGTGTTGTGTGCATTCAACTCACAGAGATGAACGTTCCCTTAGACAGAGCAGATTTGAAACACTCTATTTGTGCAATTTGCAAGTGTAGATTTCAAGCGCTTTAAGGTCAATGGCAGAAAAGGAAATATCTTCGTTTCAAAACTAGACAGAATCATTCCCACAAACTGCGTTGTGATGTGTTCGTTCAACTCACAGAGTTTAACCTTTCCGTTCATAGAGCAGTTAGGAAACACTCTGTTTGTAAAGTCTGTAAGTGGATATTCTGACATCTTCTGGCCTTCGTTGGAAACGGGATTTCTTCATATTCTGCTAGACAGAAGAATTCTCAGAATCTTCCTTGTGTTGTGTGTATTCAACTCACAGAGTTGAACGATGGTTTACACACAGCAGATTTGAAACACTCTTTTTGTGGAATTTGCAAGTGGAGATTTCAGCCTCTTTGAGGTCAATGGTAGAAAAGGAAATATCTTCGTATAAAAACTAGACAGAATGATTCTCAGAAACTTCTTTGTGATGTGTGCGTTCAACTCACAGAGTTTAACCTTTCTTTTCATAGAGCAGTTAGGAAACACTCTGTTTGTAAAGTCTGCAAGTGGATATTCAGACCTCTTTGAGGCCTTCGTTGGAAACGGGATTTCTTCATGCTATGCTAGACAGAAGAATTCTCAGTAACTTCCTTGTGTTGTGTGTATTCAACTCACAGAGTTGAACGATCCTTTACACGGAGCATACTTGAAACACTCTTGTTGTGGAATTTGCAAGTGGAGATTTCAGCCTCTTTGAGGTCAATGGTAGAATAGGAAATATCTTCCTATAGAAACTAGACAGAATGATTCTCAGAAACTCCTTTGTGATGTGTGCGTTCAACTCACAGAGTTTAACTTTTCTTTTCATAGAGCAGTTAGGAAACACTCTGTTTGTAAGGTCTGCAAGTGGATATTCAGACCTCTTTGAGGCCTTCGTTGGAAACGGGATTTCTTCATATTATGCTAGACAGAAGAATTCTCAGTAACTTCCTTGTGTTGTGTGTATTCAACTGACAGAGTTGAACTTTCATTTAGAGAGAGCAGATTTGAAACACTGTTTTTGTGGAATTTGCAAGTGGAGATTTCAAGCGCTTTGGGGCCAAAGGCTGAAAAGGGAATATCTTCGTATAAAAACTAGACAGAATCATTCTCAGAAACTGCTGCGTGATGTGTGCGTTCAACTCTCAGAGTTTAACTTTTCTTTTCATTCAGCGGTTTGGAAACACTCTGTTTGTAAAGTCTGCACGTGGATATTTTGACCACTTAGAGGCCTTCGTTGGAAACGGGTTTTTTTCATGTAAGGCTAGAGAGAAGAATTCCCAGTAACTTCCCTTGTGTTGTGTACATTCAACTCACAGAGTTGAACGTTTCCTTAGACACAGCAGATTTGAAACACTCTTTTTGTGCAATTGGCAAGTGGTGATTTCAGCCGCTTTGAGGTCAATGGTATAAAAGGAAATATCTTCATATAAAAACTAGACAGAATCATTCCCACAAACTGCGTTGTGATGTGTTTGTTCAACTCACAGAGTTTAACCTTTCTTTTCATAGAGCAGTTAGGAAACAGTCTGTTTGTCAATTCTGTAAGTGGATATTCTGACATCTTGTGGCCTTCGTTGGAAACGGGATTTCTTCATATTCTGCTAGACAGAAGAATTCTCAGTAACTTCCTTGTGTTGTGTGTATTCAACTCACAGAATTGAACGATCCTTTACACAGAGCAGACTTGAAAAACTCTTTTTGTGGAATTTGCAAGTGGAGATTTCAGCCGCTTTGAGGTCAATGGTAGAATAGGAAATATCTTCCTATAGAAACTAGACAGAATCATTCCCACAAACTGCGTTGTGATGTGTTCGTTCAACTCACAGAGTTTAACCTTTCTGTTCATAGAGCAGTTAGGAAACACTCTCTTTGTAAAGTCCGTAAGTGGATATTCTGACATCTTCTGGCCTTCGTTGGAAACGGGATTTCTTCATATTCCGCTAGACAGAAGAATTCTCAGTAACTTCCTTGTGTTGTGTGTATTCAACTCACAGAGTTGAACGATCCTTTACACAGAGCATAGTTGAAACACTCTTTTTGTGGAATTTGCAAGTGGAGATTTCAGCCGCTTTGAGGTCAATGGTAGAAAAGGAAATATCTTCGTATAAAGACTAGACAGAATGATTCTCAGAAACCCCTTTGTGATGTGTACGTTCAACTCACAGAGTTTAACCTTTCTTTTCATAGAGCAGTTAGGAAACACTCTGTTTGTAAAGTCTGCAAGTGGATATTCAGACCTCTTTGAGGCCTTCGTTGGAAACGGGATTTCTTCATATTCTGCTAGACAGAGAATTCCCAGTAACTTCCTTGTGTTGTGTGTGTTCAACTCACAGAGTTGAACTTTCATTTACACAGAGCAGATTTGAAACACTCTTTTTGTGGAATTTGCAGGTGGAGATTTCAAGCGCTTTGGGGCCAAAGGCAGAAAAGGAAATATCTTCGTATAAAAACTAGACAGAATCATTCTCAGAAACTACTCTGTGATGTGTGCGTTCAACTCTCAGAGTTTAACTTTTCTTTTCATTCAGCAGTTTGGAAACACTCTGTTTGTAAAGTCTGCACGTGGATATTTTGACCACTTAGAGGCCTTCGTTGGAAACGGGTTTTTTTCATTTAAGGCTAGACAGAAGAATTCCCAGTAACTTCCTTGTGTTGTGTATATTCAACTCACAGAGTTGAACGATCCCTTAGACAGAGCAGATTTGAAACACTCTTTTTGTGCAATTGGCAAGTGGAGACTTCAAGCGCTTTAAGGTCAATGGCAGAAAAGGAAATATCTTCGTTTCAAAACTAGACAGAATCATTCCCAAAAACTGCGTTGTGATGTGTTCGTTCATCTCAGAGAGTTTAACCTTTCTTTTCATAGAGCAGTTAGGAAACAGTCTGTTTGTAAATTCTGTAAGTGGATATTCTGACATCTTGTGGCCTTCGTTGGAAACGGGATTTCTTCATATTCTGCTAGACAGAAAGGAATTCTCAGTAACTTCCTTGTGTTGTGTTTATTCAACTCACAGAGTTGAATGATCCTTTACACAGAGCAGACTTGAAACACTCTTTTTGTGGAATTTGCAAGTGGAGATTTCAGCCGCTTTGAGGTCAATGGTAGAAAAGTAAATATCTTCGTATAAAGACTAGACAGAATGATTCTCAGAAACTCCTTTGTGATGTGTGCGTTCAACTCACAGAGTTTAACCTTTCTTTTCATAGAGCAGTTAGGAAACACTCTGTTTGTAAAGTCTGCAAGTGGATATTCAGACCTCTTTGAGGCTTTCCTTGGAAACGGGAGTTCTTCATATTCTGCTAGACAGAAGAATTCTCAGTAACTTCCTTGTGTTGTGTGTATTCAACTCACAGAGTTGAACGATCCTTTACACAGAGCAGACTTGAAACACTGTTTTTGTGGAATTTGCAAGTGGAGATTTCGGCCGCGTTGAGGTCAAAGGTAGAAAAGGGAATATCTTCGTAAAGAAACTAGACAGAATGATTCTCAGAAACTCCTTTGAGATGTGTGTGTTCAACTCACAGAGTTTAACCTTTCTTTTCATAGAGCAGTTAGGAATCACTCTGTTTGTAAAGTCTGCAGGTGGATATTCAGACCTCTTTGAGGCCTTCGTTGGAAACGGGTTTTTTTCATATAAGGCTAGACAGAAGAATTCTCAGTAACTTCCTTGTGTTGTGTGTATTCAACTGACAGAGTTGAACTTTCATTTAGAGAGAGCAGATTTGAAACACTGTTTTTGTGGAATTTGCAAGTGGAGATTTCAAGCGCTTTGGGGCCAAAGGCAGAAAAGGAAATATCTTCGTATAAAAACGAGACAGAATCATTCTCAGAAACTGCTCTGCGATGTGTGCGTTCAACTCTCAGTAGTTTAACTTTTCTTTTCATTCAGCAGTTTGGAAACACTCTGTTTGCAAAGTCTGCACGTGGATATTTTGACCACTTAGAGGCCTTCGTTGGAAACGGGTTTTTTTCATGTAAGGCTAGACAGAAGAATTCTCAGTAACTTCCTTGTGTTGTGTGTATTCAACTCACAGAGTTGAACGATCCTTTACACAGAGCCTACTTGAAACACTGTTTTTGTGGAATTTGCAAGTGGAGATTTCAGCCGCTTTGAGGTCAATGGTAGAAAAGGAAATATCTTCCTATAGAAACTAGACAGAATGATTCTCAGAAACTCCTTTGTGATGTGTGCGTTCAACTCACGGAGTTTAACCTTTCTTTTCATAGAGCAGTTAGGAAACACTCTGTTTGTAAAGTCTGCAAGTGGATATTCAGACCTCTTTGAGGCCTTCGTTGGAAACGGGATTTCTTCATATTCTGATAGACAGAAGAATTCCCAGTAACTTCCTTGTGTTGTGTGTGTTCAACTCACAGAGTTGAACTTTGATTTACACAGAGTAGATTTGAAACACTCTTTTTGTGGAATTTGCAAGTGGAGATTTCAAGCGCTTTGAGGCCAAAGGCAGAAAAGGAAATATCTTCGTATAAAAACTAGACAGAATCATTCTCAGAAACTGCTGCGTGATGTGTGCGTTCAACTCTCACAGTTTAACTTTTCTTTTCATTCAGCGGTTTGGAAACACTCTGTTTGTAAAGTCTGCACGTGGATATTTTGACCACTTAGAGGCCTTCGTTAGAAACTGGTTTTTTTCATGTAAGGCTAGACAGAAGAATTCCCAGTAACTTCCTTGTGTTGTGTGCATTCAACTCACAGAGATGAACGTTCGCTTGGACAGAGCAGATTTGAAACACTCTATTTGTGCAATTTGCAAGTGTAGATTTCAAGGGCTTTAAGGTCAATGGCAGAAAAGGAAATATCTTCGTTCCAAAACTAGACAGAATCATTCCCACTAACTGCGTTGTGATGTGTTCGTTCATCTCACAGAGTTTAACCTTTCTTTTCGTAGAGCAGTTAGGAAACAGTCTGTTTGTAAATTCTGTAAGTGGATATTCTGACATCTTGTGGCCTTCGTTGGAAACGGGATTTCTTCATATTCTGCTAGACAGAAGAATTCTCAGTAACTTCATTGTGTTGTGTGTATTCAACTCACAGACTTCAACGATCCTTTACACAGAGCAGACTTGAAACACTCTTTTTCTGGAATTTGCAAGTGGAGATTTCAGCCGCTTTGAGGTCAATGGTAGAATAGGAAATATCTTCCTATAGAAACTAGACAGAATGATTCTCAGAAACTCCTTTGTGATGTGTGCGTTCAACTCACAGAGTTCAACCTTTCTTTTCATAGAGCAGTTGGAAAACACTCTGTTTGTAAAGTCTGCAAGTGGATATTCAAACTTCTTTGAGGCCTTCGTTGGAAGCGGGATATCTTCATATTCTGCTAGACAGAAGAATTCTCAGTAACTTCCTTGTGTTTTGTGTATTCAACTCACAGAGTTCAACGATCCTTTACAGAGAGCAGACTTGAAACACTCTTTTTGTGGAATTTGCAAGTGGAGCTTTCAGCCGCTTTGAGGTCAATGGTAGAAAAGGAAACATCTTCGTATAAAAACTAGACAGAATGATTCTCAGAAACTCCTTTGTGATGTGTGCGTGCAACTCACAGAGTTTAACCTTTCTTTTCATAGAGCAGTTAGGAAACACTGTGTTTGTAAAGTCTGCAAGTGGATATTCAGACCTCCTTGAGGCCTTCGTTGGAAACGGGATTTCTTCATATTATGCTAGACAGAAGAATTCTCAGTAACTTCCTTGTGTTGTGTGTATTCAACTGACAGAGTTGAACATTCATTTAGAGAGAGCAGATTTGAAACACTGTTTTTGTGGAATTTGCAAGTTGAGATTTCAAGAGGTTTGGGGCCAAAGGCAGAAAAGGAAATATCTTCGTATAAAAACTAGACAGAATCATTCTCAGAAACTGCTGCGTGATGTGTGCGTTCAACTCTCAGAGTTTAACTTTTCTTTTCATTCAGCGGTTTGGAAACACTCTGTTTGTAAAGTCTGTAAGTGGATATTTTGACCCCTTAGAGGCCTTCGTTGGAAATGGGTTTTTTTCATGTAAGGCTAGACAGAAGAATTCCCAGTAACTTCCTTGTGTTGTGTGCATTCAACTCACAGACTTGAACGTTCCCTTAGACAGAGCAGATTTGAAACACTCTATTTGTGCAATTTGCAAGTGTAGATTTCAAGCGCTTTCAGGTCAATGGCAGAAAAGGAAATATCTTCCTTTCAAAACTAGACAGAATCATTCCCACAAACTGCGTTGTGATGTGTTCGTTCAACTCACAGAGTTTAACCTTTCTTTTCATAGAGCAGTTAGGAAACACTCTGGTTGTAAAGTCTGCAAGTGGATATTCAGACCTCTTTGAGGCCTTCGTTGGAAACGGGATTTCTTCATATTCTGCTAGACAGAATAATTCTCAGTAACTTCCCTTGTGTTGTGTGTATTCAACTCACAGAGTTCAACGATCCTTTACAGAGAGCAGACTTGAAACACTCTTTTTGTGGAATTCGCAAGTGGAGATTTCAGCCGCTTTGAGGTCAATGGTAGAAAAGGATATATCTTCGTATAAAGACTAGACAGAATGATTCTCAGAAACTCCTTTGTGATGTGTGCGTTCAACTCACAGAGTTTAACCTTTCTTTTCATAGAGCAGTTAGGAAACACTCTGTTTGTAAAGTCTGCAAGTGGATATTCAGAGCTCCTTGAGGCCTTCTTTGGAAACGGGATTTCTTCATATTATGCTAGACAGAAGAATTCTCAGTAACTTCCTTGTGTTTTGTGTATTCAACTCACAGAGTTCAACGATCCTTTACACAGAGCAGACTTGAAACACTCTTTTTGTGGAATTTGCAAGTGGAGATTTCAGCCGCTTTGAGGTCAATGGTAGAAAAGGAAATATCTTCGTATAAAAACTAGACAGACAATGATTCTCAGAAACTCCTTTGTGATGTGTGTGTTCAACTCACAGAGTTTAACCTTTCTTTTCATAGAGCAGTTAGGAAACACTCTGTTTGTAAAGTCTGCAAGAGGATATTCAGACCTCTTTGAGGCCTTCGTTGGAAACGGGTTTTTTTCATATAAGGCTAGACAGAAGAATTCCCAGTAACTTCCTTGTGTTGTGTGTGTTCAACTCAGAGAGTTGAACTCTCATTTACACAGAGCAGATTTGAAACACTCTTTTTGTGGAATTTGCAAGTGGAGATTTCAAGCGCTTTGAGGCGAAAGGCAGAAAAGGAAATATCTTCGTATAAAAACTAGACAGAATTATTCTCAGAAACTGCTCTGCGATGTGTGCGTTCAACTCTCAGAGTTTAACTTTTCTTTTCATTCAGCAGTTTGGAAACACTCTGTTTGTAAAGTCTGCACGTGGATAACTTGACCACTTAGAGGCCTTCGTTGGAAACGGGTTTTTTTCATGTAAGGCTAGACAGAAGAATTCTAAGTAACTTCCTCGTGTTGTGTGTATTCAACTCACAGAGTTGAGCGACGCTTTACACAGAGCAGACTTGAAACACTCTTTTTGTGGAATTTGCAATTGGAGATTTCAGCCGCTTTGAGGTCAATGGTTGAAAAGGAAATATCTTCGTTTCAAAACTAGACAGAATGATTCTCAGAAACTCCTTTGTGATGTGTGCGTTCAACTCACAGAGGTTAACCTTTCTTTTCATAGAGCAGTTAGGAAACACTCTGTTTGTAATGTCTGCAAGTGGAGATTCAGACCTGCTTGAGGCCTTCGTTGGAAACGGGATTTCTTCATATTATGCTAGACAGAAGAATTCTCAGTAAGTTCCTTGTAGTGTGTGTATTCAACTCACAGAGTTAAACGATCCTTTACACAGAGCATACTTGAAACACTCTTTTTGTGGAATTTGCAAGTGGAGATTTCAGCCGCTTTGAGGTCAATGGTAGAATAGGAAGTATCTCCCTATAGAAATTAGACAGAATGATTCTCAGAAACTCCTTTGTGATGTGTGCGTTCAACTCACACAGTTTAACCTTTCTTTTCATAGAGCAGTTAGGAAACACTCTGTAAAGTCTGCAAGTGGATATTCAGACCTCCTTGAGGCCTTCGTTGGAAACGGGATTTCTTCATATTATGCTAGACAGAAGAGTTCTCAGTAACTTCCTTGTGTTGTGTGTATTCAACTCACAGAGTTGAACGATCCTTTACACAGAGCAGACTTGAAACACTCTTTTTGTGGAATTTGCAAGTGGAGATTTCAGCCGCGTTGAGGTCAATGGTAGAAAAGGAAATATCTTCGTATAAAAACTAGACAGAATGATTCTCAGAAACTCCTTTGTGATGTGTGTGTTCAACTCACAGAGTTTAACCTTTCTTTTCATAGAGCAGTTAGGAAACACTCTGCTTGTAAAGTCTCCAAGTGGATATTCAGCCCTCTTTGAGGCCATCGTTGGAAACGGGTTTTTTTCATATAAGGCTAGACAGAAGAATTCCCAGTAACTTCCTTGTGTTGTGTGTGTTCAACTCACAGAGTTGAACTTTCATTTACACAGAGCAGGTTTGAAACACTCTTTTTGTGGAATTTGCAAATGGAGATTTCAAGCGCTTTGAGGCCAAAGGCAGAAAAGGAAATATCTTCGTATAAAAACTAGACAGAATCATTCTCAGAAACTGCTGCGTGATGTGTGCGTTCAACTCTCAGAGTTTAACTTTTCTTTTCATTCAGCGGTTTGGAAACACTCTGTTTGTAAAGTCTGCACGAGGATATTTTGACCCCTTAGAGGCCTTCGTTGGAAACGGGTTTTTTTCATGTAAGGCTAGACAGAAGAATTCTCAGTAACTTCCTTGTGTTGTGTGTATTCAACTCACAGAGTTGAAGGATCCTTTACAGAGAGCAGGATTGAAAAACTCTTTTTGTCGAATTTGCAAGTGGAGATTTCAGCCGCTTTGAAGCCAATGGTAGAATAGGAAATATCTTCTTATAGAAACTAGACAGAATGATTCTCAGAAACTCCTTTGTGATGTGTGCGTTCAACTCACAGAGGTTAACCTTTCTTTTCATAGAGCAGTTAGGAAACACTCTGTTTGTAAAGTCTGCAAGTGGAGATTCAGACCTGCTTGAGGCCTTCGTTGGATACGGGATTTCTTCATATTATGCTAGACAGAAGAATTCCCAGTAACTCCCTTGTGTTGTGTGTGTTCAACTCACAGAGTTGAACTTTCATTTACACAGAGCAGATTTGAAACACTCTTTTTGTGGAATTTGCAAATGGAGATTTCAAGCGCTTTGAGGCCAAAGGCAGAAAAGGAAATAACTTCGTTTCAAAACTAGAGAGAAATCATTCTCAGAAACTGCTCTGCGATGTGTGCGTTCAACTCTCAGCAGTTTAACTTTTCTTTTCATTCAGCAGTTTGGAAACACTCTGTTTGTAAAGTCTGCACGTGGATAATTTGACCACTTAGAGGCCTTCGTTGGAAACGGGTTTTTTTCATGTAAGGCTAGACAGAAGAATTCCCAGTAACTTCCTTGTGTTGTGTACATTCAACTCACAGAGTTGAACGTTCCCTTAGACAGAGCAGATTTGAAACACTCTTTTTGTGCAATTGGCAAGTGGAGATTTCAAGCGCTTTAAGGTCAATGGCAGAAAAGGAAATATCTTCGTTTCAAAACTAGAGAGAATCATTCCCACAAACTGCGTTGTGATGTGTTCATTCAACTCACAGAGTTTAACCTTTCTTTTCATAGAGCAGTTAGGAAACAGTCTGTTTGTAAATTCTGTAAGTGGATATTCTGACATCTTGTGGCCTTCGTTGGAAACGGGATTTCTTCATATTCTGCTAGACAGAAGAATTCTCAGAAACTTCCTTGTGTTGTGTGTATTCAACTCACAGAGTTGAACGATCCTTTACTCAGAGCAGACTTGAAACACTCCTTTTGTGGAATTTGCAAGAGAAGATTTCAGCCGCTTTTAGGTCAATGGTAGAATAGGAAATATCTTCCTATAGAAACTAGACAGAATGATTCTCAAAAACTTCTTTGTGATGTGTGCGTTCAACTCACAGAGTTTAACCTTTCTTTTCTTAGAGCAGTTAGGAAACACTCTGTTTGTAAACTCTGCAAGTGGATATTCAGACCTCTTTGAGGCCTTCGTTGGAAACGGGATTTCTTCATACTATGCTAGACAGAAGAATTCTCAGAAAGTTCGTTGTGTTGTGTGTTTTCAACTCACAGAGTTCAACGATCCTTTACACAGAGTAGACTTGAAACACCCTTTTTGTGGAATTGGCAGGGTGGAGATTTCAGCCGCTTTGAGGTCAATGGAAGAAAAGGAAATATCTTCGTATAAAAACTAGACAGAATGATTCTCAGAAAATCTTTTGTGATGTGTGTGTTCAACTCACAGAGTTTAACTTTTCTTCTCATAGAGCAGTTAGGAAACACTCTGTTTGTAAAGTCTGCAAGTGGATATTCAGACCTCTTTGAGGCCTTCGTTGGAAACGGGATTTCTTCATATTATGCTAGACAGAAGAATTCTCAGTAACTTCCTTGTGTTGTGTGTATTCAACTCACAGAGTTCAACGATCCTTTACACAGAGCAGACTTGAAACACTCTTTTTGTGGAATTTGCAAGTGGAGATTTCAGCCGCTTTGAGGTCAATGGCAGAAAAGGAAATATCTTCGTATAAAAACTAGACAGAATGATTCTCAGAAACTCCTTTGTGATGTGTGCGTTCAACTCACAGAGTTTAACCTTTCTTTTCATAGAGCAGTTAGGAAACACTCTATTTGTACAGTCTGCAAGTGGATATTCAGACCTCCTTGAGGCCTTCGTTGGAAACGGGATTTCTTCATATTCTGCTAGACAGAAGAATTCTCAGTAACTTCCTTGTGTTGTGTGTATTCAACTCACAGAGTTGAACGATCGTTTACACAGAGCAGACTTGAAACATTCTTTTTGTGGAATTTGCAAGTGGAGATTTCAGCCGCTTTGTGGTCAATGGTAGAATAGGAAATATCTTCCTATAGAAACTAGACAGAATCATTCTCAGAAACTGCTCTGCGATGTGTGCGTTCAACTCTCAGAGTTTAACTTTTCTTTTCATTCAGCAGTTTGGAAACACTCTGTTTGTAAAGTCTGCACGTGGATAACTTGACCACTTAGAGGCCTTCGTTGGAAAAGGGTTTTTTTCATGTAAGGCTAGACAGAAGAATTCTCAGTAACTTCCTTGTGTTGTGTTTATTCAACACACAGAGTTGAATGATCCTTTACCCAGAGCAGACTTGAAACACTCTTTTTGTGGAATTTGCAAGTGGAGATTTCAGCCGCTTTGAGGTCAATGGTAGAATAGGAAATATCTTCTTATAGAAACTAGACAAAATGATTCTCAGAAACTCCTTTGTGATGTGTGCGTTCAACTCACAGAGTTTAACCTTTCTGTTCATAGAGCTGTTAGGAAACACTCTGTTTGTAAAGTCTGCAAGTGGATATTCAGACCTCCTTGAGGCCTTCGTTGGAAACGGGATTTCTTCATATTCTGCTAGACAGGAGTAATTCCCAGTAACTTCCTTGTGTTGTGTGTGTTCAACTCATAGAGTTGAACTTTGATTTACACAGAGCAGATTTGAAACACTCTTTTTGTGGAATTTGCAAGTGGAGATTTCAAGCGCTTTGAGGCCAAAGGCAGAAAAGGAAATATCTTCGTATAAAAACTAGACAGAATCATTCTCAGAAACTGCTCTGCGATGTGTGCGTTCAACTCTCAGAGTTTAACTTTTCTTTTCATTCAGAAGTTTGGAAACACTCTGTTTGTAAAGTCTGCACGTGGATAACTTGACCACTTAGAGGCCTTCGTTGGAAACGGGTTTTTTTCACGTAAGGCTAGACAGAAGAATTCCGAGTAACTTCCTTGTGTTGTGTGCATTCAAATCACAGAGTTGAACGTTCCCTTAGACAGAGCAGATTTGAAACACTCTATTTGTGCAATTTGCAAGTGTAGATTTCAAGCGCTTTAAGGTCAATGGCAGAAAAGGAAATATCTTCGTTTCAAAACTAGACAGAAATCATTCCCACAAACTGCGTTGTGATGTGTTCATTCAACTCACAGAGCTTAACCTTTCTGTTCATAGAGCAGTTAGGAAACACTCTGTTTGTAAAGTCTGTAAGTGGATATTCTGACATCTTGTGGCCTTCGTTGGAAACGGGATTTCTTCATATTCTGCTAGACAGAAGAATTCTCAGTAACTTCCTTGTGTTGTGTGTATTCACCTCACAGAGTTGAACGATCCTTTACACAGAGCAGACGTGTAACACTCTTTTTGTGTAATTTGCAAGTGGAGATTTCAGCCGCTTTGAAGTCAAAGGTAGAAAAGGAAATATCTTCCTATAAAAACTAGACAGAATGATTCTCAGAAACTCCTTTGTGATGTGTGCGTTCAACTCACAGAGTTTAACCATTCTTTTCATAGAGCAGTTAGGAAAAACTCTGTTTGTAAAGTCTGCAAGTCGATATTCAGACCTCCTTGAGGCCTTCGTTGGAAACGCGATTTCTTCATATTCTGCTAGACAGAAGAATTCTCAGTAACTTCCTTGTGTTGTGTGTATTCAACTCACAGAGTTGAACTATCCTTTACAGAGAGCAGACTTAAAACACTCTTTTTGTGGAATTTGCAAGTGGAGATTTCAGCCGCTTTGAGGTCAATAGTAGAAAAGCAAATATCTTCGTAGAAAAACTAGACAGAATGATTCTCAGAAACTCCTTTGTGATGTGTGCGTTCAACTCACAGAGTTTAACCTTTCTTTTCTTAGAGCAGTTAGGAAACACTCTGTTTATAAAGTCTGCAAGTGGATATTCAGACCTCTTTGAGGCCTTCGTTGGAAACGGGATTTCTTCATATTCTGGTAGACAGAAGAATTCCCAGTAACTTCCTTGTGTTGTGTGTGTTCAACTCACAGAGTTGAACTTTCATTTACACAGAGCAGATTTGAAACACTCTTTTTGTGGAATTTGCAAGTGGAGATTTCAAGCGCTTTGAGGCCAAAGGCAGACAAGGAAATATCTTCGTATAAAAACTAGACAGAATCATTCTCAGAAACTGCTCTGTGATGTGTGCGTTCAACTCTCAGAGTTTAACTTTTCTTTTCATTCTACAGTTTGGAAACACTCTGTTTGTAAAGTCTGCACGTGGATATTTTGACCACTTAGAGGCCTTCGTTGGAAACGGGTTTTTTTCATGTAAGGCTAGACAGAAGAATTCCCAGTAACTTCCTTGTGTTGTGTGCATTCAACTCACAGAGTTGAACGTTCCCTTAGACAGAGCAGATTTGAAACACTCTATTTGTGCAATTTGCAAGTGTAGATTTCAAGCGTTTTAAGGTCAATGGCAGAAAAGGAAATATCTTCGTTTCAAAACTAGACAGAATCATTCCCACAAACTGCGTTGTGATGTGTTCGTTCAACTCACAGAGTTTAACCTTTCTGTTCATAGAGCAGTTAGGAAACACTCTGTTTGTAAAGTCTGCAAGTGGACATTCAGACCTCCTTGAGGCCTTCGTTGGAAACGGGATTTCTTCATATTCTGCTAGACAGAAGAATTCTCAGAATCTTCCTTGTGTTGTGTGTATTCAACTCACAGAGTTGAACGATCCTTTACACAGAGCAGACTTGAAACACTCTTTTTGTGGAATTTGCAAGTGGAGATTTCAGCCGCTTTGAGGTCCATGGTAGAAAAGGAAATATCTTTGTATAAAAACTAGTCAGAATGATTCTCAGAAACTTCTTTGTGATGTGTGCGTTCAACTCACAGAGTTTAACCTTTCTTTTCATAGAGCAGTTAGGAAACACTCTGTTTGTAAACTCTGCAAGTGGATATTCAGACCTCTTTGAGGCCTTCGTTGGAAACTGGATTTCTTCATACTATGCTAGACAGAAGAATTCTCAGTAACTTCC
Organism: Homo sapiens; assembly: GCF_000001405.40. NCBI lineage: Eukaryota > Metazoa > Chordata > Mammalia > Primates > Hominidae > Homo > Homo sapiens. Next base: position 122,615,995 of record NC_000001.11, read on the forward strand.
TTGTGTTGTGTGTATTCAACTCACAGAGTTGAACGATCCTTTACACAGAGCAGACTTGAAACACTCTTTTTGTGGAATTTGCAAGTGGAGATTTCAGCCGCTTTGAGGTCAATGGTAGAATAGGAAATATCTTCCTATACAAACTAGACAGAATGATTCTCAGAAACTCCTTTGTGATGTGTGCCTTCAACTCACAGAGTTTAACCTTTCTTTTCATAGAGCAGTTAGGAAACACTCTGTTTGTAAAGTCTGCAAGTGGATATTCCGACATCCTTGAGGCTTTCGTTGGAAACGGGATTTCTTCATATTCTGCAAGAAAGAAGAATTCTCAGTAACTTCCTTGTGTTGTGTGTATTCAACTGACAGAGTTGAACTTTCATTTAGAGAGAGCAGATTTGAAACACTGTTTTTGTGGAATTTGCAAATGGAGATTTCAAGCGCTTTGGGGCCAAAGGCAGAAAACGAAATATCTTCGTATAAAAACTAGACAGAATCATTCTCAGAAACTGCTCTGCGATGTGTGCGTTCAACTCTCAGAGTTTAACTTTTCTTTTCATTCAGCGGTTTGGAAACACTCTGTTTGTAAAGTCTGCACGTGGATAATTTGGCCACTTAGAGGCCTTCGTTGGAAACGTGTTTTTTTCATGTAAGGCTAGACAGAAGAATTCTCAGTAACTTCCTTGTGTTGTGTGGATTCAACTCACAGAGTTGAACGATCCTTTACACAGAGCGGACTTGAAACACTCGTTTTGTGGAATTTGCAAGTGGAGATTTCAGCCGCTTTGAGGTCAATGGTAGAAAAGGAAATATCTTCGTACAAAAACTAGACAGAACGATTCTCAGAAACTCCTTTGTGATGTGTGCGTTCAACTCACAGAGTTTAACCTTTCTTTTCATAGAGCAGTTAGGAAACACTCTGTTTGTAACGTCTGCAAGTGGATATTCAGACCTCCTTGAGGCCTTCGTTGGAAACGGGATTTCTTCCTATTCTGCTAGACAGAAGAATTCCCAGTAACTTCCTTGTGTTGTGTGTGTTCAACTCACAGAGTTGAACTTTCCTTTACACAGAGCAGATTTGAAACACTCTTTTTGTGGAATTTGCAGGTGGAGATTTCAAGCGCTTTGAGGCCAAAGGCAGAAAAGGAAATATCTTCGTATAAAAACTAGACAGAATCATTCTCAGAAACTGCTCTGCGATGTGTGCATTCAACTCTCAGAGTTTAATTTTTCTTTTCATTCAGCAGTTTGGAAACATTCTCTTTGTAAAGTCTGCACGTGGATATTTTGACCACTTAGAGGCCTTCGTTGGAAACGGGTTTTATTCCTGTAAGGCTAGACAGAAGAATTCCCAGTAACTTCCTTGTGTTGTGTACATTCAACACACAGATTTGAACGTTCCCTTAGACAGAGCTGATTTGAAACACTCTTTTTGTGCAATTGGCAAGTGGAGATTTCAAGCGCTTTAAGGTCAATGGCAGAAAAGGAAATATCTTCGTTTCAAAACTAGACAGAATCATTCCCACAAACTGCGTTGTGATGTGTTCGTTCAACTCACAGAGTTTAACCTTTCTGTTCATAGAGCAGTTAGGAAACACTCTGTTTGTAAAGTCTGAAAGTGGATATTCTGACATCTTGTGGCCTTCGTTGGAAACAGGATTTCTTCATATTCTGCTAGACAGAAGAATTCTCAGAATCTTCCCTTGTGTTGTGTGTATTCCACTCACAGAGTTGAACGATGGTTTACACAGAGCAGATTTGAAACACTCTTTGTGTGGAATTTGCAAGTGGAGATTTCAGCCGCTTTGAGGTCAATGGTAGAAAAGGAAATATCTTCGTATAAAAACTAGACAGAATGATTCTCAGAAACTCCTATGTGATGTGTGCGTTCAACTCACAGAGTTTAACTTTTCTTTTCAGAGAGCAGTTAGGAAACACTCTGTTTGTAAAGTCTGCAAGTGGATATTCAGACCTCTTTGAGGCCTTCGTTGGAAACGGGATTTCTTCATATTATGCTAGACAGAAGAATTCTCAGTAACTTCCTCGTGTTGTGTGTATTCAACTCACAGAGTTGAACGATCCTTTACACAGAGCAGATTAGAAACACTCTTTTTGTGGAATTTGCAAGTGGAGATTTCAGCCGCTTTGAGGTCAATGGTAGAAAAGGAAATATCTTCATAGAAAAACTAGACAGAATGATTCTCAGAAACTTCATTGTGATGTGTGCGTTCAACTCACAGAGTTTAACCTTTCTTTTCATAGAGCAGTTAGGAAACACTCTGTTTGTAAACTCTGCAAGTGTATATTCAGACCTCTTTGAGGACTTCGTTGGAAACGGGATTTCTTCATACTGTGCTAGACAGAAGAATTCTCAGTAACTTCCTTCTGTTGTGTGTATTCAACTGACAGAGTTGAACTTTCATTTAGAGAGGGCAGATTTGAAACACTGTTTTTGTGGAATTTGCAAGTGGAGATTTCAAGCGCTTTGGGGCCAAAGGCAGAAAAGGAAATATCTTCGTATAAAAACTAGACAGAATCATTCTCAGAATCTGCTCTGTGATGTGTGCGTTCAACTCTCAGAGTTTAACTTTTCTTTTCATTCTACAGTTTGGAAACACTCTGTTTGTAAAGTCTGCACGTGGATATTTTGACCACTTAGAGGCCTTCGTTGGAAACGGGTTTTTTTCATGTAAGGCTAGACAGAAGAATTCCCAGTAACTTCCTTGTGTTGTGTGCATTCAACTCACAGAGTTGAACGTTCCCTTAGACAGAGCAGATTTGAAACACTCTATTTGTGCAATTTGCAAGTGTAGTTTTCAAGCTCTTTAAGGTCAACGGCAGAAAAGGAAATATCTGCGTTTCAAAACTAGACAGAATCATTCCCACAAACTGCGTTGTGATGTGTTCGTTCATCTCACAGAGTTTAACCTTTCTTTTCATAGAGCAGTTAGGAAACAGTCTGTTTGTAAATTCTGTAAGTGGATAATTTGACATCTTGTGGCCTTCGTTGGAAACGGGATTTCTTCATATTCTGCTAGACAGAAGAATTCTCAGTAACTTCCTTGTGTTGTGTGTATTCAACTCACAGAGTTGAACGATCCTTTACACAGAGCAGACTTGAAACACTGTTTTAGTGGAATTTGCAAGTGGAGATTTCAGCCGCTTTGAGGTCAATGGTAGAATAGGAAATATCTTCCTATAGAAACTAGACCGAATGATTCTCAGAAACTGCTTTGTGATTTGTGCGTTCAACTCACAGAGTTTAACCTTTCTTTTCATAGAGAAGTTAGGAAACACTCTGTTTGTAAAGTCTGCATGTGGATATTCAGACCTCCTTGAGGCCTTCGTTGGAAACGTGATTTCTTCATATTATGCTAGACAGAAGAATTCTCAGTAACTTCCTTGTGTTGTGTGTATTCACCTCACCGATTTGAACGATCCTTTACACAGAGCAGACTTGAAACACTCTTTTTGTGGAATTTGCAAGTGGAGATTTCAGCCGCTTTGAGGTCAATGGTAGAATAGGAAATATCTTCCTATAGAAATTAGACAGAATGTTTCTCAGAAACTCCTTTCTGATGTGTGTGTTCAACTCACAGAGTTTAACCTTTCTTTTCATAGAGCAGTTAGGAAACACTCTGTTTGTAAAGTCTGCAAGTGGATATTCAGACCTCTTTGAGGCCTTCGTTGGAAACGGGTTTTTTTCATGTAAGGCTAGACAGAAGAATTCCCAGTAACTTCCTTGTGTTGTGTGTGTTCAACTCACGGAGTTGAGCTTTCATTTACACAGAGCAGATTTGAAACACTCTTTTTGTGGAATTTGCAAGTGGAGATTTCAAGCGCTTTGAGGCCAAAGGCAGAAAAGGAAATATCTTCGTATAAAAACTAGACAGAATCATTCTCAGAAACTGCTGCGTGATGTGTGCGTTCAACTCTCAGAGTTTAACTTTTCTTTTCATTCAGCGGTTTGGAAACACTCTGTTTGTAAAGTCTGCACCTGGATATTTTGACCACTTAGAGGCCTTCGTTGGAAACGGGTTTTTTTCATGTAAGGCTAGACAGAAGAATTCCCAGTAACTTCCTTGTGTTGTGTACATTCAACTCACAGAGTTGAACAGTTCCCTTAGACAGAGCAGATTTGAAACACTCTTTTTGTGCAATTGGCAAGTGGAGATTTCAAGCGCTTTAAGGTCAATGGCAGAAAAGGAAATATCTTCGTTTCAAAACTAGAGAGAATCATTCCCACAAACTGCGTTGTGATGTGTTCGTTCAACTCACAGAGTTTAACTTTTCTGTTCATAGAGCAGTTAGGATACACTCTGTTTGTAAAGTCTGTAAGTGGATATTCTGACATCTTGTGGCCTTCGTTTTAAACGGGATTTCTTCATATTCTGCTAGACAGAAGAATTCTCAGAATCTTCCTTGTGTTGTGTGTATTCAACTCACAGAGTTGAACGATGGTTTACACAGAGCAGATTTGAAACACTCTTTTTGTGGAATTTGCAAGTGGAGATTTCAGCCGCTTAGAGGTCAATGGTAGAAAAGGAAATATCTTCGTATAAAAACTAGACAGAATGATTCTCAGAAACTCCTTTGTGATGTGTGCGTTCAATTCACAGAGTTTAACCTTTCTATTCATAGAGCAGTTAGGAAACACTGTGTTTGTAAAGTCTGCAAGTGGATATTCAGACCTCTTTGAGGCTTTCGTTGGAAACGGGATTTCTTCATATTCTGCTAGACAGAAGAATTCTCAGTAACTTCCTTGTGCTGTGTGTATTCAACTCACAGAGTTGAACGATCCTTTTCAGAGAGCAGACTTTAAACACTCTTTTTGTGGAATTTGCAAGTGGAGATTTCAGCCGCTTTGAGGTCAATGGTAGAAAAGGAAATATCTTCGTATAAAGACTAGACAGAATGATTCTCAGAAACTCCTTTGTGATGTGTGCGTTCAACTCACAGAGTTTAACCTTTCTGTTCATAGAGCATTTAGGAAACACTCTGTTTGTAAAGTCTGCAAGTGGATATTCAGACCTCCTTGAGGCCTTCGTTGGAAACGGGATTTCTTCATATTCTGCTAGACAGAAGAATTCTCAGTAACTTCCTTGTGTTGTGTGTATTCAACTGACAGAGTTGAACTTTCATTTAGAGAGAGCAGATTTATAACACTGTTTTTGTGGAATTTGCAAGTGGAGATTTCAGCCGCTTTGGGGCCAAAGGCCGAAAAGGAAATATCTTCGTATAAAAACTAGACAGAAATCATTCTCAGAAACTGCTCTGCGATGTGGGTGTTCAACTCTCAGAGTTTAACTTTTCTTTTCATTCAGCAGTTTGGAAACACTCTGTTTGTAAAGTCTGCACGTGGATATTTTCACCACTTAGAGGCCTTCGTTGGAAACGGGTTTTTTTCCTGTAAGGCTAGACAGAAGAATTCCCAGTAACTTCCTTGTGTTGTGTACATTCAACTCACAGAGTTGAACGTTCCCTTAGACAGAGCAGATTTGAAACACTCTTTTTGTGCAATTGGCAAATGGAGATTTCAAGCGCTTTAAGTTCAATGGCAGAAAAGGAAATATCTTCGTTTCAAAACTAGACAGAATCATTCCCACAAACTGCGTTGTGATGTGTTCGTTCAACTCACAGGGTTTAACCTTTCTTTTCATAGAGCAGTTAGGAAACAGTCTGTTTGTCATTTCTGTAAGTGGATATTCTGACATCTTGTGGCCTTCGTTGGAAACGGGATTTCTTCATATTCTGCTAGACAGAAGAATTCTCAGCAACTTCCTTGTGTTGTGTGTATTCAACTCACAGAGTTGAACGATCCTTTGAGCAGACTTGAAACACTCTTTTTGTGGAATTTGCAAGTGGAGATTTAAGCCGCTTTGAGGTCAATTGTAGAAAAGGAAGTATCTTCGTATAAAAACTAGACAGAATGATTCTGAGAAACTCCTTTGTGATGTGTGCGTTCAACTCACAGAGTTTAACCTTTCTTTTCATAGAGCAGTTAGGAAACACTCTGTTTGTGAAGTCTGCAAGTGGATATTCAGACATCTTTGAGGCTTTCGTTGGAAACTGGATTTCTTCATATTCTGCTATACAGAAGAATTCTCAGAAACTTCCTTGTGTTGTGTGTATTCAACTCACAGAGTTGAACGATCATTTACACAGAGCAGACTTGAGACACTCTTTTTGTGGAATTTGTAAGTGGACATTTCAGCCGCTTTGAGGTCAATGGTAGAAAAGGAAATATCTTCATATAAAAACTAGACAGAATGATTCTCAGAAACTCCTTTGTGATGTGTGCGTTCAACTCACAGAGTTTAATCTTTCTTTTCATAGAGCAGTTAGGAAACACTCTGTTTGTAAAGACTGCAAGTGGATATTCAGACCTCTTTGAGGCCTTCGTTGGAAACGGGTTTTTTTCATATAAGGCTAGACAGAGAAGATTCTCAGTAACTTCCTTGTGTTGTGTGTATTCAACTCACAGAGTTGAACTTTCATTTACACAGAGCAGATTTGAAACACTCTTTTTGTGGAATTTGCAAATGGAGATTTCAAGCGCTTTGAGGCCAAAGGCAGAAAAGGAAATATCTTCGTATAAAAACTAGACAGATCATTGCTCAGAAACTGCTCTGGGATGTGTGCGTTCAACTCTCAGAGTTTAACTTTTCTTTTCATTCAGCAGTGTGGAAACACTCTGTTTGTAAAGTCTGCACGTGGATATTTTGACCACTTAGAGGCCTTCGTTGGAAACGGGTTTTTTTCCTGTAAGGCTAGACAGAAGAATTCCCAGTAACTTCCTTGTGTTGTGTACATTCAACTCACAGAGTTGAACGTTCCCTTAGACAGAGCAGATTTGAAATACTCTTTTTGTGCAATTGGCAAGTGGAGATTTCAAGCGCTTTAAGGTCAATGGCAGAAAAGGAAATATCTTGGTTTCAAAACTAGACAGAATGAATCCCACAAACTGCGTTGTGATGTGTTCGTTCAACTCACAGAGTTTAACCTTTCTGTTCATAGAGCAGTTAGGAAACACTCTGTTTGTAAAGTCTGTAAGTGGATATTCTGACATTTTGTGGCCTTGGTTGGAAATGGGATTTCTTCATATACTCCAAGACAGAAGAATTCTCAGTAACTTCCTTGTGTTGTGTGTATTCAACTCACAGAGTTGAACGATCCTTTACACAGAGCGGACTTGAAACACACTTTTTGTGGAATTTGCAAGTGGAGATTTCAGCCGCATTGAGGTCAATGGTAGAAAAGGAAATATCTTCGTATAAAAGTTAGACAGAATGATTCTCAGAAACTCCTTTGTGATGTGTGCGTTCAACTCATAGAGTTTAACTTTTCTTTTCATAGAGCAGTTAGGAAACACTCTGTTTGTAAAGACTTCAAGTGGATATTCAGACCTCTTTGAGGCCTTCGTTGGAAACGGGATTTCTTCATATTCTGCTAGACAGAAGAATTCCCAGTAACTTCCTTGTGTTGTGTGTGTTCAACTCACAGAGTTGAACTTCCGTTTACACAGAGCAGATTTGAAACACTCTTTTTGTGGAATTTGCAAATGGAGATTTCAAGCGCTTTGAGGCCAAAGGCAGAAAAGGAAATATCTTCGTATAAAAATTCGACAGAATCATTCTCAGAAACTGCTCTGCGATGTGTGCGTTCAACTCTCAGAGTTTAACTTTTCTTTTCATTCAGCAGTTTGGAAACACTCTGTTTGTAAAGTCTGCACGTGGATATTTTGACCACTTAGAGGCCTTCATTGGAAACGGGTTTCTTTCCTGTAAGGCTAGACAGAAGAATTCCCAGTAACTTCCTTGTGTTGGGTGCATTAAACTCACAGAGTTGAACGTTCCCTTAGACAGAGCAGATTTGAAACACTCTATTTGTGCAATTTGCAAGTGTAGATTTCAAGCGCTTTAAGGTCAATGGCAGAAAAGGAAATATCTTCGTTTCAAAACTAGACAGAATCATTCCCACAAACTGCGTTGTGATGTGTTCGTTCAACTCACAGAGTTTAACCTTTGTTTTCATAGAGCAGTTAGGAAACAGTCTGTTTGTAAATTCTGTAAGTGGATATTCTGACATCTTGTGGCCTTCGTTGGAAACGGGATTTCTTCATATTCTGCTAGACAGAAGAATTCTCAGTAACTTCCTTGTGTTGTGTGTATTCAAGTCACAGAGTTGAACGATCCTTTACACAGAGCAGACTTGTAACACTCTTTTTGTGGAATTTGCAAGTGGAGATTTCAGCCGCTTTGAAGTCAAAGGTAGAAAAGGAAATATCTTCCTATAAAAACTAGACAGAATGATTCTCAGAAACTCCTTTGTGATGTGTGTGTTCAACTCACAGAGTTTAACCTTTCTTTTCATAGAACAGTTAGGAATCACTCTGTTTGTAAAGTCTGCAAGTGGATATTCAGACCTCTTTGAGGCCTTCGTTGGAAACGGGTTTTTTTCATATAAGGCTAGACAGAAGAATTCCCAGTAACTTCCTTGTGTTGTGTGTGTTCAACTCACAGAGCTGAACTTTCATTTACACAGAGCAGATTTGAAACACTCTTTTTGTGGAATTTGCAAGTGGAGATTTCAAGCGCTTTGAGGCCAAAGGCAGAAAAGGAAATATCTTCGTTTCAAAACTAGACAGAATGATTCTCAGAAACTCCTTTGTGATGTGTGCGTTCAACTCACAGAGTTCAACCTTTCTTTTCATAGAGCAGTTGGGAAACACTCTGTTTGTAAAGTCTGCAAGTGCTTATTCAGACTTCTTTGAGGCCTTCGTTGGAAGCGGGATTTCTTCATATTCTGCTAGACAGAAGAATTCTCAGTAACTGCCTTGTGTTGTGTGTATTCAACTCACAGAGTTGAAGGATCCTTTACACAGAGCAGACTTGAAACACTCTTTTTGTGGAATTTGCAAGTGGAGATTTCAGCCGCTTTGAGGTCAATGGTAGAATAGGAAATATCTTCCTATAGAAACTAGACAGAATGATTCTCAGTAAACTCCTTTGTGATGTGTGCGTTCAACTCACAGAGTTTAACCTTTCTTTTCATAGAGCAGTTAGGAAACACTCTGCTTGTAAAGTCTGCAAGTGGATATTCAGCCCTCTTTGAGGCCTTCGTTGGAAACGGGTTTTTTTCATATAAGGCTAGACAGAAGAATTCCCAGTAACTTCCTTGTGTTGTGTGTGTTCAACTCACAGAGTTGAACTTTCATTTACACAGAGCAGATTTGAAACACTCTTTTTGTGGAATTTGCAAATGGAGATTTCAAGCGCTTTGAGGCCAAAGGCAGAAAAGGAAATATCTTCGTACAAAAACTAGACAGAATCATTCTCAGAAACTGCTCTGCGATGTGTGCGTTCAACTCTCAGAGTTTAACTTTTCTTTTCATTCAGCAGTTTGGAAACACTCTGTTTGTAAAGTCTGCACGTGGATAATTTGACCACTTAGAGGCCTTCGTTGGAAACGGGTTTTTTTCATGTAAGGCTACACAGAAGAATTCCCAGTAACTTCCTTGTGTTGTGTACATTCAACTCACAGAGTTGAACGTTTCCTTAGACAGAGCAGATTTGAAACACTCTTTTTGTGCAATTGGCAAGTGGAGATTTCAAGCGCTTTGAGGTCAATGGCAGAAAAGGAAATATCTTCGTTTCAAAACTAGACAGAATCATTCCCACAAACTGCGTTGTGATGTGTTCGTTCATCTCACAGAGTTTAACCTTTCTTTTCGTAGAGCAGTTAGGAAACAGTCTGTTTCTAAATTCTGTAAGTGGATATTCTGACATCTTGTGGCCTTCGTTGGAAACGGGATTTCTTCATATTCTGCTAGACAGAAGAATTCTCAGAATCTTTCCTTGTGTTGTGTGTATTCAACTCACAGAGTTGAACGATCCTTTACACAGAGCAGACTTGAAACACTCTTTTTGTGGAATTTGCAAGTGGAGATTTCAGCCGCTTTGAGGTCCATGGTAGAAAAGGAAATATCTTCGTATAAAAACTAGACAGATGATTCTCAGAAACTCTTTTGTGATGTGTGCGTTCAACTCACAGAGTTTAACCTTTCTGTTCATAGAGCCGTTAGGAAACACTCTGTTTGTAAAGTCTGCAAGTGGATATTCACACCTCCTTGTGACCTTCGTTTGAAACGGGATTTCTTCATATTCTGCTAGACAGAGGAATTCTCAGTAACTTCCTTGTGTTCTGTGTATTCAACTGACAGAGTTGAACGATCCTTTACACAGAGCAGACTTGAAACACTCTTTTTGTGGAATTTGCAAGTGGAGATTTCAGCCTCTTTGAGGTCAATGGTAGAAAAGGAAACTATCTTCGTATACAGACTAGACAGAATGATTCTCAGAAACTCCTTTGTGATGTGTGTTTTCAACTCACAGAGTTTAACCTTTCTTTTCATAGAGCAGTTAGGAAACACTCTGTTTATAAAGTCTGCAAGTGGATATTCAGACCCCTTTGAGGCCTTCGTTGGAAACGGGATTTCTTCATATTATGCTAGACAGAAGAATTCCCAGTAACTTCCTTGTGTTGTGTGTGTTCAACTCACAGAGTTGAACTCTCATTTACACAGAGCAGATTTGAAACACTCTTTTTGTGGAATTTGCAAATGGAGATTTCAAGCGCTTTGAGGCCAAAGGCAGAAAAGGAAATATCTTCGTTTCAAAACTAGACAGAATCATTCTCAGAAACTGCTGCGTGATGTGTGCGTTCAACTCTCAGAGTTTAACTTTTCTTTTCATTCAGCGGTTTGGAAACACTCTGTTTGTAAAGTCTGCACGTGGAAATTTTGACCACTTAGAGGCCTTCGTTGGAAATGGGTTTTTTTCATGTAAGGCTAGACAGAAGAATTCCCAGTAACTTCCTTGTGTTGTGTGCATTCAACTCACAGAGTTGAACGTTCCCTTAGACAGAGCAGATTTGAAACACTCTATTTGTGCAATTTGCAAGTGTAGTTTTCAAGCTCTTTAAGGTCAACGGCAGAAAAGGAAATATCTTGGTTTCAAAACTAGACAGAATCATTCCCACAAACTGCGTTGTGATGTGTTCGTTCAACTCACAGAGTTTAACCTTTCTGTTCATAGAGCAGTTAGGAAACACTCTGTTAAGTCTGTAAGTGGATATTCTGACATCTTGTGGCCTTCGTTGGAAACGGGATTTCTTCATATTCTGCTAGACAGAAGAATTCTCAGTAACTTCCTTGTGTTGTGTGTATTCAACTCACAGAGCTGAACGATCCTTTACACAGAGCAGACTTGAAACATTCTTTTTGTCGAATTTGCAAGTGGAGATTTCAGCCGCTTTGAGGTCAATGGTAGAATAGGAAATATCTTCCTATAGAAACTAGACAGAATGATTCTCAGAAAATCCTTTGTGACGTGTGCGTTCAACTCACAGAGTTTAACTTTTCTTTTCATAGAGCAGTTAGGAAACACTCTGTTTGTAAAGTCTGCAAGTGGATATTCAGACCTCTTTGAGGCCTTCGTTGGAAACGGGATTTCTTCATATTCTGCTAGACAGAAGAATTCTCAGTAACTTCCTTGTGTTGTGTGTATTCAACTCACAGAGTTGAACGATCCTTTACACAGAGCAGACTTGAAACACTCTTTTTGTGGAATTTGCAAGTGGAGATTTCTGCCTCTTTGAGGTCAATGGTAGAATAGGAGATATCTTCCTATAGAAACTAGACAGAATGATTCTCAGAAACTCCTTTTTGATGTGTGCGTTCAACTCACAGAGTTTAACTTTTCTTTTCATAGAGCAGTTAGTAAACACTCTGTTTATAAAGTCTGCAAGTGGATATTCAGACCCCTTTGAGGCCTTCGTTGGAAACGGGATTTCTTCATATTGTGCTAGACAGAAGAATTCCCAGTAACTTGCTTGTGTTGTGTGTGTTCAACTCACAGAGTTGAACTTTGATTTACACAGAGCAGATTTGAAACACTCTTTTTGTGGAATTTGCAAGTGGAGATTTCAAGCGCTTTGAGGCCAAAGGCAGAAAAGGAAATATCTTCGTATAAAAACTAGACAGAATCATTCTCAGAAACTGCTCTGCGATGTGTGCGTTCAACTCTCAGAGTTTAAATTTTCTTTTCATTCAGCAGTTTGGAAACACTCTGTTTGTAAAGTCTGCACGTGGATAATTTGACCACTTAGAGGCCTTCGTTGGAAACGGGTTTTTTCCTGTAAGGCTAGACAGAAGAATTCCCAGTAACTTCCTTGTGTTGTGTACATTCAACTCACAGAGTTGAACGTTCCCTTAGACAGAGCAGATTTGAAAAACTCTTTTTGTGCAATTGGCAAGTGGTGATTTCAGCCGCTTTGAGGTCAATGGTAGAAAAGGAAATATTTTCGTATAAAAACTAGACAGAATCATTCCCACAAACTGCGTTGTGATGTGTTCGTTCAACCCACAGAGTTTAACCTTTCTGTTCATAGAGCAGTTAGGAAACACTCTGTTTGTAAAGTATGAAAGTGGATATTCTGACATCTTGTAGCCTTCGTTGGAAACGGGATTTCTTCGTATTCTGCTAGACAGAAGAATTCTCAGTAACTTCCTTGTGTTGTGTGTATTCAACTCATAGAGTTGAACGATCCTTTACACAGAGCAGACTTGAAACACTCTTTTTGTGGAATTTGCAAGTGGAGATTTCAGCCGCTTTGAGGTCAATGGTAGAAAAGGAAATATCTTCGTATAAAGACTAGACAGAATGATTCTCAGAAAATCTTTTGTGATGTGTGCGTTCAACTCACAGAGTTTAACTTTTCTTCTCATAGAGCAGTTAAGAAACACTCTGTTTGTAAAGTCTGCAAGTGGATATTCAGACCTCTTTGAGGCCTTCGTTGGAAACGGGATTTCTTCAAATTATGCTAGACAGAAGAATTCTCAGTAACTTCCTTGTGTTGTGTGTATTCAACTCACAGAATTGAACGATCCTTTACACAGAGCAGACTTGAAACACTCTTTTTGTGGAATTTGCAAGTGGAGATTTCAGCTGCTTTGAGGTCAATGGTAGAAAAGGAAATATCTTCGTATAGAAACAAGACAGAATGATTCTCAGAAACTCCTTTGTGATGTGTGCGTTCAACTCACAGAGTTTAACCTTTCTTTTCATAGAGCAGTTAGGAAACACTCTGTTTGTAAAGTCTGCAATTGGATATTCAGACCTCTTTGAGGCCTTCGTTGGAAACGGGTTTTTTTCATATAAGGCTAGACAGAAGAATTCTCTGTAACTTCCTTGTGTTGTGTGTATTCAACTCACAGAGTTGAACGATCCTTTACACAGAGCAGACTTGAAACACTCTTTTTGTGGAATTTGCAAGTGGAGATTTCAGCCGCTTTGAGGTCAATGGTAGAATAGGAAATATCTTCCTATAGAAACTAGACAGAATGATTCTCAGAAACTCCTTTGTGATGTGTGCGTTCAACTCACAGAGTTTAACCTTTCTTTTCATAGAGCAGTTAGGAAACACTCTGTTTGTAAATTCTGCAAGTGGATATTCAGACCTCTTTGAGGCCTTCGTTGGAAACGGGTTTTTTTCATATAAGGCTAGACAGAAGAATTCTCAGAATCTTCCCTTGTGTTGTGTGTATTCAACTCACCGAGTTGAACGATCCTTTACACAGAGCAGACTTGAAACACTCTTTTTGTGGAATTTGCAAGTGGACATTTCAGCCACTTTGAGGTCCGTGGTAGAAAAGGAAATACCTTCGTATAAAAACTAGACAGAATGATTCTCAGAAAATCTTTTGTGATGTGTGCGTTCAACTCACCGAGTTTAACTTTTCTTCTCATAGAGCAGTTAGGAAACACTCTGTTTGTAAAGTCTGCAAGTGGATATTCCGACCTCTTTGAGGCCTTCGTTGGAAACGGGATTTCTTCATATTATGCTAGACAGAAGAATTCCCAGTAACTTCCTTGGGTTGTGTGTATTCAACTCACAGAGTTGAACGATCCTTTACACAGAGCAGACTTGTAACACTCTTTTTGTGGAATTTGCAAGTGGAGATTTCAGCCGCTTTGAAGTCAAAGGTAGAAAAGGAAATATCTTCCTATAAAAACTAGACAGAATGATTCTCAGAAACTCCATTGTGATGTGTGTGTCCAACTCACAGAGTTTAACCTTTCTTTTCATAGAGCAGTTAGGAAACACTCAGTTTGTAAAGTCTGCAAGAGGATATTCAGACCTCTTTGAGGCCTTCGTTGGAAACGGGTTTTTTTCATATAAGGCTAGACAGAATAATTCTCAGTAACTTCCTTGTGTTGTGTGTATTCAACTCTCAGAGTTGAACGATCCTTTACAGAGAGCAGACTTGAAACACTCTTTTTGTGGAATTTGCAAGTGGAGATTTCAGCCGCTTTGAGGTCAATGGTAGAATAGGAAATATCTTCCTATCGAAACTAGACAGAATGATTCTCAGAAACTCCTTTGTGATGTGTGCGTTCAACTCACAGAGTTCAACTTTTCTTTCCATAGAGCAGTTAGGAAACACTCTGTTTGTAAAGTCTGCAAGTGGATATTCAGACCTCTTTGAGGCCTTCGTTGGAAACGGGATTTCTTCATATTCTGCAAGACAGAAGAATTCTCAGTAACTTCCTTGTGTTGTGTGTATTCAACTCACAGAGTTGAATGATCCTTTACAGAGAGCAGACTTTAAACACACTTTTTGTGGAATTTGCAAGTGGAGACTTCAGCCGCTTTGAGGTCAATGGTAGAAAAGGAAATATCTTCGTATAAAGACTAGACAGAATGATTCTCAGAAACTTCTTTGTGATGTGTGCGTTCAACTCACAGAGTTTAACCTTTCTTTTCATAGAGCAGTTAGGAAAGACTCTGTTTGTAAAGTCTGCAAGTGGATATTCAGACCTCTTTGAGGCCTTCTTTGGAAACGGGTTTTTTTCATATAAGGCTAGACATAAGAATTCTCAGTAACTTCCTTGTGTTGTGTGTATTCAGCTGACAGAGTTGAACTTTCATTTAGAGAGAGCAGATTTGAAACACTGTTTTTGTGGAATTTGCAAGTGGAGATTTCAAGCGCTTTGTGGCCAAAGGCAGAAAACGATATATCTTCGTATAAAAACTAGACAGAATCATTCTCAGAAACTGCTCTGCGATGTGTGCGTTCAACTCTCAGAGTTTAACTTTTCTTTTCATTCAGCAGTTTGGAAACACTCTGTTTGTAAAGTCTGCACGTGGATAACTTGACCACTTAGAGGCCTTCGTTGGAAACGGGTTTTTTTCTGTAAGGCTAGACAGAAGAATTCCCAGTAACTTCCTTGTGTTGTGTGCATTCAACTCACAGAGTTGAACGTTCCCTTAGACAGAGCAGATTTGAAAAACTCTATTTGTGCAATTTGCAAGTGTAGATTTCAAGCGATTTAAGGTCAACGGCAGAAAAGGAAATATCTTCGTTTCAAAACTAGACAGAATCATTCCCACAAACTGCGTTGTGATGTGTTCGTTCAACTCACAGAGTTTAACCCTTCTGTTCATAGAGCAGTTAGGAAACACTCTGTTTGTAAAGTATGCAAGTGGATATTCAGACCTCCTTGAGGCCTTCGTTGGAAACGGGATTTCTTCATATTCTGCTAGACCGAAGAATTCTCAGTAACTTCCTTGTGTTGTGTGTATTCAACTCACAGAGTTGAACGATCCTTTACACAGAGCAGACTTGAAACACTCTTTTTGTGGAATTTGCCAGTGGAGATTTCAGCCGCTTTGAGTTCAATGGTAGAATAGGAAATATCTTCCTATAGAAACTAGAGAGAATGATTCTCAGAAAATCTTTTGTGATGTGTGCGTTCAACTCACAGAGTTTAACTTTTCTTCTCATAGAGCAGTTAGGAAACACTCTGTTTGTAAAGTCTGCAAGTGGATATTCAGACCTGTTTGAGGCCTTCGTTGGAAACGGGATTTCTTCATATTATGCTAGACAGAAGAATTCTCAGTAACTTCCTTGTGTTGTGTGTATTCAACTGACAGAGTTGAACTTTCATTTAGAGAGAGCAGATTTGAAACACTGTTTTTGTGGAATTTGCAAGTGGAGATTTCAAGCGCTTTGGGGCCAAAGGCAGAAAAGGAAATATCTTCGTATAAAAACAAGACAGAATCATTCTCAGAAACTGCTCTGCGATGTGTGCGTTCAACTCTCAGTAGTTTAACTTTTCTTTTCATTCAGCAGTTTGGAAACACTCTGTTTGTAAAGTCTGCACGTGGATATTTTGACCACTTAGAGGCCTTCTTTGGAAACGGGTTTTTTTCCTGTAAGGCTAGACAGAAGAATTCCCAGTAACTTCCTTGTGTTGTGTGCATTCAACTCACAGAGTTGAACGTTCCCTTAGACAGAGCAGATTTGAAACACTCTATTTGTGCAATTGGCAAGTGTAGATTTCAAGCGCTTTAAGGTCAATGGCAGAAGAGGAAATATCTTCGTTTCAAAACTAGACAGAATCATTCCCACAAACTGCGTTGTGATGTGTTCGTTCAACTCACAGAGTTTAACCTTTCTGTTCATAGAGCAGTTAGGAAACACTCTGTTTGTAAAGTCTGTAAGTGGATATTCTGAAATCTTGTGGTCTTCGTTGGAAACGGGATTTCTTCATATTCTGCTAGACAGAAGAATTCTCAGAAACTTCCTTGTGTTGTGTGTATTCAACTCACAGAGTTGAACGATCGTTTACACAGAGCAGACTTGAGACACTCTTTTTGTGGAATTTGTAAGTGGAGATTTCAGCCGCTTTGAGGTCAATGGTAGAAAAGGAAATATCTTCATATATAAACCAGACAGAATGATTCTCATAAACTCCTTTGTGATGTGTGCGTTCAACTCACAGAGTTTAACTTTTCATTTCATAGAGCCGTTAGGAAACACTCTGTTTGTAAAATCTGCAAGTGGATATTCAGACCTCTTTGAGGCCTTCATTGGAAACGGGATTTCTTCATATTATGCTAGACAGAAGAATTCTCAGTAACTTCCTTGTGTTGTGTGTATTCAACTCACAGAGTTGAACGATCCTTTACACAGAGCAGACTTGAAACACTCTTTTTGTGGAATTTGCAAGTGGAGATTTCAGCCGCTTTGAGGTCAATGGTAGAAAAGGAAACTATCTTCGTATAAAGACCAGACAGAATGATTCTCAGAAACTACTTTGTGATGTGTGCGTTCAACTCACAGGGTTTAACCTTTCTTTTCATAGAGCGGTTAGGAAACACTCTGTTTGTAAAGTCTGCAAGTGGATATTCAGACCTCCTTGAGGGCTTCGTTGGAAACGGGATTTCTTCATATTCTGCTAGACAGAAGAATTCTCAGTAACTTCCTTGTGTTGTGTGTATTCAACTTACAGAGTTGAACGATCCTTTACACAGAACAGACTTGAAACACTGTTTTTGTGGAATTTGCAAGTGGAGATTTCAGCCGCTTTGTGGTCAATGGTAGAATAGGAAATATGTTCCTATAGAAACTAGACAGAATGATTCTCAGAAACTCCTTTGTGATGTGTGCGTTCAACTCACAGAGTTTAACCTTTCTTTTCATAGAGCAGTTAGGAAACACTCTGTATGTAAAGTCTGCAAGTGGCTATTCAGACCTCTTTGAGGCCTTCTTTGGAAACGGGATTTCTTCATATTATGTTAGAGAGAGGAATTCTCAGGAACTTCCTTGTGTTGTGTGTATTCAACTCACAGAGTTGAACGATCCTTTACACAGAGCAGACTTGAAACACTCTTTTTGTGGAATTTGCAAGTGGAGATTTCAGCCGCTTTGAGGTCAATAGGTAGAATAGGAAATATCTTCCTATAGAAACTAGACAGAATGATTCTCAGAAACTCCTTTGTGATGTGTGCGTTCAACTCGCAGAGTTTAACCTTTCTTTTCATAGAGCAGTTAGGAAACACTCTGTTGGTAAAGTCTGCAAGTGGATATTCAGACCTCGTTGAGGCCTTCGTTGGAAACGGGATTTCTTCATATTATGCTAGACAGAAGAATTCTCAGTAACTTCCTTGTGTTGTGTGTATTCAACTCACAGAGTTGAACGATCCTTTACACAGAGCAGACTTGAAACACTCTTTTTGTGGAACTTGCAAGTGGAGATTTCAGCCGCTTTGAGGTCAATTGTAGAATAGGAAATATCTTCCTATAGAAACTAGACAGAATGATTCTCAGAAACTTCTTTGTGATGTGTGCGTTCAACTCACAGAGTTTAACCTTTCTTTTCATAGAGCAGTTAGGAAACACTCTGTTTGTAAACTCTGCAAGTGGATATTCAGACCTCTTTGAGGCCTTCGTTGCAAACGGGATTTCTTCATATTATGCCTGACAGAAGAATTCTCAGTAACTTCCTTGTGTTGTGTGTATTCAACGCACAGAGTTGAACGATCCTTTACACAGAGCATACTTGAAACACTCTTCTTGCGGAATTTGCAAGTGGAGATTTCAGCCGCTTTGAGGTCAATGGTAGAATAGGAAATATCTTCCTATAGAAACTAGACAGAATGATTCTCAGAAACTCCTTTGTGATGTGTGCGTTGAACTCACAGAGTTTAACCTTTCTTTTCATAGAGCAGTTAGGAAACACTCTGTTTGTAAAGTCTGCACGTGGATATTTGGACTTCTTTGAGGCCTTCGTTGGAAACGGGTTTTTTTCATGTAAGGCTAGGCAGCAGAATTCTCAGTAACTTCCTTGTGTTGTGTGTATTCAACTGACAGAGTTGAACTTTCATTTAGAGAGAGCAGATTTGTAACACTGTTTTTGTGGAATTTGCAAGTGGAGATTTCAAGCGATTTGCGGCCAAAGGCAGAAAAGGAAATATCTTCGTATAAAAACTAGACAGAATCATTCTCAGAAACTGCTCTGCGATGTGTGCGTTCAGCTCTCAGAGTTTAACTTTTCTTTTCATTCAGCAGTTTGGAAACACTCTGTTTGTAAAGTCTGCACGTGGATATTTTGACCACTTAGAGGCCTTCGTTGGAAACGGGTTTTTGTCATGTAAGGCTAGACAGAACAATTCCCAGTAACTTCCTTGTGTTGTGTACATTCAACTCACAGAGTTGAACGTTCCCTTAGTCAGAGCAGATTTGAAACACTCTTTTTGTGCAATTGGCAAGTGGAGATTTCAAGCGCTTAAGGTCAATGGCAGAAAAGGAAATATCTTCGTTTCAAAACTAGACAGAATCATTCCCACAAACTGCGTTGTGATGTGTTCGTTCAACTCACAGAGTTTAACATTTCTGTTCATAGAGCAGTTAGGAAACACTCTGTTTGTAAAGTCTGTAAGTGGATATTCTGACATCTTGTGGCCTTCGTTGGAAACGGGATTTCTTCCTATTCTGCTAGACAGAAGAATTCTCAGCAACTTCCTTGTGTTGTGTGTATTCAACTCACAGAGTTGAACTCTGGTTTACACAGAGCAGATTTGAAACACTCTTTTTGTGGAATTTGCAAGTGGAGATTTCAGCCGCTTTGAGGTCAATGGTAGAAAAGGAAATATCTTCGTATAAAAACTAGACAGAATGATTCTCAGAAACTCCTTTGTGATGTGTGCGTTCAACTCACAGAGTTTAACCATTCTTTTCATAGAGCAGTTAGGAAACACTCTGCTTGTAAATTCTGCAAGTGGATATTCAGACCTCCTTGAGGCCTTCGTTGGAAACGGGATTTCTTCATATTCTGCTAGACAGAAGAATTCTCACTAACTTCCTTGTGTTGTGTGTATTCAACTGACAGAGTTGAACTTTCATTTAGAGAGAGCAGATTTGAAACACTGTTTTTGTGGAATTTGCAAGTGGAGATTTCAAGCGCTTTGGGGCCAAAGGCAGAAAAGGAAATATCTTCGTATAAAAACTAGACAGAATCATTCTCAGAAACTGCTCTGCGATGTGTGCGTTCAACTCTCAGAGTTTAACTTTTCTTTTCATTCAGCAGTTTGGAAACACTCTGTTTGTAAAGTCTGCAAGTGGATAATTTGACCACTTAGAGGCCTTCGTTGGAAACGGGTTTTTTTCATGTAAGGCTAGACAGAAGAATTCTCAGTAACTTCCTTGTGTTGTGTGTATTCAATTCACAGAGTTGAACGATCCTTTACACAGAGCAGACTTGTAACACTCTTTTTGTGGAATTTGCAAGTGGAGATTTCAGCCGCTTTGAAGTCAAAGGTAGAAAAGGAAATATCTTCCTATAAAAACTAGACAGAATCATTCCCACAAACTGCGTTGTGATGTGTTCGTTCAACTCACAGCAGTTTAACCTTTCTGTTCATAGAGCAGTTAGGAAACACTCTGTGTGTAAAGTCTGCAAGTGGATATTCAGACCTCTTTGAGGCCTTCGTTGGAAACGGGATTTCTTCATATTCTGCTAGACAGAAGAATTCTCAGTAACTTCCTCGTGTTGTGTGTACTCAACTCACAGAGTTGAACGATCCTTTACACAGAGCAGACTTGAAACACTCTTTTTGTGAAATTTGCAAGTGGAGATTTCAGCCGCTTTGTGGTCAATGGTAGAATAGGAAATATCTTCCTATAGAAACTAGACAGAATGATTCTCAGAAACTTCTTTGTGATGTGTGCGTTCAACTCACAGAGTTTAACCTTCCTTTTCATAGAGCAGTTGGGAAACACTCTGTTTTTAAAGTCTGCAAGTGGATATTCAGACCTCTTTGAGGCCTTCGTTGGAAACGGGTTTTTTTCATGTAAGGCTAGACAGAAGAATTCTCAGAAACGTCCTGGTGTTGTGTGTTTTAAACTCACAGAGTTCAACGATCCTTTACACAGAGTAGACTTGAAACACTCTTTTTGTTGAATTGGCAAGTGGAGATTTCAGCCGCTTTGAGGTCAGTGGTAGAAAAGGAAATATCTTCGTATAAAAACTAGACAGAGTGATTCTCAGAAACTCCTTTGTGATGTCTGCGTTCAACTCACAGGGTTTAACCTTTCTTTTCATAGAGCAGTTAGGAAACACTCTGTTTGTAAAGTCTGCAAGTGGATATTCAGACCTCCTTGAGGCCTTCGTTGGAAACCGGATTTCTTCATATTTTGCTATACAGAATATTTCTCAGAAACTTCCTTGTGTTGTGTGTATTCAACTCACAGAGTTGAACGATCCTTTACAGAGAGCAGACTTGAAACACTCTTTTTGTGGAATTTGCAAGTGGAGATTTCAGCCGCTTTGAGGTCAATGGTAGAATAGGAAATATCTTCCTATAGAAACTAGACAGAATGATTCTCATAAACTCCTTTGTGATGTGTGCGTTCAACTCACAGAGTTTAACCTTTCTGTTCATAGAGCAGTTAGGAAACACTCTGTTTGTAAAGTCTGCAAGTGGATATTCAGACCTCTTTGAGGCCTTCGTTGGAAACGGGATTTCTTCATATTATGCTAGACAGAAGAATTCTCAGTAACTTCCTTGTGTTGTGTGTATTCAACTCACAGAGTTGAAGGATCCTTTACAGAGAGCAGGCTTGAAACACTCTTTTTGTCGAATTTGCAAGTGGAGATTTCAGCCGCTTTCAGGTCAATGGTAGAATAGGAAGTATCTTCTTATAGAAACTAGACAGAATGATTCTCAGAATCTCCTTTGAAATGTGTGCGTTCAACTCACAGAGTTTAACCTTTCTTTTCATAGAGCAGTTAGGAAACACTCTGTTTGTAAAGTCTGCAAGTGGATATTCAGACCTCTTTGAGGCCTTCGTTGGAAACGGGATATCTTCATATTATGCTAGACAGAAGAATTCCCACTAACTTCCTTGTGTTGTGTGTGTTCAACTCACAGAGTTGAACTTTCATTTACCCAGAGCAGATTTGAAACACTCTTTTTGTGGAATTTGCAAGTGGAGATTTCAAGCGCTTTGAGGCCAAAGGCAGAAAAGGAAATATCTTCGTTTCAAAACTAGACAGAATCATTCTCTGAAACTGCTCTGCGATGTGTGCGTTCAACTCTCAGAGTTTAACTTTTCTTTTCATTCAGCAGTTTGGAAACACTCTGTTTGTAAAGTCTGCACGTGGATATTTTGACCACTTAGAGGCCTTCGTTGGAAACGGGTTTTTTTCCTGTAAGGCTAGACAGAAGAATTCCCAGGAACTTCCTTGTGTTGTGTACATTCAACTCACAGAGTTGAACGTTCCCTTAGATAGAGCAGATTTGAAACACTCTTTTTGTGCAATTGGCAAGTGGTGATTTCAGCCGCTTTGAGGTCAATGGTAGAAAAGGAAATATCTTCGTATAAAAACTAGACAGAACGATTCTCAGAAACTCCTTTGTGATGTGTGCGTTCAACTCACAGAGTTTAACCTTTCTTTTCATAGAGCAGTTAGGAAACACTCTGTTTGTAAAGTCTGCAAGTGGATATTCAGACCCCTTTGAGGCCTTCGTTGGAAACGGGATTTCTTCATATTATGCTAGACAGAAGAATTCTCAGTAACTTCCTTGTGTTGTGTGTATTCAACTCACAGAGTTGAAGGATCCTTTACACAGAGCAGACTTGTAACACTCTTTTTGTGTAATTTGCAAGTGGAGATTTCAGCCGCTTTGAGGTCAATGGTAGAAAAGGAAATCTCTTCGTATAAAAACTAGACAGAATGATTCTCAGAAACTCCTTTGTGATGTGTGCCTTCAACTCACAGAGTTTAACCTTTCTTTTCATAGAGCAGTTAGGAAACACTCTGTTTGTAAAGTCTGCAAGTGGATATTCAGACCTCTTTGAGGCCTTCGTTGGAAACGGGATTTCTTCATACTGTGCTAGACAGAAGAATTCCCAGTAACTTCCTTGTGTTGTGTGTGTTCAACTCACAGAGTTGAACTTTCATTTACACAGAGCAGATTGGAAACACTCTTTTTGTGGAATTTGCAAGTGGAGATTTCAAGCGCTTTGAGGCCAAAGGCAGAAATGGAAATATCTTCGTATAAAAACTAGACAGAATCATTCTCAGAAACTGCTCTGCGATGTGTGCGTTCAACTCTCAGAGTTTAACTTTTCTTTTCATTCAGCAGTTTGGAAACACTCTGTTTGTAAAGTCTGCACATGGATATTTTGACCACTTAGAGGCCTTCGTTGGAAACGGGTTTCTTTCCTGTAAGGCTAGACAGAAGAATTCCCAGTAACTTCCTTGTGTTGTGTACATTCAACTCACAGAGTTGAACGTTCCCTTAGACACAGCAGATTTGAAACACTCTTTTTGTGCAATTGGCAAGTGGAGATTTCAAGCGCTTTAAGGTCAATGGCAGTAAAAGAAATATCTTCGTTTCAAAACTAGACAGAATCATTCCCACAAACTGCGTTGTGATGTGTTCGTTCAACTCACAGAGTTTAACCTTTCTGTTCATAGAGCAGTTAGGAAACACTCTGTTTGTAAAGTCTGCAAGTGGATATTCTGACATCTTGTGGCCTTCGTTGGAAATGGGATTTCTTCATATTCTGCTAGACAGAAGAATTCTCAGTAACTTCCTTGTGTTGTGTGTATTCAACTCACAGAATTGAACGATCCTTTACACAGAGCAGACTTGAAACACTCTTTTTGTGGAATTTGCAATTGTAGATTTCAGCCGCTTTGAGGTCAATGGTAGAAAAGGAAATATCTTCGTATAGAAACAAGACAGAATGATTCTCAGAAACTCCTTTGTGATGTGTGTGTTCAACTCACAGAGTTTAACCTTTCTTTTCATAGAGCAGTTAGTAAACACTCTGTTTATAAAGTCTGCAAGTGGATATTCAGACCCCTTTGAGTCCTTCGTTGGAAACGGGATTTCTTCATATTATGCTAGACAGAAGAATTCCCAGTAACTTCCTTGTGTTGTGTGTGTTCAACTCACAGAGTTGAACTTTCATTTACACAGAGCAGATTTGAAACACTCTTTTTGTGGAATTTGCAAGTGGAGATTTCATGCGCTTTGAGGCCAAAGGCAGAAAAGGAAATATCTTCGTTTCAAAACTAGACAGAATCATTCTCAGAAACTGCTGCGTGATGTGTGCGTTCAACTCTCAGAGTTTAACTTTTCTTTTCATTCAGCGGTTTGGAAACACTCTGTTTGTAAAGTCTGCACGTGGAAATTTTGACCACTTAGCGGCCTTCGTTGGAAACGGGATTTTTTCATGTAAGGCTAGACAGAAGAATTCTCAGTAACTTCCTTGTGTTGTGTGTATTCAACTCACAGAGTTGAACGATCCTTTACACAGAGCAGACTTGAAACACTCTTTTTGTGGAATTTGCAAGTGGGGATTTCAGCCGCTTTGAGGTCAATGGTAGAAAAGGAAATATCTTCGTATAAAGACTAGACAGAATGATTCGCAGAAACTCCTTTGTGATGTGTGCGTTCAACTCACAGAGTTTAACCTTTCTTTTCATAGAGCAGTTAGGAAACACTCTGTTTGTAAAGTCTGCAAGTGGATATTCAGACCTCCTTGAGGCCTTCTTTGGAAACGGGATTTCTTCATATTCTGCTAGACAGAAGAATTCTCAGCAACTTCCTTGTGTTGTGTGTATTCAACTCACAGAGTTGAACGATCCTTTACACAGAGCAGACTTGAAACACTCTTTTTGTGGAATTTGCAAGTGGAGATTTCAGCCGCTTTGTGGTCAATGGTAGAAAAGGAAACTATCTTCGTATAAAGACTAGACAGAATGATTCTCAGAAACTCCTTTGTGATGTGTGCGTTCAAATCACAGAGTTTAACTTTTCTTTTCATAGAGCAGTTAGGAAACCCTCTGTTTGTAAAGTCTGCAAGTGGATATTCAGACCTCTTTGAGGCCTTCGTTGGAAACGGGATTTCTTCATATTATGCTAGACAGAAGAATTCTCAGTAACTTCCTTGTGTTGTGTATATTCAACTCACAGAGTTGAATGATCCTTTACACAGAGCAGACTTGAAACTCTCTTTTTGTGGAATTTGCAAGTGGAGATTTCAGCCGCTTTGAGGTCAATGGTAGAAAAGCAAATATCTTCGTATAAAGACTAGACAGAATGATTCTCAGAAACTCCTTTGTGATGTGTGCGTTCAACTCACAGAGTTTAACCTTTCTTTTCATAGAGCAGTTAGGAAACACTCTGTTTCTAAAGTCTGCAAGTGGATATTCAGACCTCCTTGAGGCATTCGTTGGAAACGGGATTTCTTCATATTATGCTAGACAGAAGAATTCTCAGAAACTTCCTTGTGTTGTGTGTATTCAACTCACAGAGTTGAACGATCGTTTACACAGAGCAGACTTGAGACACACTTTTTGTGGAATTTGTAAGTGGAGATTTCAGCCGCTTTGAGGTCAATGGTAGAAAAGGAAATATCTTCATATAAAAACTAGACAGAATGATTCTCATAACTCCTTTGTGATGTGTGCGTTCAACTCACAGAGTTCAACCTCTCTTTTCATAGAGCAGTTGGGAAACACTCTGTTTGTAAAGTCTGCAAGTGGATATTCAGACTTCTTTGAGGCCTTCGTTGGAAACGGGATTTCTTCATATTATGCTAGACAGAAGAATTCTCAGTAACTTCCTTGTGTTGTGTTTATTCAACACACAGAGTTGAATGATCCTTTACACAGAGCAGACTTGAAACACTCTTTTTGTGGAATTTGCAAGTGGAGATTTCAGCCGCTTTGAGGTCAATGGTAGAATAGGAAATATCTTCTTATAGAAACTAGACAAAACGATTCTCAGAAACTCCTTTGTGATGTGTGCGTTCAACTCACAGAGTTTGACCTTTCTTTTCATAGAGCAGTTAGGAAACACTCTGTTTGTAAAGTCTGCAAGTGGATATTCAGACCTCTTTGAGGCCTTCGTTGGAAACGGGATTTCTTCATATTCTGCTAGACAGAATAATTCTCAGTAACTTCCTTGTGTTGTGTGTATTCAACTCACAGATATGAAGGATCCTTTACAGAGAGCAGGCTTGAAACACTCTTTTTGTCGAATTTGCAAGTGGAGATTTCAGCCGCTTTGAGGTCAATGGTAGAATAGGAAATATCTTCTTATAGAAACTAGACAGAATGATTCTCAGAAACTTCTTTGTGATGTGTGCGTTCAACTCACAGAGTTTAACCTTTCTTTTCATAGAGCAGTTAGGAAACACTCTGTTTGTAAACTCTGCAAGTGGATATTCGGACCTCTTTGAGGCCTTCGTTGGAAACGGGATTTCTTCATACTGTGCTAGACAGAAGAATTCCCAGTAACTTCCTTGTGTTGTGTGTGTTCAACTCACAGAGTTGAACTTCCATTTACACAGAGCAGATTTGAAACACTCTTTTTGTGGAATTTGCAAGTGGAGATTTCAAGCGCTTTGAGGCCAAAGGCAGAAAAGGAAATATCTTCGTTTCAAAACTAGACATAATCATTCTCAGAAACTGCTCTGCGATGTGTGCTTTCAACTCTCAGAGTTTAACTTTTCTTTTCATTCAGAAGTTTGGAAACACTCTGTTTGTAAAGTCTGCACGTGGATAATTTGACCACTTAGAGGTCTTCGTTGGAAACGGGTTTTTTTCATGTAAGGCTAGACAGAAGAATTCCCAGTAACTTCGTTGTGTTTTATGCATTCAACTCACAGAGTTGAACGTTCCCTTAGACAGAGCAGATTTGAAACACTCTCTTTGTGCAATTTGCAAGTGTAGATTTCAAGCGCTTTAAGGTCAGTGGCAGAAAAGGAAATATCTTCGTTTCAAAACTAGACAGAATCATTCCCACAAACTGCGTTGTGATGTGTTCGTTCAACTCACAGAGTTTAACTTTTCTGTTCATAGAGCAGTTAGGAAACACTCTGTTTGTAAAGTCTGCAAGTGGATATTCAGACCTCCTTGAGGCCTTCGTTGGAAACGGGATTTCTTCATATTCTGCTAGACAGAAGAATTCTCAGTAACTTCCTTGTGTTGTGTGTATTCAACTCACAGAGTTGAACGATCCTTTACACACAGCAGACTTGAAACACTCTTTTTGTGGAATTTGCAAGTGGAGATTTCAGCCGCTTTGAGGTCAATGGTAGAAAAGGAAACTATCTTCATATAAAGACTAGACAGAATGATTCTCAGAAACTCCTTTGTGATGTGTGTGTCCAACTCACAGAGTTTAACCTTTCTTTTCATAGAGCAGTTAGGAAACACTCTGTTTGTAAAGTCTGCAAGAGGATATTCAGACCTCTTTGAGGCCTTCGGTGGAAACGGGTTTTTTTCATATAAGGCTAGACAGAATAATTCTCAGTAACTTCCTTGTGTTGTGTGTATCCAACTCACAGAGTTGAAGGATCCTTTACAGGGAGCAGGCTTGAAACACTCTTTTTGTCGAATTTGCAAGTGGAGATTTCAGCCGCTTTGAGGTCAATGGTAGAATAGGAAATATCTTCTTATAGAAACTAGACAGAATGATTCTCAGAAACTCCTTTGTGATGTGTGCGTTCAACTCACAGAGTTCAACCTTTCTTTTCATAGAGCAGTTAGGAAACACTCTGTTTGTAAAGTCTGCAAGTGGATATTCAGACATCTTTGAGGCTTTCGTTGGAAACGGGATTTCTTCATATTCTGCTAGAAAGAAGAATTCTCAGAATCTTCCTTGTGTTGTGTGTATTCAACTCACAGAGTTGAACGATCCTTCACACAGAGCAGACTTGAAACACTCTTTTTGTGGAATTTGCAAGTGGAGATTTCAGCCACTTTGAGGTCCATGGTAGAAAAGGAAATATCTTCGTATAAAAACTAGACAGAATAATTATCAGAAAATCCTTTGTGATGTGTGCGTTCAACTCACAGAGTTTAACTTTTCTTTTCATAGAGCAGTTAGGAAACACTCTGTTTGTAAAGTCTGCAAGTGGATATTCAGACCTCCTTGAGGCCTTCGTTGGAAACGGGATTTCTTCATATTCTGCTAGACAGAAGAATTCTCAGTAACTTCCTTGTGTTGTGTGTATTCAACTCACAGAGTTGAACGATCCTTTACACAGAGCAGACTTGAAACACTCTGTTTGTGAAATTTGCAAGTGGAGATTTCAGCCGCTTTGAGGTCAATAGTAGAAAAGGAAATATCTTCGTAGAAAAACTAGACAGAATGATTCTCAGAAACTCCTTTGTGATGTGTGTGTTCAACTCACAGAGTTTAACCTTTCTTTTCATAGAGCAGTTCGTAAACACTCTGTTTGTAAAGTCTGCAAGTGGATATTCAGACCCCTTTGAGGCCTTCTTTGGAAACGGGATTTCTTCATATTATGCTAGACAGAAGATTTCCCAGTAACTTCCTTGTGTTGTGTGTGTTCAACTCACAGAGTTGAACTTTCATTTACAGAGAGCAGATATGAAACACTCTTTTTGTGGAATTTGCAAATGGAGATTTCAAGCGCTTTGAGGCCAAAGGCAGAAAAGGAAATATCTTCGTATAAAAACTAGACAGAATCATTCTCAGAAAATCCTCTGTGATGTGTGCGTTCAACTCTCAGAGTTTAACATTTCTTTTCATTCAGCAGTTTGAAAACACTCTGTTTGTAAAGTCTGCACGTGGATATTTTGACCACTTAGAGGCCTTCTTTGGAAACGGGTTTTTTTCATGTAAGTGTAGACAGAAGAATTCCCAGTAACTTCCTTGTGTTGTGTGCATTCAACTCACAGAGTTGAACGTTCCCTTAGACAGAGCAGATTTGAAACACTCTTTTTGTGCAATTTGCAAGTGGAGATTTCAAGCGCTTTAGGGTCAATGGCAGAAAAGGAAATATCTTCGTTTCAAAACTAGACAGAATGATTCTCAGGAACTCCTTTGTGATGTGTGCGTTCAACTCACAGAGTTTAACCTTTCTTTTCATAGAGCAGTTAGGAAACACTCTGTTTGTAAAGTCTGCAAGTGGATATTCAGACCTCCTTGAGGCCTTCGTTGGAAACGGGATTTCTTCATATTCTGCTAGACAGAAGAATTCTCAGTAACTTCCTTGTGTTGTGTGTATTCAACTCACAGAGTTGAACGATCCTGTACACAGAGCAGACTTGAAACACTCTTTTTGTGGAATTTGCAAGTGGAGATTTCAGCCGCTTTGAGGTCAATGGTAGAATAGGAAATATCTTCCTATAGAAACTAGACAGAATGATTCTCAGAAACTCCTTTGTGATGTGTGCGTTCAACTCACAGAGTTTAACCTTTCTTTTCATAGAGCAGTTAGGAAACACTCTGTTTGTAAAGTCTGCAAGTGGATATTCAGACCTCCTTGAGGCCTTCGTTGGAAACGAGATTTCTTCATATTATGCTAGACAGAAGAATTCTCAGTAACTTCCTTGTGTTGTGTGTATTCAACTCACAGAGTTGAACGATCCTTTACACAGAGCAGACTTGAAACACTCTTCTTGTGGAATTTGCAAGTGGAGATTTCAGCCGCTTTGAGGTCAATGGTAGAATAGGAAATATCTTCGTATAAAAACTAGACAGAATGATTCTCAGAAACTCCTTTGTGATGTGTGCGTTCAACTCACAGAGTTTAACTTTTCTTTTCATAGATCAGTTAGGAAACACTCTGTTTGTAAAGTCTGCAAGTGGATATTCAGACCTCTTTGAGGCCTTCGTTGGAAACGGGATTTCTTCATATTCTGCTAGACAGAAGAATTCTCAGAATCTTCCTTGTGTTGTGTGTATTCAACTCACAGAGTTGAACGATCCTTTACACAGAGCAGACTTGAAACACTCTTTTTGTGGAATTTGCAAGTGGAGATTTCAGCTGCTTTGACGTCCATGGTAGAAAAGGAAATATCTTCGTATAAAAACTAGACAGAATGATTCTGAGAAACTCCTTTGTGATGTGTGCATTCAACTCACAAAGTTTATCCTTTCTTTTCATAGAGCAGTTAGGAAACACTCTGTTTGTAAAGTCTGCAAGTGGATATTCAGACCTCCTTGAGGCCTTCGTTGGAAACGGGATTTCTTCATATTCTGCTAGACAGAAGAATTCTCAGTAACTTCCTTGTGTTGTGTGTTTTCAACTCACAGAGTTGAACGATCCTTTACACAGAGCAGACTTGAAACACTCTTTTTGTGGAATTTGCAAGTGGAGATTTCAGCCGCTTTGAGGTCAATGGTAGAATAGGAAATATCTTCCTACAGAAACTAGACAGAATGATTCTCAGAAACTCCTTTGTGATGTGTGCGTTCAACTCACACAGTTTAACCTTTCTTTTCATAGAGCAGTTAGTAAACACTCTGTTTGTAAAGTCTGCAAGTGGATATTCAGACCTCCTTGAGGCCTTCGTTGGAAACGGGATTTCTTCATATTATGCTAGACAGAAGAATTCCCAGTAACTTCCTTGTGTTGTGTGTGTTCAACTCACAGAGTTGAACTTTCATTTACACAGAGCAGATTTGAAACACTCTTTTTGTGGAATTTGCAAATGGAGATTTCAAGCGCTTTGAGGCCAAAGGCAGAAAATGAAATATCGTCGTATAAAAACTAGACAGAATCATTCTCAGAAACTGCTCTGCGATGTGTGCGTTCAACTCTCAGAGTTTAACTTTTCTTTTCATTCAGCAGTTTGGAAACACTCTGTTTGTAAAGTCTGCGCGTGGATAATTTGACCACTTAGAGGCCTTCGTTGGAAACGGGTTTTTTTCATGTAAGGCTAGACAGAAGAATTCTCAGTAACTTCCTTGTGTTGTGTGTATTCAACTCTCAGAGTTGAACGATCCTTTACAGAGAGCAGACTTTAAACACTCTTTTTGTGGAATTTGCAAGTGGAGATTTCAGCCGCTTTGAGGTCAATGGTAGAAAAGGAAATATCTTCGTATAAAGACTAGACAGAATGATTCGCAGAAACTCATTTGTGATGTGTGTGTTCAACTCACAGAGTTTAACCTTTCTTTTCATAGAGCAGTTAGGAAACACTCTGTTTGTAAAGTCTGCAAGTGGATATTCAGACCTCTTTGAGGCCTTCGTTGGAAACGGGTTTTTTTCATATAAGGCTAGACAGAAGAATTCTCGGTAACTTCCTTGTGTTGTGTGTATTCAACTGACAGAGTTGAACTTTCATTTAGAGAGATCAGATTTGAAACACTGTTTTTGTGGAATTTGCAAGTGGAGATTTCAAACGCTTAGGGGCCAAACGCAGAAAAGGAAATATATTCGTATAAAAACTAGACAGAATGATTCTCAGAAACTCCTTTGTGATGTGTGCGTTCAACTCACAGAGTTTAACCTTTCTGTTCATAGAGCAGTTAGGAAACACTCTGTTTGTAAAGTCTGCAAGTGGATATTCAGACCTCCTTGAGGCCTTCGTTGGAAACGGGGTTTCTTCATATTCTGCTGGAGAGAAGAATTCTCAGCAACTTCCTTGTGTTGTGTGTATTCAACTCACAGAGTTGAACGATCCTTTACACAGAGCAGACTTGAAACACTCTTTTTGTGGAATTTGCAAGTGGAGATTTCAGGCGCTTTGAGGTCAATGGTAGAAAAGGAAACTATCTTCGTATAAAGACTAGACAGAATGATTCTCAGAAAATCCTTTGTGATGTGTGCGTTCAAATCTCAGAGTTTAACTTTTCTTTTCATAGAGCAGTTAGGAAACACTCTGTTTGTAAAGTCTGCAAGTGGATATTCAGACCTCTTTGAGGCCTTCGTTGGAAACGGGATTTCTTCATATTATGCTAGACAGAAGAATTCTCAGTAACTTCCTTGTATTGTGTGTATTCAACTGACAGAGTTGAACTTTCATTTAGAGAGAGCAGATTTGTAACACTCTTTTTGTGGAATTTGCAAGTGGAGATTTCAAGCGCTTTGCGGTCAATGGCAGAAAACGAAATATCATCGTATAAAAACTAGACAGAATCATTCTCAGAAACTGCTCTGCGATGTGTGCGTTCAACTCTCAGAGTTTAACTTTTGTTTTCATTCAGCAGTTTGGAAACACTCTGTTTGTAAAGTCTGCACGTGGATATTTTGACCACTTAGAGGCCTTCGTTGGAAACGGGTTTTTATCCTGTAAGGCTAGACAGAAGAATTCTCAGTAACTTCCTTGTGTTGTGTGTATTCAACTCACAGAGTTCAACGATGCTTTGCACAGAGGAGACTTGAAACACACTTTTTGTTGAATTTGCAAGTGGAGATTTCAGCCGCTTTGAGGTCAATGGTAGAATAGGAAATATCTTCCTATAGAAACTAGACAGAATGATTCTCAGAAACTCCTTTGTGATGTGTGCGCTCAACTCACAGAGTTTAACCTTTCTTTTCATAGAGCAGTTAGGAAACACTCTGTTTGTAAAGTCTGCAAGTGGATATTCAGACCTCTTTGAGGCCTTCGTTGGAAACGGGATTTCTTCATATTCTGCTAAACAGAAGAATTCTCAGTAACTTCCTTGTGTTGTGTGTATTCAACTCACAGAGTTGAACGATCCTTTACACAAAGCAGACTTGAAACACTCTTTTTGTGGAATTTGCAAGTGGAGATTTCAGCCGCTTTGAGGTCAATGTTAGAATAGGAAATATCTTCCTATAGAAACTAGACAGAAATGATTCTCAGAAACTCCTTTGTGATGTGTGCGTTCAACTCACAGAGTTTAACCTTTCTTTTCATAGAGTAGTTAGGAAACACTCTGTTTGTAATGTCTGCCAGTGGATATTCAGACCTCTTTGAGGCCATCGTTGGAAACGGGATTTCTTCATATTATGCTAGACAGAAGAATTCCCAGTAACTTCCTTGTGTTGTGTGTGTTCAACTCACAGAGTTGAACTTTCATTTACACAGAGCAGATTTGAAACACTCTTTTTGTGGAATTTGCAAGTGGAGATTTCACGCGCTGTGAGGCCAAAGGCAGAAAAGGAAATATCTTCGTATAAAAACTAGACAGAATCATTCTCAGAAACTGCTCTGCGATGTGTGCGTTCAACTCTCAGAGTTTAACTTTTCTTTTCATTCAGCAGTTTAGAAACACTCTGTTTGTAAAGTCTGCACGTGGATATTTTGACCATTTAGAGGCTTTCGTTGGAAACGGGTTTTTTTCTTGTAAGGCTAGACAGAAGAATTCCCAGGAACTTCCTTGTGTTGTGTACATTCAACTCACAGAGTTGAACGTTCCCTTAGACAGAGCAGATTTGAAA
Source organism: Homo sapiens (assembly GCF_000001405.40). NCBI lineage: Eukaryota > Metazoa > Chordata > Mammalia > Primates > Hominidae > Homo > Homo sapiens. The sequence goes on from NC_000001.11 coordinate 122,649,026, forward strand.
CACTCTTTTTGTGCAATTGGCAAGTGGTGATTTCAGCCGCTTTGAGGTCAATGGTAGAAAAGGAAATATCTTCGTATAAAAACTAGACAGAATGATTCTCAGAAACTTCATTGTGACGTGTGCGTTCAACTCACAGAGTTTATCCTTTCTTTTCATAGAGCAGTTAGGAAACACTCTGTTTGTAAAGTCTGCAAGTGGATATTCAGACCTCTTTGAGGCCTTCGTTGGAAACGGGATTTCTTCATACTGTGCTAGACAGAAGAATTCTCAGTAACTGCCTTGTGTTGTGTGTATTCAACTCACAGAGTTGAACGATCCTTTACACAGAGCAGACTTGAAACACTCCTTTTGTGGAATTTGCAATTGGAGATTTCAGCCGCTTTGAGGTCAATGGTAGAATAGGAAATATCTTCCTATAGAAACTAGACAGAATGATTCTCAGAAACTCCTTTGTGATGTGTGTGTTCAACTCACAGAGTTTAACCTTTCTTTTCATAGAGCAGTTAGTAAACACTCTGTTTATAAATCTGCATGTGGATATTCAGATCTCTTTGAGGCCTTCGTTGGAAACGGGATTTCTTCATATTATGCTAGACAGAAGAATTCTCAGTAACTTCCTTGTGTTGTGTGTATTCAACTGACAGAGTTGAACTTTCATTTACAGAGAGCAGATTTGAAACACTGCTTTGTGGAATTTGCAAGTGGAGATTTCAAGCGCTTTGGGGCCAAAGGCAGAAAAGGAAATATCTTCGTATAAAAACTAGACAGAATGATTCTCAGAAACTCCTTTGTGACGTGTGCGTTCAACTCACAGAGTTTAACTTTTCTTTTCATAGAGCAGTTAGGAAACACTCTGTTTGTAAAGTCTGCAAGTGGATATTCAGACCTCTTTGAGGCCTTCGTTGGAAACGGGATTTCTTCATATTCTGCTAGACAGAAGAATTCTCCCTAACTTCCTTGTGTTGTGTGTATTCAACTCACAGAGTTGAACGATCCTTTACACAGAGCAGACTTGAAACACACTTTTTGTGGAATTTGCAATTGGAGATTTCAGCCGCGTTGAGGTCAATGGTAGAAAAGGAAATATCTTCGTATAAAAACTAGACAGAATCATTCTCAGAAACTTCTTTGTGATGTATGCGTTCAACTCACAGAGTTTAACCTTCCTTTTCATAGAGCAGTTAGGAAACCCTCTGTTTGTAAACTCTGCAAGTGGATATTCAGACCTCTTTGAGGCCTTCGTTGGAAACGGGATTTCTTCATACTATGCTAGACAGAAGAATTCCCAGTAACTTCCTTGTGTTGTGTGCGTTCAACTCACAGAGTTGAACTTTGATTTACACAGAGCAGATTTGAAACACTCTTTTTGTGGAATTTGCAAGTGGAGATTTCAAGCGCTTTGAGGCCAAAGGCAGAAAAGGAAATATCTTCGTATAAAAACTAGACAGAATCATTCTCAGAAACTGCTGCTTGATGTTTGCGTTCAACTCTCAGAGTTTAACTTTTCTTTTCATTCAGCGGTTTGGAAACACTCTGTTTGTAAAGTCTGCACGTGGATATTTTGACCACTTAGAGGCCTTCGTTGGAAACGGGTTTTTTTCATGTAAGGCTAGACAGAAGAATTCCCAGTAACTTCCTTGTGTTGTGTACATTCAACTCACAGAGTTGAACGTTCCCTTAGACAGAGCAGATTTGAAACACTCTTTTTGTGCAATTGGCAAGTGGAGATTTCAAGAGTTTTAAGGTCAATGGCAGAAAAGGAAATATCTGCGTTTCAAAACTAGACAGAATCATTCCCACAGACTGCGTTGTGATGTGTTCGTTCAAATCACAGAGTTTAACCTTTCTTTTCATAGAGCAGTTAGGAAACAGTCTGTTTGTAAATTCTGTAAGTGGATTTTCTGACAACTTGTGGCCTTCGTTGGAAACGGGATTTCTTCATATTCTGCTAGACAGAAGAATTCTCAGTAACTTCCTTGTGTTGTGTGTATTCAACTCACAGAGTTGAACGATCCTTTACACAGAGCAGACTTGAAACACTCTTTTTGTGGAATTTGCAAGTGGAGATTTCAGCCGCTTTGAGGTCAAAGGTAGAATAGGTAATATCTTCCTATAGAAACTAGACAGAATGATTCTCAGAAACTCCTTTGTGATGTGTGCGTTCAACTCACAGAGTTTAACCTTTCTGTTCACAGAGCAGTTAGGAAACACTCTGTTTGTAAAGTCTGCAAGTGGATATTCAGACCTCCTTGAGGCCTTCGTTGGAAACGGGATTTCTTCGTATTCTGCTAGACAGAAGAATTCTCAGTAACTTCCTTGTGTTGTGTGTATTCAACTGACAGAGTTGAACGATCCTTTACACAGAGCAGACTTGAAACACTCTTTTTGTGGAATTTGCAAGTGGAGATTTCAGCCGCTTTGAGGTCAATGGTAGAAAAGGAAATATCTTCGTATAAAGACTAGACAGAATCATTCTCAGAAACTGCTCTGCGATGTGTGCGTTCAACTCTCAGAGTTTAACTTTTCTTTTCATTCAGCAGTTTGGAAACACTCTGTTTGTAAAGTCTGCACGTGGATATTTTGACCATTTAGAGGCCTTCGTTGGAAACGGGTTTTTTTCTTGTAAGGCTAGACAGAAGAATTCCCAGGAACTTCCTTTTGTTGTGTACATTCAACTCACAGAGTTGAACGTTCCCTTAGACAGAGCAGATTTGAAACACTCTTTTTGTGCAATTGGCAAGTGGTGATTTCAGCCGCTTTGAGGTCAATGGTAGAAAAGGAAATATCTTCGTATAAAAACTAGACAGAATGATTCTCAGAAACTCCTTTGTGATGTGTGTGTTCAACTCACAGAGTTTAACCTTTCTTTTCATAGAGCAGTTAGGAAACACTCTGTTTGTAAAGTCTGCAAGTGGATATTCAGACCTCTTTGAGGCCTTCGTTGGAAACGGGTTTTTTTCATATTAGGCTAGACAGAAGAATTCCCAGTAACTTCCTTGTGTTGTGTGTGTTCAACTCACAGAGTTGAACTTCATTTAAACAGAGCAGATTTGAAACACTCTTTTTGTGGAATTTGCAAGTGGAGATTTCAAGCGCTTTGAGGCCAAAGGCAGAAAAGGAAATATCTTCGTAAAAAAATAGAAAGAATCATTCTCAGAAACTGCTCTGCGATGTGTGCGTTCAACTCTCAGAGTTTGACTTTTCTTTTCATTCAGCAGTTTGGAAACACTCTGTTTGTAAAGTCTGCACGTGGAAAATTTGACCACTTAGAGGCCTTCATTGGAAACGGGTTTTTTTCATGTAAGGCTAGACAGAAGAATTCTCAGTAACTTCCTTGTGTTGTGTGTATTGAACTCACAGAGTTGAACGATCCTTTACACAGAGCAGACTTGTAACACTCTTTTTGTGGAATTTGCAAGTGGAGATTTCAGCCACTTTGAAGTCAAAGGTAGAAAAGGAAATATCTTCCTATAAAAACTAGACAGAATCATTCCAAGAAACTGCGTTGTCATGTGTTCGTTCAACTCACAGAGTTTAACCTTTCTGTTCATAGAGCAGTTAGGAAACACTCTGTAAAGTTTGTAAGTGGATATTCTGACATCTTGTGGCCTTCGTTGGAAACGGGATTTCTTCATATTCTGCTAGACAGAAGAATTCTCAGTAACTTCCTTGTGTTGTGTGTATTCAACTCACAGAGTTGAACGATCCTTTACACAGAGCAGACTTGAAACACTCATTTTGTGGAATTTGCAAGTGGAGATTTCAGCCGCTTTGAGGTCAATGGTAGAAAAGGAAACTATCTTCATATAAAGACTAGACAGAATGATTCTGAGAAACTCCTTTGTGATGTGTGCATTCAACTCACAGAGTTTAACCTTTCTTTTCATAGAGCAGTTAGGAAACACTCTGTTTGTAAAGTCTGCAAGTGGATATTCAGACCTCCTTGAGGCCTTCGTTGGAAACGGGATTTCTTCATATTCTGCTAGACAGAATAATTCTCAGTAACTTCCTTGTGTTGTGTGTATTCAACTCACAGAGTTGAAGGATCCTTTACAGAGAGCAGGCTTGAAACACTCTTTTTGTCGAATTTGCAAGTGGAGATTTCAGCCGCTTTGAGGTCAATGGTAGAATAGGAAATATCTTCTTATAGAAAGTAGACAGAACGATTCTCAGAAACTCCTTTGTGATGTGTGCGATCAACTCACAGAGTTTAACCTTTCTTTTCATAGAGCAGTTAGGAAACACTCTGTTTGTAAAGTCTGCAAGTGGATATTCAGACCTCCTTGAGGCCTTCGTTGGAAACGGGATTTCTTCATATTCTGCTAGACAGAAGTATTCTCAGTAACTTCCTTGTGTTGTGTGTATTCAACTCACAGAGTTGAACGATCCTTTACAAAGAGCAGACTTGAAACACTCTTTTTGTGGAATTTGCAAGTGGAGATTTCAGCCGCTTTGAGGTCCATGGTAGAAAAGGTAATATCTTCCTATAAAGACTAGACAGAATGATTCTCAGAAACTCCTTTGTGATGTGTGCGTTCAACTCACAGAGTTTAACCTTTCTGTTCATAGAGCAGTTAGGAAACACTCTGTTTGTATAGTCTGCAAGTGGATATTCAGACCTCCTTGAGGCCTTCGTTGGAAACGGGATTTCTTCATATTCTGCTAGACAGAAGAATTCTCAGTAACTTCCGCGTGTTGTGTGTATTCAACTCAGAGAGTTGAACGATCCTTTACACAGAGCAGACTTGAAACACTCTTTTTGTGGAATTTGCAAGTGGAGATTTCTGCCGCTTTGAGGTCAATGGTAGAAAAGGAAATATCTTCCTATAAAAACTAGACAGAATGATTCTCATAAACTCCTTTGTGATGTGTGCATTCAACTCACTGAGTTTCACCTTTCTTTTCATAGAGCAGTTAGGAAACACTCTGTTTGTAAAGTCTGCAAGTGGATATTCAGACCTCCTTGAGGCCTTCGTTGGAAACGGGATTTCTTCATATTCTGCTAGACAGAAGAATTCTCAGTAACTTCCTTGTGTTGTGTGTATTCAACTCACAGAGTTGAACGATCCTTTACACAGAGCAGACTTGAAACACTCTTTTTGTGGAATTTGCAAGTGGAGATTTCAGCTGCTTTGAGGTCAATGGTAGAAAAGGAAATATCTTCGTATAAAGACTAGACAGAAATCATTCTCAGTAAACTGCTCTGCGATGTGTGCGTTCAACTCTCAGAGTTTAACTTTTCTTTTCATTCAGCAGTTTGGAAACACTCTGTTTGTAAAGTCTGCACGTGGATAACTTGACCACTTAGAGGACTTCGTTGGAAACGGGTTTTTTTCCTGTAAGGCTAGACAGAAGAATTCCCACTAACTTCCTTGTGTTGTGTACATTCAACTCACAGAGGTGAACGTTCCCTTAGACAGAGCAGATTTGAAACACTCTTTTTGTGCAATTGGCAAGTGGAGATTTCAAGCGCTTTAAGGTCAATGGTAGAAAAGGAAATATCTTCGTTTCAAAACTAGACAGAATGATTCTCAGAAACTCCTTTGTGATGTGTGCGTTCAACTCACAGAGTTTAACCTTTCTTTTCATAGAGCATTTGGGAAACGCTCTGTTTGTAAAGTCTGCAAGTGGATATTCAGACTTCTTTGAGGTCTTCGTTGGAAGCGGGATTTCTTCATATTCTGCTAGACAGAAGAATTCTCAGTAACTTCCTTGTGTTGTGTGTATTCAACTCACAGAGTTGAACGATCCTTTACACAGAGCAGACTTGAAACACTCTTTTTGTGGAATTTGCAAGTGGAGACTTCAGCCGCTTTGAGGTCAATGGTAGAATAGGAAATATCTTCCCATAGAAACTAGACAGAATGATTCTCAGAAACTCCTTTGTGATGTGTGCGTTCAACTCACAGAGTTTAACCTTCCTTTTCATAGAGCAGTTAGGAAACACTCTGTTTGTAAAGTCTGCAAGTGTATATTCAGACATCCTTGAGGCTTTCGTTGGAAACGGGATTTCTTCATATTCTGCTAGAAAGAAGAATTCCCAGTAACTTCCTTGTGTTGTGTGTGTTCAACTCACAGAGTTGAACTTTCATTTACACAGAGCAGATTTGAAACACTCTTTTTGTGGAATTTGCAAGTGGAGATTTCAAGCGCTTTGAGGCCAAAGGCAGAAAAGGAAATGTCTTCGTTTCAAAACTAGACAGAATCATTCTCAGAAACTGCTCTGCGATGTGTGCGTTCAACTCTCAGAGTTTAACTTTTCTTTTCATTCAGAAGTTTGGAAACACTCTGTTTGTAAAGTGTGCACGTGGATAACTTGAACACTTAGAGGCCTTCGTTGGAAACGGGTTTTTTTCATGTAAGGCTAGACAGAAGAATTCCCACTAACATCCTTGTGTTGTGTGTGTTCAACTCACAGAGTTGAACTTTCATTTACACAGAGCAGATTTGAAAGACTCTTTTTGTGCAATTTGCAAATGGAGATTTCAAGCGCTTTGAGGCCAAAGACAGAAAAGGAAATATCTTCGTTTCAAAACTAGACAGAATCATTCCCACAAACTGCGTTGTGATGTGTTCGTTCAACTCACAGAGTTTAACCTTTCTGTTCATAGAGCAGTTAGGAAACACTCTGTTTCTAAAGTCTGTAAGTGGATATTCTGACATCTTGTGGCCTTCGTTGGAAACGGGGTTTCTTCATATTCTGCTAGACAGAAGAATTCTCAGTAACTTCCTTGTGTTGTGTGTATTCAACTCACACCGTTGAACGATCCTTTATACAGAGCAGACTTGAAACACTGTTTTTGTGGAATTTACAAGTGGAGATTTCAGCCGATTTGAGGTCAATGGTAGAAAAGGAAATATCTTCCTATAGAAACTAGACAGAATGATTCTCAGAAACTCCTTTGGGATGTGTGTGTCCAACTCACAGAGTTTAACCTTTCTTTTCATAGAGCAGTTAGGAAACACTCTGTTTGTAAAGTCTGCAAGAGGATATTCAGACCTCTTTGAGGCCTTCGTTGGAAACGGGTTTTTTTCATATAAGGCTAGACAGAAGAATTCCCAGTAACTTCCTTGTGTTGTGTGTGTTCAACTCACAGAGTTGAACTTTCATTTACACAGAGCAGATTTGAAACACTCTTTTTGTGGAATTTGCAGGTGGAGATTTCAAGTGCTTTGAGGCCAAAGGCAGAAAAGGAAATATCTTCGTATAAAAACTAGACAGAATGATTCTCAGAAACTCCTTTGTGATGTGGGTGTTCAACTCACAGTGTTTAACCTTTCTTTTCATAGAGCAGTTTGGAAACACTCTGTTTGAAAAGTCTGCACGTGTATAATATGACCACTTAGAGGCCTTCGTTGGAAACGGGTTTTTTTTCATGTAAGGCTAGACAGAAGAATTCCCAGTAACTTCCTTGTGTTGTGTGCATTCAACTCACAGAGTTGAACGTTCCCTTAGACAGAGCAGATTTGAAACACTCTATTTGTGCAATTTGCAAGTGTAGTTTTCAAGCTCTTTAAGGTCAACAGCAGAAAAGGAAATATCTTCGTTTCAAAACTAGACAGAATCATTCCCACAAACTGCGTTGTGATGTGTTCGTTCAACTCACAGAGTTTAACCTTTCTTTTCATAGAGCAGTTAGGAAACAGTGGGTTTGTAAATTCTGTAAGTGGATATTCTGACATCTTGTGGCCTTCGTTGGAAACGGGATTTCTTCATATTCTGCTAGACAGAAGAATTCTCAGAAACTTCCTTGTGTTGTGTGTATTCAACTCACAGAGTTGAACGATCCTTTACACAGAGCAGACTTGAAACACTCTTTTTGTGGAATTTGCAAGTGGAGATTTCTGCCGCTTTGAGGTCAATGGTAGAATAGTAAATATCTTCCTATAGAAACTAGACAGAATGGTTCTGAGAAATCCTTTGTGAGGTGTGCGTTCAACTCACAGAGTTTAACCTTTCTTTTCATAGAGCAGTTAGGAAACACTCTGTTTTTAAAGTCTTCAAGTGGATATTCAGACCTCCTTGAGGCCTTCGTTGGAAACGGGATTTCTTCATATTATGCTAGACAGAAGAATTCTCAGTAACTTCCTTGTGTTGTGTGTATTCAACTCACAGAGTTGAACGATCCTTTACACAGAGCAGACTTGAAACACTCTTTTTGTGGAATTTGCAAGTGGAGATTTCAGCCGCTTTGAGGTCAATAGTAGAAAAGGAAATATCTTCATAGAAAAACTAGACAGAATGATTCTCAGAAACTCCTTTGTGCTGTGTGCGTTCAGCTCACAGAGTTTAACCTTTCTTTTCATAGAGTAGTTAGGAAACACTCTGTTTGTAAAGTCTGCAAGTGGATATTCAGACATCTTTGAGGCCTTCGTTGGAAACGGGATTTCTTCATATTCTGCTAGACAGAAGAATTCTCAGTAACTTCCTTGTGTTGTGTGTATTCAACTGACAGAGTTGAACTTTCATTTAGAGAGAGCAGATTTGTAACACTGTTTTTGTGGAATTTGCAAGTGGAGATTTCAAGCGCTTTGGGGCCAAAGGCAGAAAAGGAAATATCGTCGTATAAAAACTAGACAGAATCATTCTCAGAAACTGCTGCGTGATGTGTGCGTTCAACTCTCAGAGTTTAACTTTTCTTTTCATTCAGCGGTTTGGAAACACTCTGTTTGTAAAGTCTGCACGTGGAAATTTTGACCACTTAGAGGCCTTCTTTGGAAACGGGTTTTTTTCATGTAAGGCTAGACAGAAGAATTCCCAGTAACTTCCTTGTGTTGTGTGCATTCAACTCACAGAGTTGAACGTTCCCTTAGACAGAGCAGATTTGAAACACTCTATTTGTGCAATTTGCAAGTGTAGTTTTCAAGCTCTTTAAGGTCAACGGCAGAAAAGGAAATATCTTCGTTTCAAAACTAGACAGAATGATTCTCAGAAACTCCTTTGTGATGTGTGTGTTCAACTCACAGAGTTTAACCTTTCTTTTCATAGAGCAGTTACTAAACACTCTGTTTATAAAGTCTGCAAGTGGATATTCAGACCCCTTTGAGGCCTTCGTTGGAAACGGGATTTCTTCATATTATGCTAGACAGAAGAATTCTCAGTAACTTCCTTGTGTTGTGTGTATTCAACTCACAGAGTTGAACGAACCTTTACACAGAGCAGACTTGAAACACTCTTTTTGTGGAATTTGCAAGTGGAGATTTCATCCCCTTTGAGGTCAATGGTAGAAAAGGAAATATCTTCGTATAAAAACTAGACAGAATGATTCTCATAAACTTCTTTGTGATGTGTGCGTTCAACTCACAGAGTTTAACCTTTCTTTTCATAGAGCAGTTAGGAAACACTCTGTTTGTAAACTCTGCAAGTGGATATTCAGACCTCTTTGAGGCCTTCGTTGGAAACGGGATTTCTCCATACTGTGCTAGACAGAAGAATTCCCAGTAACTTCCTTGTGTTGTGTGTGTTCAACTCACAGAGTTGAACTTTCATGTACACAGAGCAGATTTGAAACACTCTTTTTGTGGAATTTGCAAATGGAGATTTCAAGCGCTTTGAGGCCAAAGGCAGAAAAGGAAATATCTTCGTATAAAAACTAGACAGAAATCATTCTCAGAAACTGCTCTGCGATGTGTGCGTTCAACTCTCAGGAGTTTAACTTTTCTTTTCATTCAGCAGTTTGGAAACACTCTGTTTGTAAAGTCTGCACGTGGATATTTTGACCACTTAGAGGCCTTCGTTGGAAACGGGTTTTTTTCCTGTAAGGCTAGACAGAAGAATTCCCAGTAACTTCCTTGTGTTGTGTACATTCAACTCACAGAGTTGAACGTTCCCTTAGACAGAACAGATTTGAAACACTCTTTTTGTGCAATTGGCAAATGGAGATTTCAAGCGCTTTGAGGTCAATGGTAGAAAAGGAAATATCTTCGTTTCAAAACTAGACAGAATCATTCCCACAAACTGCGTTGTGATGTGTTCGTTCAACTCACAGAGTTTAACCTTTCTTTTCATAGAGTAGTTAGGAAACAGTCTGTTTGAAAATTCTGTAAGTAGATATTCTGACAGCTTGTGGCCTTCGTTGGAAACGGGATTTCTTCATATTCTGCTAGACAGACGAATTCTCAGTAACTTCCTTGTGTTGTGTGTATTCAACTCACAGAGTTGAACGATCCTTTACACAGAGCAGACTTGTAACACTCTTTTTGTGGAATTTGCAAGTGGAGATTTCAGCCCCTTTGAAGTCAAAGGTAGAAAAGGAAATATCTTCCTATAAAAACTAGACAGAATGATTCTCAGAAACTTCTTTTTGATGTGTGCGTTCAACTCACAGAGTTTAACCTTTCTTTTCATAGAGCAGTTAGGAAACACTCTGTTTGTAAACTCTGCAAGTGGATATTCAGACCTGTTTGAGGCCTTCGTTGGAAACGGGATTTCTTCATACTATGCTAGACAGAAGAATTCTCAGTAACTTCCTTGTGTTGTGTGTATTCAACTCACAGAGTTGAACGATCCTTTACACAGAGCGGACTTGAAACACACTTTTTGTGGAATTTGCAAGTGGAGATTTCAGCCGCGTTGAGGTCAATGGTAGAAAAGGAAATATCTTCGTTTCAAAACTAGACAGAATGATTCTCAGAAACTCCTTTGTGATGTGTGCGTTCAACTCACAGAGTTTCACTTTTCTTTTCATAGAGCAGTTAGGAAACACTCTGTTTGTAAAGTCTGCAAGTGGATATTCAGACCTCTTTGAGGCCTTCGGTGGAAACGGGATTTCTTCATATTATGCTAGACAGAAGAATTCCCAGTAACTTCCTTGTGTTGTGTGTGTTCAACTCACAGAGTTGAACTTTCATTTACACAGAGCAGATTTGAAACACTCTTTTCGTGAAATTTGCAAGTGGAGATTTCAAGCGCTTTGAGGCCAAAGGCAGAAAAGGAAATATCTTCGTATAAAAACTAGACAGAATAATTCTCAGAAACTGCTCTGTGATGTGTGCGTTCATCTCTCAGAGTTTAACTGTTCTTTTCATTCAGCAGTTTGGAAACACTCTGTTTGTAAAGTCTGCACGTGGATATTTTGACCACTTAGAGGCCTTCGTTGGAAACGGGTTTTTTTCATGTAAGGCTAGACAGAAGAATTCCCAGTAACTTCCTTGTGTTGTGTACATTCAACTCACAGAGTTGAACGTTCCCTTAGACAGAGCAGATTTGAAACACTCTTTTTGTGCAATTGGCAAGTGGAGATTTCAAGCGCTTTAAGGTCAATGGCAGAAAAGGAAATATCTTCGTTTCAAAGCTAGACAGTATGATTCTCAGAAACTTCTTTGTGATGTGTGCGTTCAACTCACAGAGTTTAACCTTTCTTTTCATAGAGCAGTTAGGAAACACTCTGTTTGTAAACTCTGCAAGTGGATATTAAGACCTCTTTGAGGCCTTCGTTGGAAACGGGATTTCTTCATACTGTGCTAGACAGAAGAATTCTCAGTAACTTCCTTGTGTTGTGTGTATTCAACTCACAGAGTTGAACGATCCTTTACACAGAGCGGAATTGAAACACTCTTTTTGTGAAACTTGCAAGTGGAGATTTCAGCCGCGTTGAGGTCAATGGTAGAAAAGGAAATCTCTTCGTATAAAAACTAGACAGAGTGATTCTCAGAAACTCCTTTGTGATGTCTGCGTTCAACTCACCGAGTTTAACCTTTCTTTTCATAGAGCAGTTAGGAAACACTCTGTTTGTAAAGTCTGCAAGTGGATATTCAGACCTCCTTGAGGCCTTCGTTGGAAACGGGATTTCTTCATATTCTGCTATACAGAAGAATTCCCAGTAACTTTCCTTGTGTTGTGTGTGTTCAACTCACAGAGTTGAACTTTCATTTACACAGAGCAGATTTGAAACACTCTTTTTGTGGAATTTGCAAGTGGAGATTTCAAGCGCTTTGAGGCCAAAGGCAGAAAAGGAAATATCTCCGTTTCAAAACTAGACAGAATCATTCTCAGAAACTGCTCTGCGATGTGTGCGTTCAACTCTCAGAGTTTAACTTTTCTTTTCATTCAGCAGTTTGGAAACACTCTGTTTGTAAAGTCTGCACGTGGATATTTTGACCATTTAGAGGCCTTCGTTGGAAACGGGTTTTTTTTCTTGTAAGGCTAGACAGAAGAATTCCCAGGAACTTCCTTGTGTTGTGTACATTCAACTCACAGAGTTGAACGTTCCCTTAGACAGAGCAGATTTGAAACACTCTTTTTGTGCAATTGGCAAGTGGTGATTTCAGCCGCTTTGAGGTCAATGGTAGAAAAGGAAATATCTTCGTATAAAAACTAGACAGAATCATTCCCACAAACTGCGTTGTGATGTGTTCGTTCAACTCACAGAGTTTAACCTTTCTGTTCATAGAGCAGTTAGGAAACACTCTGTTTGTAAAGTCTGCAAGTGGATATTCAGACCTCTTTGAGGCCTTCGTTGGAAACGGGATTTCTTCATATTCTGCTAGACAGAAGAATTCTCAGTAACTTCATTGTGTTGTGTGTATTCAACTCACAGATTTCAACGATCCTTTACACAGAGCAGACTTGAAACACTCTTTTTCTGGAATTTGCAAGTGGAGATTTCAGCCGCTTTGAGGTCAATGGTAGAATAGGAAATATCTTCCTATAGACACTAGACAGAATGATTCTCAGAAACTCCTTTATGATGTGTGCGTTCAACTCACAGAGTTTAACCTTTCTGTTCATAGAGCAGTTAGGAAACACTCTGTTTGTAAAGTCTGCAAGTGGATATTCAGACCTCCTTGAGGCCTTCGGTGGAAACGGGATTTCTTCATATTCTGCTAGACAGAAGAATTCTCAGTAACTTCCTTGTGTTGTGTGTATTCAACTCACAGAGTTGAACGATCCTTTACACAGAGCAGACTTGAAACACTCTTTTTGTGGAATTTGCAAGTGGAGATTTCAGCCGATTTGAGTTCAATGGTAGAATAGGAAATATCTTCCTATAGAAACTAGACAGAATGATTCTCAGAAACTCCTTTGTGATGTGTGCGTTCAACTCATAGAGTTTAACCTTTCTTTTCATAGAGCAGTTAGGAAACACTCTGTTTGTAAAGTCTGCAAGTGGATATTCAGACCTCTTTGAGGCCATCGTTGGAAACGGGATTTCTTCATATTCTGCTAGAGAGAAGAATTCTCAGTAACTTCCTTGTGTTGTGTGTATTCAACTCACAGAGTTGAACGATCCTTTACACAGAGCAGACTTGAAACTCTCTTTTTGTGGAATTTGCAAGTGGAGATTTCAGCCGCTTTGAGGTCAATAGTAGAAAAGTAAATATCTTCGTAGAAAAACTAGACAGAATGATTCTCAGAAACTCTTTTGTGATGTGGGCGTTCAACTCACAGAGTTTAACCATTCTTTTCATAGAGCAGTTAGGAAACACTCTGTTTGTAAAGTCTGCATGTGGATATTTGGACTTCTTTGAGGCCTTCGTTGGAAACGGGTTTTTTTCATGTAAGGCTAGACAGAAGAATTCTCAGTAACTTCCTTGTGTTTTGTGTATTCAACTCACAGAGTTGAACGATCCTTTACACAGAGCAGACTTGAAACACTCTTTTTGTGGAATTTGCAAGTGGATATTTCAGCCGCTTTGAGTTCAATGGTAGAATAGGAAATATCTTCCTATAGAAACTAGACAGAATGATTCTCAGAAACTCCTTTGTGATGTGTGCGTTCAACTCACAGATTTCAACCTTTCTTTTCATAGAGCAGTTGGGAAACACTCTGTTTGTAAAGTCTGCAAGTGGATATTCAGACTTCTTTGAGGCCTTCGTTGAAAGCGGGATTTCTTCATATTCTGCTAGACAGAAGAATTCTCAGTAACTTCCTTGTGTTGTGTGTATTCAACTCACAGAGTTGCACGATCGTTTACACAGAGCAGACTTGAAACACTCTTTTTGTGGAATTTGCAAGTGGAGATTTCAGCCGCTTTGAGGTCAATAGTAGAAAAGGAAATATCTTCGTAGAAAAACTACACAGAATGATTCTCAGAAACTCCTTTGTGATGTGGGTGTTCAACTCACAGAGTTTAACCTTTCTTTTCATAGAGCAGTTAGGAAACACTCTGTTTGTAAAGTCTGCAAGTGGATATTTTCACCTCTTTGAGGCCTTCATTGGAAACGGGTTTTTTTTCATGTAAGGCTAGACAGAAGAATTCTCAGTAACTTCCTTGTGTTGTGTGTATTCAACTGACAGAGTTGAACTTTCATTTAGACAGAGCAGATTTGAAACACTCTTTTTCTGGAATTTGCAAGTGGAGATTTCAAGCGCTTTGAGGCCAAAGGCAGAAAAGGAAATATCTTCGTATAAAAACTACACAGAATCATTCTCAGAAACTGCTCTGCGATGTGTGCGTTCAACTCTCAGAGTTTAACTTTTCTTTTCATTCAGCAGTTTGGAAACACTCTGTTTGTAAAGTCTGCACGTGGATATTTTGACCATTTAGAGGCCTTCGTTGGAAACGGGTTTTGTCCTTGTAAGCCTAGACAGAAGAATTCCCAGTAACTTCCTTGTGTTGTGTGCATTCAACTCACAGAGTTGAACGTTCCCTTAGACAGAGCAGATTTGAAACACTCTATTTGTGCAATTTGCAAGTGTAGTTTTCAAGCTCTTTAAGGTCAACGGCAGAAAAGGAAATATCTTGGTTTCAAAACTAGACAGAATGATTCTCAGAAACTCCTTTGTGATGTGTGCGTTCAACTCACAGAGTTTAACCTTACTGTTCATAGAGCAGTTAGGAAACACTCTGTTTGTAAAGTCTGCAAGTGGATATTCAGACCTCTTTGAGGCCTTCGTTGGAAACGGGATTTCTTCATATTATGCTAGACAGAAGAATTCTCAGTAACTTCCTTGTGTTGTGTGTATTCAACTCACAGAGTTGAACGATCCTTTACACAGAGCAGACTTGAAACACTCTTTTTGTGGAATTTGCAAGTGGAGATTTCAGCCGCTTTGAGTTCAATGGTAGAATAGGAATTATCTTCCTACAGAAACTAGACAGAATGATTCTCAGAAACTCCTTTGTGATGTGTGTGTTCAACTCACAGAGTTTAAGCTTTCTTTTCATAGAGCAGTTAGTAAACACTCTGTTTATAATGTCTGCAAGTGGATATTCAGACCCCTTTGACGCCTTCGTTTGAAACGGGATTTCTTCATATTATGCTAGACAGAAGAATTCTCAGTAACTTCCTTGTGTTGTGTGTATTCAACTGACAGAGTTGAACTTTCATTTAGAGAGAGCAGATTTGAAACACTGTTTTTGTGGAATTTGCAAGTGGAGATATCAAGCGCCTTGGGGCCAAAGGCAGAAAAGGAAATATCTTCGTATAAAAAGTAGACAGAATGATTCTCAGAAACTTCTTTGTGATGTGTGCGTTCAACTCACAGAGTTTAACCTTTCTTTTCATAGAGCAGTTAGGAAACACTCTGTTTGTAAACTATGCAAGTGGATATTCAGACCTCTTTGAGGCCTTCGTTGGATACGGGATTTCTTCATACTATGCTAGACAGAAGAATTCTCAGTAACTTCCCTTGTGTTGTGTGTATTCAACTCACAGAGTTGAACGATCCTTTACACAGAGCAGACTTGAAACATTCTTTTTGTGGAATTTGCAAGGGGAGATTTCAGCCGCTTTGAGGTCAATGGTAGAATAGGAAATATCTTCCTATAGAAACTAGACAGAATGATTTTCAGAAACTGCTTTGTGATGTGTGCGTTCAACTCACAGAGTTTCACCTTTCTTTTCATAGAGCAGTTAGGAAACACTCTGTTTGTAAAGTCTACAAGTGGATATTCAGACCTCTTTGAGGCCTTCGTTGGAAACGGGATTTCTTCATATTATGCTAGACAGAAGAATTCTCAGTAACTTCCTTGTGTTGTGTGTATTCAACTGACAGAGTTGAACTTTCATTTGGAGAGAGCAGATTTGAAACACTGTTTTTTTGGAATTTGCAAGTGGAGATTTCAAGCGCTTTGGGGCCAAAGGCAGAAAAGGAAATATCTTCGTATAAAAACTAGACAGAATCATTCTCAGAAACTGCTCTGTGATGTGTACGTTCAACTCTCAGCAGTTTAACTTTTCTTTTCATTCAGCAGTTTGGAAACACTCTGTTCGTAAAGTCTGCACGTGGATAATTTGACCACTTAGAGGCCTTCGTTGGAAACGGGTTTTTTTCATGTAAGGCTAGACAGAAGAATTCTCAGTAACTTCCTTGTGTTGTGTGTATTCAACTCACAGAATTGAACGATCCTTTACACAGAGCAGACTTGAAACACTCTTTTTGTGGAATTTGCAAGTGGAGATTTCAGCCGCTTTGAGGTCAATAGTAGAAAAGGAAATATCTTCGTAGAAAAACTAGACAGAATGATTCTCAGAAAATGTTTTGTGATGTGTGCGTTCAACTCACAGAGTTTAACTTTTCTTCTCATAGAGCAGTTAGGAAACACTCTGTTTGTAAAGTCTGCAAGTGGATATTGAGACCTCTTTGAGGCCTTCGTTGGAAACGGGATTTCTTCATATTATGCTAGACAGAAGAATTCTCAGTAACTTCCTTGTGTTGTGTGTATTCAACTGACAGAGTTGAACTTTCATTTAGAGAGAGCAGATTTGAAACACTGTTTTTGTGGAATTTGCAAGTGGAGATTTCAAGCGCTTTGAGGTCAATGGTAGAATAGGAAATATCTTCCTATAGAAACTAGACAGAATCATTCTCAGAAACTGCTGCGTGATGTGTGAGTTCAACTCTCAGAGTTTAACTTTTCTTTTCATTCAGCGGTTTGGAAACACTCTGTTTGTAAAGTCTGCACGTGGAAATTTTGACCACTTAGAGGCCTTCGTTGGAAACGGGTTTTCTTCATGTAAGGCTAGACAGAAGAATTCCCAGTAACTTCCTTGTGTTGTGTACATTCAACTCACAGAGTTGAACGTTCCCTTAGACAGAGCAGATTTGAAACACTCTTTTTGTGCAATTGGCTAGTGTTGATTTCAGCCGCTTTGAGGTCAATTGTATAAAAGGATATATCTTCATATAAAAACTAGACAGAATGATTCTCAGAAACTCCTTTGTGATGTGTGCGTTCAACTCACAGAGTTTAACCTTTCTTTCCATAGAGCAGTTAGGAAACACTCTGTTTGTAAAGTCTGCAAGTGGATATTCAGACCTCTTTGAGGCCTTCGTTGGAAACGGGTTTTTTTCTTATAAGGCTAGACAGAAGAATTCTCAGTAACTTCCTTGTGTTGTGTGTATTCAACTCACAGAGTTGAACGATCCTTTACACAGAGCAGACTTGAAACACTCTGTTTGTGGAATTTGCAAGTGGAGATTTCAGCCGCTTTGAGGTCAATAGTAGAAAAGGAAATATCTTCGTAGAAAAACTAGACAGAATGATTCTCAGAAACTCCTTTGTGATGTGTGCGTTCAACTCACAGAGTTTAAACTTTCTTTTCATAGAGCAGTTAGGAAACACTCTGTTTGTAAAGTCTGCAAGTGGATATTCAGACCTCTTTGAGGCCTTCGTTGGAAACGGGTTTTTTTCATATAAGGCTAGACAGAAGAATTCCCAGTAACTTCCTTGTGTTGTGTGTGTTCAACTCACAGAGTTGAACTTTCATTTACACAGAAAAGATTTGAAACACTCTTTTTGTGGAATTTGCAAGTGGAGATTTCAAGCGCTTTGAGGCCAAAGGCAGAAAAGGAAATATCTCCGTTTCAAAACTAGACAGAATCATTCTCAAAAACTGCTCTGCGATGTTTGCGTTCAACTCTCAGAGTTTAACTTTTCTTTTCATTCAGCAGTTTGGAAACACTCTGTTTGTAAAGTCTGCACGTGGATAACTTGACCACTTAGAGGACTTCGTTGGAAACGGGTTTTTTTCCTGTAAGGCTAGACAGAAGAATTCCCAGTAACTTCCTTGTGTTGTGTACATTCAACTCACAGAGTTGAACGTTCCCTTAGACAGAGCAGATTTGAAACACTCTTTTTGTGCAATTGGCAAATGGAGATTTCAAGCGCTTTAAGTTCAATGGCAGAAAAGGAAATATCTTCGTTTCAAAACTAGACAGAATCATTCTCAGAAACTGCTCTGCGATGTGTGCGTTCAACTCTCAGAGTTTAACTTTTCTTTTCATAGAGCAGTTAGGAAACAGTCTGTTTGTCAATTCTGTAAGTGGATATTCTGACATCTTGTGGCCTTCGTTGGAAACGGGATTTCTTCATATTCTGCTAGACAGAAGAATTCTCAGAATCTTCCTTGTGTTGTGTGTATTCAACTCACAGATTTGAACGATCCTTTACACAGAGCAGACTTGAAACACTCTTTTTGTGGAATTTGCAAGTGGAGATTTCAGCCGCTTTGAGGTCCATGGTAGAAAAGGAAATATCTTCGTATAAAAACTAGACAGAATGATTCTCAGAAACTCCTTTGTGATGTGTGCGTTCAACTCACAGAGTTTAACCTTTCTTTTCATAGAGCAGTTAGGAAACACTCTGTTTGTAAAGTCTGCAAGTTGATATTCAGACCTCTTTGAGGCCTTCGTTGGAAACGGGATTTCTTCATATTATGCTAGACAGAAGAATTCTCAGTAACTTCCTTGTGTTGTGTGTATTCAACTCACAGAGTTGAACGATCCTTTACACAGAGCAGACTTGAAACACTCTTTTTATGGAATTTGCAAGTGGAGATTTCAGCCGCTTTGAGGTCAATGGTAGAAAAGGAAATATCTTCGTATAAAAACTAGACAGAATGATTCTCATAAACTCCTTTGTGATGTGTGCGTTCAACTCACAGAGTTTAACCTTTCTTTTCATAGAGCAGTTAGGAAACACTCTCTTTGTGAAGTCTGCAAGTGGATATTCAGACCTCCTTGAGGCCTTCGTTGGAAACGGGATTTCTTCATATTCTGCTAGACAGAAGAATTCTCAGTAACTTCCTTGTGTTGTGTTTATTCAACTCACAGAGTTAATGATCCTTTACACAGAGCAGACTTGAAACACTCTTTTTGTGGCATTTGCAAGTGGAGATTTCAGCCGCTTTGAGGTCAATGGTAGAAAAGTAAATATCTTCGTATAAAGACTAGACAGAATCATTCTCAGAAACTGCTCTGCGATGTGTGCGTTCAACTCTCAGAGTTCAACTTTTCTTTTCATTCAGCAGTGTGGAAACACTCTGTTTGTAAAGTCTGCACGTGGATATTTTGACCACTTAGAGGCCTTTGTTGGAAACGGGTTTTTTTCCTGTAAGGCTAGACAGAAGTTTTCCCAGTAACTTCCTTGTGTTGTGTACATTCAACTCACAGAGTTGAACGTTCCCTTAGACAGAGCAGATTTGAAACACTCTTTTTGTGCAATTGGCAAATGGAGATTTCAAGCGCTTTAAGGTCAATGGCAGAAAAGGAAATATCTTCGTTTCAAAACTAGACAGAATCATTCCCACAAACTGCGTTGTGATGTGTTCGTTCAACTCACAGAGTTTAACCTTTCTGTTCATAGAGCAGTTAGGAAACACTCTGTTTGTAAAGTCTGTAAGTGGATATTCTGACATCTTGTGGCCTTCGTTGGAAACGGGATTTCTTCATATTATGGTAGACAGAAGAATTCTCAGTAACTTCCTTGTGTTGTGTGTATTCAACTCACAGAGTTAAACGATCCTTTACACAGAGCAGACTTGAAACACTCTTTTTGTGGAATTTGCAAGTGGAGATTTCAGCCGCTTTGAGGTCAATGGTAGAAAAGGAAACTATCTTCATATAAACACTAGACAGAATGATTCTCAGAAACTCCTTTGTGATGTGTGTGTTCAACTCACAGAGTTTAACCTTTCTTTTCATAGAGCAGTTAGTAAACACTCTGTTTATAAAGTCTGCAAGTAGATATTCAGACCCCTTTGAGGCCTTCGTTGGAAACGGGATTTCTTCATATTATGCTAGACAGAAGAATTCTCAGTAACTTCCCTTGTGTTGTGTGTATTCAACTCACAGAGTTGAACGATCCTTTACACAGAGCAGAGTTGAAACATTCTTTTTGTGGAATTTGCAAGTGGAGATTTCAGCCGCTTTGAGGTCAATGGTAGAATAGCAAATATCTTCCTATAGAAACTAGACAGAATGATTCTCAGAAACTCCTTTGTGATGTGTGCATTCAACTCACAGAGTTTAACCTTTCTTTTCATAGAACAGTTAGGAAACACTCTGTTTGTAAAGTCTTCAGGTGGATATTCAGACCTCTTAGAGGCCTTCGTTGGAAACAGGATTTCTTCATATTATGCTAGACAGAAGAATTCTCAGCAATCTTCCTTGTGTTGTGTGTATTCAACTCACAGAGTTGAACGATGGTTTACACAGAGCAGATTTGAAACACTCTTTTTGTGGAATTTGCAAGTGGAGATTTCAGCCGCTTTGAGGTCAATGGTAGAAAAGGAAATATCTTCCTATAAAAACTAGACAGAATGATTCTCAGAAACTCCTTTGTGATGTGTGCGTTCAACTCACAGAGTTTCACTTTTCTTTTCATAGAGCAGTTACGAAACACTCTGTTTGTAAAGTCTTCAAGTGGATATTCAGACCTCTTTGAGGCCTTCGTTGGAAACGGGATTTCTTCATATTCTGCTACACAGAAGAATTCTCAGTAACTTCCTTGTGTTGTGTGTATTCAACTCACAGAGTTGAACGATCCTTTACACAGAGCAGACTTGAAACACTCTTTTTGTGGAATTTGCAAGTGGAGATTTCAGCCGCTTTGAGGTCAATGGTAGAAAAGGAAACTATCTTCATATAAAGACTAGACTGAATCATTCTCAGAAACTGCTCTGTGATGTGTGCATTCAACTCTCAGAGTTTAACTTTTCTTTTCATTCAGCAGTTTGGAAACACTCTGTTTGTAAAGTCTGCACGTGGATAATTTGACCACTTAGAGGCCTTCGTTGGAAACGGGTTTTTTTCATGTAAGGCTAGACAGAAGAATTCTCAGTAACTTCCTTGTGTTGTGTGTATTCAACTCACACAGTTGAACGATCCTTTACACAGAGCAGACTTGTAACACACTTTTTGTGGAATTTGCAAGTGGAGATTTCAGCCGCTTTGAAGTCAAAGGTAGAAAAGGAAATATCTTCCTATAAAAACTAGACAGAATGATTCTCAGAAACTCCTTTGTGATGTGTGCGTTCAACTCACAGAGTTTAACCTTTCTTTTCATAGAGCAGTTAGGAAACACTCTGTTTGAAAAGTCTGCAAGTGGATATTCAGACCTCTTAGAGGCCTTCGTTGGAAACGGGATTTCTTCATATTATGCTAGACAGAAGAATTTTCAGTAACTTCCTTGTGTAGTGTGTATTCAACTCACAGAGTTGAACGATCCTTTACACAGAGCAGACTTGAAACACTCTTTTTGTGGAATTTGCAAGTGGAGATTTCAGCCGCTTTGAGGTCAATGGTAGAAAAGGAAATATCTTCGTATAAAGACAAGACAGAATGATTCTCAGAAACTCCTTTGTGATGTGTGCGTTCAACTCACAGAGTTTAACCTTTCTTTTCATAGAGCACTTAGGAAACACTCTGTTTGTAAAGTCTG
The DNA here is from genome assembly GCF_000001405.40 of Homo sapiens. Taxonomy (NCBI): domain Eukaryota; kingdom Metazoa; phylum Chordata; class Mammalia; order Primates; family Hominidae; genus Homo; species Homo sapiens. The sequence goes on from NC_000001.11 coordinate 122,670,635, forward strand.
CAAGTGGATATTCAGACCTCTTTGAGGCCATCGTTGGAAACGGGATTTCTTCATATTCTGCTAGACAGAAGAATTCTCAGTAACTTCCTTGTGTTGTGTGTATTCAACTCACAGAGTTGAACGATCCTTTACACAGAGCAGACTTGAAACACTCTTTTTGTGGAATTTGCAAGTGGAGATTTCACCCGCTTTGAGGTCAATGGTAGAAAAGGAAATATCTTCGTATAAAGACTAGACTGAATGATTCTCAGAAACTCCTTTGTGATGTGTGCGTTCAACTCACAGAGTTTAACCTTTCTTTTCATAGAGCAGTTAGGAAACACTCTGTTTGTAAAGTCTGCAAGTGGATATTCAGACCTCCTTGAGGCCTTCATTGGAAACAGGATTTCTTCATATTCTGCTAGACAGAAGAATTCTCAGTAACTTCCTTGTGTTGTGTGTATTCAACTCACAGAGTTGAACGATCCTTTACAGCAGAGCAGACTTGAAACACTCTTTTTGTGGAATTTGCAAGTGGAGATTTCAGCCGCTTTGAGGTCAATGGTAGAAAAGGAAATATCTTCCTATAAAGACTAGACAGAGTGATTCTCAGAAACTCCTTTGTGATGTCTGCGTTCAACTCACAGAGTTTAACCTTTCTTTTCATAGAGCAGTTAGGAAACACTCTGTTTGTAAAGTCTGCAAGTGGATATTCAGACCTTCTTGAGGCCTTCGTTGGAAACGGGATTTCTTCATATTATGCTAGACAGAAGAATTCTCAGTAACTTCCTTGTGTTCTCTGTATTCAACTCACAGAGTTGAACGATCCTTTACAGAGAGCAGACTTGAAACACTCTTTTTGTGGAATTTGCAAGTGGAGATTTCAGCCGCTTTGAGGTCAATGGTAGAAAAGGAAATATCTTCGTATAAAGACTAGACAGAATGATTCTCAGAAACTCCTTTGTGATGTGTGCGTTCAACTCACAGAGTTTAACCTTTGTTTTCATAGAGCAGTTAGGAAACACTCTGTTTGTAAAGTCTGCAAGTGGATATTCAGACATCTTTGAGGCCTTCGTTGGAAACGGGATTTCTTCATGTTCTGCTGGACAGAAGAATTCTCAGAATCTTCCTTGTGTTGTGTGTCTTCAAGTCACAGAGTTGAACAATGGTTTACACAGAGCAGATTTGAAACACTCTTTTTGTGGAATTTGCAAGTGGAGATTTCAGCCGCTTTGAGGTCAATGGTAGAAAAGGAAATATCTTCGTATAAAAACTAGACAGAATGATTCTCAGAAACTCCTTTATGATGTGTGCGTTCAACTCACAGAGTTTAACCTTTCTTTTCATAGAGCAGTTAGGAAACACTCTGTTTGTAAACTCTGCAAGTGGATATTCAGACCTCTTTGAAGCCTTGGTTGGAAACGGGATTTCTTCATATTATGCCTGAGAGAAGAATTCTCAGTAACTGCCTTGTGTTGTGTGTATTCAACTCACAGAGTTGAATGATCCTTTACACAGAGCAGACTTGAAACACTCCTTTTGTGGAATTTGCAAGTGGAGATTTCAGCCGCTTTGAGGTCAATGGTAGAATAGGAAATATCTTCCTATAGAAACTAGACAGAATGATTCTCAGAAACTCCTTTGTGATGTGTGTGTTCAACTCACAGAGTTTAACCTTTCTTTTCATGGAGCAGTTAGGAAACACTCTGTTTGTAAAGTCTGCAAGGGGATATTCAGACCTCTTTGAGGCTTCCGTTGGAAACGGGATTTCTTCATATTCTGCTAGACAGAAGAATTCTCAGTAACTTCATTGTGTTGTGTGTATTCAACTCACAGAGTTGAACGATCCTTTACACAGAGCAGACTTGAAACACTCTTTTTGTGGAATTTGCAAGTGGAGATTTCAGCCGCTTTGAGGTCAATGGTAGAAAAGGAAATATCTTCGTATAAAGACTAGACAGAATGATTCTCAGAAACTCCTTTGCGATGTGTGCATTCAACTCACAGAGTTTAACCTTTCTTTTCACAGAGCAGTTAGGAAACACTCTGTTTGTAAAGTCTGCAAGTGGATATTCAGACCTCCTTGAGGCCTTCGTTGGAAACGGGATTTCTTCATATTATGCTAGACAGAAGAATTCTCAGAAACTTCCTTGTGTTGTGTGTTTTCAACTCACAGAGTTGAACGATGGTTTACACAGAGTAGACTTGAAACACTCTTTTTGTGTAATTTGCAAGTGGAGATTTCAGCCGCTTTGAGGTCAATGGTAGAAAAGGAAATATCTTCGTATAAAAAGTAGACAGAATGATTCTCAGAAACTCCTTTGTGATGTGTGCGTTCAACTCACAGAGTTTAACTTTTCTTTTCATAGAGCAGTTAGGAAACACTCTGTTTGTAAAATCTGCAAGTGGATATTCAGACCTCTTTGAGGCCTTCGTTGGAAACGGGATTTCTTCATATTATGCTAGACAGAAGAATTCCCAGTAACTTCCTTGTGTTGTGTGTGTTCAACTCACAGAGTTGAACTTTCATTTACACAGAGCAGATTTGAAACACTCTTTTTGTGGAATTTGCAAGTGGAGATTTCAAGCGCTTTGAGGCCAAAGGTAGAAAAGGAAATATCTTCGTATAAAAACTAGACAGAATCATTCTCAGAAACTGCTGCGTGATGTGTGCGTTCAACTCTCAGAGTTTAACTTTTCTTTTCATTCAGCGGTTTGGAAACACTCTGTTTGTAAAGTCTGCACGTGGATATTTTGACCACTTAGAGGCCTTCGTTGGAAACGGGTTTCTTGCATGTAAGGCTAGACAGAAGAATTCCCAGTAACTTCCTTGTGTTGTGTGTATTCAACTCACAGAGTTGAACGTTCCCTTAGACGGAGCAGATTTGAAACACTCTATTTGTGCAATTTGCAAGTGTAGATTTCAAGCGCTTTAAGGTCAATGGCAGAAAAGGAAATATCTTCGTTTCAAAACTAGACAGAATCATTCCCACAAACTGCGTTGTGATGTGTTCGTTCAACTCACAGAGTTTAACCTTTCTGTTCATAGAGCAGTTAGGAAACACTCTGTTTGTAAAGTCTGTAAGTGGATATTCTGACATCTTGTGGCCTTCGTTTTAAACGGGATTTCTTCATATTGTGCTAGACAGAAGAATTCTCAGTAACTTCCTTGTGTTGTGTGTATTCAACTCACAGAGTTGAACTATCCTTTACAGAGAGCAGACTTCAAACACTCTTTTTGTGGAATTTGCAATTGGATATTTCAGCCGCTTTGAGGTCAATGGTAGAAAAGGAAATATCTTCGTATAAAGACTAGACAGAATGATTCTCAGAAAATCTTTTGTGATGTGTGCGTTCAACTCACAGAGTTTAACTTTTCTTCTCATAGAGCAGTTAGGAAACACTCTGTTTGTAAAGTCTGCAAGTGGATATTCAGACCTCTTTGAGGCCTTCGTTGGAAACGGGATTTTTTCATATTATGCTAGACAGAATAATTCTCAGTAACTTCCTTGTGTTCTGTGTATTCAACTCACAGAGTTGAACGATCCTTTACAGAGAGCAGACTTGAAACACTCTATTTGTGGAATTTGCAAGTGGAGATTTCAGCCGCATTGAGGTCAATGGTACAAAAGGAAATATCTTCGTATAAAGACTAGACAGAATGATTCTCAGAAACTCCTTTGTGATGTGTGCGTTCAACTCACAGAGTTTAACCTTTCTTTTCATAGAGCAGTTAGGAAACACTCTGTTTCTAAAGTCTGCAAGTGGATATTCAGACATCCTTGAGGCTTTCGTTGGAAACGGGATTTCTTCATATTCTGCTAGAAAGAAGAATTCTCAGTAACTTCCTTGTGTTGTGTGTATTCAACTCACAGTGTTGAACGATCCTTTACACAGAGCAGACTTGAAACACTCTTTTTGTGGAATTTGCAAGTGGAGATTTCAGCCGCTTTGAGTTCAATGGTAGAATAGGAAATATCTTCTTATAGAAACTAGACAGAATGATTCTCAGAAACTCCTTTGTGATGTGTGCGTTCAACTCACAGAGTTCAACCTTTCTTTTCATAGAGCAGTTGGGAAACACTCTGTTTGTAAAGTCTGCAAGTGGATATTCAGATTTCTTTGAGGCCTTCGTTGGAAGCGGGATTTCTTCATGTTCTGCTAGACAGAACAATTCTCAGTAACTTCCTTGTGTTGTGTGTATTCAACTCACAGAGTTGAACGATCCTTTACACAGAGCAGACTTGAAACACTCTTTTTGTGGAATTTGTAAGTGGAGATTTCAGCCGCTTTGAGGTCAATAGTAGAAAAGGAAATATATTCGTAGAAAAACTAGACAGAATGATTCTCATAAACTCCTTTGTGATGTGTGCGTTCAACTCACAGAGTTTAACCTTTCTTTTCATAGAGCAGTTAGGAAACACTCTGTTTGTAAAGTCTGCAAGTGGATATTCAGACCTCGTTGAGGCCTTCGTTGGAAACGGGATTTCTTCATATTCTGCTAGACAGAAGAATTCTCAGTAACTTCCTTGTGTTGTGTGTATTCAACTCACAGAGTTGAACGATCCTTTACACAGAGCAGACTTTAAATACTCTTTTTGTGGAATTTGCAAGTGGAGATTTCAGCCGCTTTGAGTTCAATGGTAGAATAGGAAATATCTTCCTATAGAAACTAGACAGAATGATTCTCAGAAACTCCTTTGTGATGTGTGCGTTCAACTCACAGAGTTTAACCTTTCTTTTCATAGAGCAGTTAGGAAACACTCTGTTTGTATAGTCTGCAAGTGGATATTCAGACCTCTTTGAGGCCTTCGTTGGAAACGGGTTTTTTTCATATAAGGCTAGACAGAAGAATTCTCAGTAACTTCCTTGTGTTGTGTGCTTTCAACTCACAGAGTTCAACGATCCTTTACACAGAGCAGATTAGAAACACTCTTTTTGTGGAATTTGCAAGTGGAGATTTCAGCCACTTTGAGGTCAATGGTAGAAAAGGAAATATCTTCGTATAAAAACTAGACAGATTGATTCTCAGAAAATCTTTTGTGATGTGTGCGTTCAACTCACAGAGTTTAACTTTTCTTCTCATAGAGCAGTTAGGAAACACTCTGTTTGTAAAGTCTGCAAGTGGATATTCAGACCTCTTTGAGGCCTTCGTTGGAAACGGGATTTCTTCATATTATGCTAGACAGAAGAATTCTCAGTAACTTTCCTTGTGTTGTGTGTATTCAACTCACAGAGTAGAACGATCCTTTACACAGAGCAGACTTGAAACACTCTTTTTGTGGAATTTGCAAGTGGAGATTTCAAGCGCTTTGAGGCCAAAGGCAGAAAAGGAAATATCTTCGTATAAAAACTAGACAGAATGATTCTCAGAAACTCCTTTGTGATGTGTGCGTTCAACTCACAGAGTTGAAGTTTTCTTTTCTTAGAGCAGTTAGGAAACACTCTGTTTGTAAAGTCTGCAAGTGGATATTCAGAACTCTTTGAGGCCTTCGTTGGAAACGGGGTTTCTTCATATTCTGCTAGACAGAAGAATTCTCAGTAACTTCCTTGTGTTGTGTGTATTCAACTCACAGAGTTGAACGATCCTTTACACAGAGCAGACTTGAAACATTCTTTTTGTGGAATTTGCAACTGGAGATTTCAGCCGCTTTGAGGTCAACGGTAGAATAGGAAATATCTTCCTATAGAAACTAGACACAATGATTCTGAGAAACTCCTTTGTGATGTGTGCGTTCAACTCACAGAGTTTAACCTTTCTTTTCATAGAGCAGTTAGGAAACACTCTGTTTGTAAAGTCTGCAAGTGGATATTCAGACCTCCTTGAGGCCTTCGTTGGAAACGGGATTTCTTCATATTATGCTAGACACAATAATTCTCAAGTAACTTCCTTGTGTTGTGTGTATTCAACTCACAGAGTTGAACGATCCTTTACAGAGAGCAGACTTGAAACACTCTTTTTGTTGAATTTGCAAGTGGAGATTTCAGCCGCTTTGAGGTCAATGGTAGAAAAGGAAACTATCTTCGTATAAAGACTAGACAGAATGATTGTCAGAAACTCCTTTGTGATGTGTGCGTTCAATTCACAGAGTTTAACCTTTCTTTTCATAGAGCAGTTAGGAAACACTCTGTTTGTAACGTCTGCAAGTGGATATTCAGACATCTTTGAGGCTTTCGTTGGAAACGGGATTTCTTCATATTCTGCTATACAGAAGAATTCCCAGTAACTTCCTTTTGTTGTGTGTGTTCAAGTCACAGAGATGAACTCTCATTTACACAGAGCAGATTTGAAACTCTCTTTTTGTGGAATTTGCAAATGGAGATTTCAAGCGCTTTGAGGCCAAAGGCAGAAAAGGAAATATCTTCCTATAAAAACTAGACAGAATCATTCTCAGAAACAGCTCTGTGATGTGTGCGTTCAACTCTCAGAGTTTAACTTTTCTTTTCATTCAGCAGTTTGGAAACACTCTGTTTGTAAAGTCTGCACGTGGATATTTTGACCACTTAGAGGCCTTCGTTGGAAACGGGTTTTTTTTCACGTAAGGCTAGACGGTAGCATTCCCAGTAACTTCCTTGTGTTGTGTGCATTCAACTCACAGAGATGAACGTTCCCTTAGACAGAGCAGATTTGAAACGCTCTATTTGTGCAATTTGCAAGTGTAGATTTCAAGCGCTTTAAGGTCAATGGCAAAAAAGGAAATATCTTCGTTTCAAAACTAGACAGAATCATTCCCACAAACTGCGTTGTGATGTGTTCGTTCAACTCACAGAGTTTAACCTTTCTGTTCATAGAGCAGTGAGGAAACACTCTGTTTGTAAACTCTGTAAGTGGATATTCTGACATCTTGTGGCCTTCGTTGGAAAAGGGATTTCTTCATATTCTGCTAGACTGAAGAATTCTCAGTAACTTCCTTGTGTTGTGTGTATTCAACTCACAGAATTGAACGATCCTTTACACAGAGCAGACTTGAAACACTCTTTTTGTGGAATTTGCAAGTGGAGATTTCAGCCGCTTTGAGGTCAATGGTAGAAAAGGAAATATCTTCGTATGGAAACAAGACAGAATGATTCTCAGAAACTCCTTTGTGATGTGTGCGTTCAACTCACAGAGTTTAACCTTTCTTTTCATAGAGCAGTTGGGAAACACTCTGTTTGTAAAGTCTGCAAGTGGATATTCCGACATCCTTGAGGCTTTCGTTGGAAATGGGATTTCTTCATATTCTGCTAGAAAGAAGAATTCTCAGTAACTTCCTTGTGTTGTGTGTATTCAAAGGACAGAGTTGAACTTTCATTTAGAGAGAGCAGATTTGAAACACTGTTTTTGTGGAATTTGCAATTGGAGATTTCAAGCGCTTTGGGGCCAAAGGCAGAAAAGGAAATATCTTCGTATAAAAACTAGACAGAATCATTCTAAGAAACTGCTGCGTGATGTGTGCGTTCAACTCTCAGAGTTTAACTTTTCTTTTCATTCAGCGGTTTGGAAACACTCTGTTTGTAAAGTCTGCACGTGGATATTTTGACCACTTAGAGGCCTTCGTTGGAAACGGGTTTTTTTCATGTAAGGCTAGACAGAAGAATTCCCAGTAACTTCCTTGTGTTGTGTACATTCAACACACAGAGTTGAACGTTCCCTTAGACAGAGCAGATTTGAAACACTCTTTTTGTGCAATTGGCAAGTGGAGATTTCAAGCGCTTTAAGGTCAATGGCAGAAAAGGAAATATCTTCGTTTCAAAACTAGACAGAATGATTCTCAGAAACTCCTTTGTGATGTGTGCGTTCAACTCACAGAGTTTAACCTTTCTTTTCATAGAGCAGTTAGGAAACACTCTGTTTGTAAAGTCTGCAAGTGGATATTCTGACCTCTTTGAGGCCTTCGTTGGAAACGGGATTTCTTCATATTCTGCTAGACAGAAGAATTCTCAGTAACTTCCTTGTGTTGTGTACTTTCAACTCACAGAGTTGAACGTTCCTTTACACAGAGCAGATTAGAAACACTCTTTTTGTGGAATTTGCAAGTGGAGATTTCAGCCGCTTTGAGGTCAATGGTAGAAAAGGAAATATCTTCATAAAAAAACTAGACAGAATGATTCTCAGAAACTCCTTTGTGATGTGTGCGTTCAACTCACAGAGTTTAACCTTTCTTTTCATAGAGCAGTTAGGAAACACTCCGTTTGTAAAGTCTGCAAGTGGATATTCAGACCTCCTTGAGGCCTTCGTTGGAAACGGGATTTCTTCATATTATGCTAGACAGAAGAATTCTCAGTAACTTCCTTGTGTTGTGTGTATTCAACTCACAGAGTTGAACGATCCTTTGCACAGAGCAGACTTGAAACACTCTTTTTGTGGAATTTGAAAGTGGAGATTTCAGCCGCTTTGAGGTCAATGGTAGAATAGGAAATATCTTCCTATAGAAACTAGACAGAATGATTCTCAGAAACTCCTTTGTGATGTGTTCGTTCAACTCACAGAGTTCAACTTTTCTTTTCATAGAGCAGTTGGGAAACACTCTGTTTGTACAGTCTACAAGTGGATATTCAGACCTCTTTGAGGCCTTCGTTGGAAACGGGATTTCTTCATATTCTGCAAGACAGAAGAATTCTCAGTAACTTCCTTGTGTTGTGTGTATTCAACTCACAGAGTTGAACGATCCTTTACACAGAGTAGACTTGAAACACTCCTTTTGTGGAATTTGCAAGTGGAGATTTCAGCCGCTTTGAAGACAATGGTAGAATAGGAAATATCTTCCTATAGAAACTAGACAGAATGATTCTCAGAAACTCCTTTGTGATGTGTGCGTTCAACTCACAGAGTTTAACTTTTGTTTTCATAGAGCAGTTAGGAAACACTCTGTTTGTAAAGTCTTCAAGTGGATATACAGACCTCTTTGAGGCCTTCGTTGGAAACGGGATTTCTTCATATTCTGCTAGACAGAATAATTCTCAGTAACTTCCTTGTGTTGTGTGTATTCAACCCACAGAGTTGAACGATCCTTTACAGAGAGCAGACTTGAAACACTCTTTTTGTGGAATTTGCAAGTGGAGATTTCAGCCGCTTTGGGTCAATGGTAGAATAGGAAATATCTTCCTATAGAAACTAGACAGAATGATTCTCAGAAACTCCTTTGTGATGTGTGTGTTCAACTCACAGAGTTTAACCTTTCTTTTCATAGAGCAGTTAGTAAACACTCTGTTTATAAAGTCTGCAAGTGGATATTCAGACCCCTTTCAGGCCTTCGTTGGAAACGGGATTTCTTCATATTCTGCTAGACAGAAGAATTCCCAGTAACTTCCCTTGTGTTGTGTGCATTCAACTCACAGAGTTGAACGTTCCCTTAGACAGAGCAGATTTGAAACACTCTATTTGTGCAATTTGCAAATGTAGATTTCAAGCGCTTTAAGGTCAATGGCAGAAAAGGAAATATCTTCGTTTCAAAACTAGACAGAATCATTCCCACAAACTGCGTTGTGATGTGTTCGTTCAACTCACAGAGTTTAACCTTTCTGTTCATAGAGCAGCTAGGAAACACTCTGTTTGTAAAGTCTGTAAGTGGATATTCTGACATCTTGTGGCCTTCGTTGGAAACGGGATTTCTTCATATTCTGCTAGACAGAAGAATTCTCAGAATCTTCCTTGTGTTGTGTCTATTCAACTCACAGAGTTGAACGATCCTTTACACAGAGCAGACTTGAAACACTCTTTTTGTGGAATTTGCAAGTGGAGATTTCAGCCGCTTTGAGGTCCATGGTAGAAAAGGAAATATCTTCGTATAAAAACTAGACAGATTGATTCTCAGAAACTCCTTTGTGATGTGTGCGTTCAACTCACAGAGTTTAACCTTTCTTTTCATAGAGCAGTTAGGAAACACTCTGTTTGTAAAGTCTGCAAGTGGATATTCAGACCTCTTTGAGGCCTTCGTTGGAAACGGGATTTCTTCATATTCTGCTAGACAGAAGAATTCTCAGTAACTTCCTTGTGTTGTGTGTATTCAACTCACAGAGTTGAACGATCCTTTACACAGAGCAGACTTGTAACACTCTTTTTGTGGAATTTGCAAGTGGAGATTTCAGCCGCTTTGAAGTCAAAAGTAGAAAAGGAAATATCTTCCTATAAAAACTAGACAGAGTGATTCTCAGAAACTCCTTCGTGATGTCTGCGTTCAACTCACAGAGTTTAACCTTTCTTTTCATAGAGCAGTTAGGAAACACTCTGTTTGTAAAGTCTGCAAGTGGATATTCAGACCTCCTTGAGGCCTTCGTTGGAAACGGGATTTCTACATATTATGCTAGACAGAAGAATTCTCAGTAACTTCCTTGTGTTGTGTGTATTCAACTGACAGAGTTGAACTTTCATTTAGAGAGAGGAGATTTGAAACACTGTTTTTGTGGAATTTGCAAGTGGAGATTTCAAGCGCTTTGGGGCCAAAGGCAGAAAAGGAAATATCTTCGTATAAAAACTAGACAGAATCATTCTCAGTAACTGCTCTGTGATGTGTGCGTTCAACTCTCAGAGTTTAACTTTTCTTTTCATTCACCAGTTTGGAAACACTCAGTTTGTAAAGTCTGCACGTGGATATTTTGACCACTTAGGGGTCTTCGTTGGAAACGGGTTTTTTTCATGTAAGGCTAGACAGAAGAATTCCCAGTAACTTCCTTGTGTTGTGTGCATTCAACTCACAGAGTTGAACGTTCCCTTAGGCAGAGCAGATTTGAAACACTCTATTTGTGCAATTTGCAAGTGTAGATTTCAAGCGCTTTAAGGTCAACGGCAGAAAAGGAAATATCTTCGTCTCAAAACTAGACAGAATCATTCCCACAAACTGCGTTGTGATGTGTTCGTTCAACTCACAGAGTTTAACCTTTCTGTTCATAGAGCAGTTAGGAAACACTCTGTTTGTAAAGTCTGTAAGTGGATATTCTGACATCTTGTGGCCTTCGTTGGAAACGGGATTTCTTCATAGTCTGCTAGACAGAAGAATTCTCAGTAACTTCCTTGTGTTGTGTGTATTCAACTCACAGAGTTGAACGATCCTTTACACAGAGCAGACTTGAAACACTCTTTTTGTGGAATTTGCAAGTGGAGTTTTCAGCCGCTTTGAGGTCAATGGTAGAATAGGAAATATCTTCCTATAGAAACTAGACAGAATGATTCTCAGAAACTCCTTTGTGATGTGTGCGTTCAACTCACAGAGTTTAACTTTTCTTTTCATAGAGCCGTTAGGAAACACTCTGTTTGTAAAGTCTGCAAGTGGATATTCAGACCTCTTTGAGGCCTTCTTTGGAAAAGGGATTTCTTCATATTATGCTAGACAGAAGAATTCTCAGCAACTTCCTTGTGTTGTGTGTATTCAACTCACAGAGTTGAACGATCCTTTACACAGAGCAGACTTGTAACACTCTTTTTGTGGAATTTGCAAGTGGAGATTTCAGCCGCTTTGACGTCAAAGGTAGAAAAGGAAATATCTTCCTATAAAAACTAGACAGAATGATTCTCAGAAACTCCTTTGTGATGTGTGCGTTCAACTCACAGAGTTTAACCTTTCTTTTCATAGAGCAGTTAGGGAACACTCTGTTTGTAAAGTCTGCAAGTGGATATTCAGACCTCTTTGAGGCCTACGTAGGAAACGGGATTTCTTCATATTATGCTAGACAGAAGAATTCTCAGAAACTTCCTTGTGTTGTGTGTATTCAACTCACAGAGTTGAACGATCCTTTACACAGAGCAGACTTGAAACACTCTTTTTCTGGAATTTGCAAGTGGAGATTTCAGCCGCTTTGAGGTCAATGGTAGAATAGGAAATATCTTCCTATAGATACTAGACAGAATGTTTCTCATAAACTCCTTTGTGATGTGTGCATTCAACTCAAAGACTTTAACCTTTCTTTTCATAGAGCAGTTAGGAAACACTCTGTTTGTAAAGTCTGCAAGTGGATATTCAGACCTCCTTGAGGCCTTCGTTGGAAACGGGATTTCTTCATATTCTGCTAGACAGAAGAATTCTCAGTAACTTCCTTGTGTTGTGTGTATTCAACTCACAGAGTTGAACGATCCTTTACACAGAGCAGACTTGAAACACTCTTTTTGTGGAATTTGCAAGTGGAGATTTCAGCCGCTTTGAGGTCAATGGTAGAATAGGACATATCTTCCTATAGAAACTAGACAGAATGATTCTCAGAAACTCCTTTGTGATGTGTGCGTTCAACTCACAGAGTTTAACCTTACTGTTCATAGAGCAGTTAGGAAACACTCTGTTTGTAAAGTCTGCAAGTGGATATTCAGACCTCCTTGAGGCCTTCGTTGGAAACGGGATTTCTTCATATTCTGCTAGACAGAAGAACTCTCAGAATCTTCCTTGTGTTGTGTGTATTCAACGCACAGAGTTGAACGATCCTTTACACAGAGCAGACTTGAAACACTCTTTTTGTGGAATTTGCAAGTGGAGATTTCAGCCGCTTTGAGGTCCATGGTAGAAAAGGAAATATCTTCGTATAAAAACTAGACAGAATGATTCTCAGAAACTTCATTGTGATGTGTGCGTTCAACTCACAGAGTTTAACCTTTCTTTTCATAGAGCAGTTAGGAAACACTCTGTTTGTAAAGTCTGCAAGTGGATATTCAGACATCCTTGAGGCTTTCGTTGGAAACGGGATTTCTTCATATTCTGCTAGAAAGAAGAATTCTCAGTAACTTCCTTGTGTTGTGTGTATTCAACTCACAGAGTTGAACGATCCTTTACACAGAGCAGACTTGAAACACTGTTTTTGTGGAATTTGCAAGTGGAGATTTCAGCCGCTTTGAAGTCAATGGTAGAATAGGAAATATCTTCCTATAGAAACTAGACAGAATGATTCTCAGAAACTCCTTTGTGATGTGTGCGTTCAACTCACAGAGTTTAACCTTTCTTTTCATAGAGCAGTTAGGAAACACTCTGTTTGTAAAGTCTGCAAGTGGATATTCAGACCTCCTTGAGGCCTTCGTTGGAAGCGGGATTTCTTCATGTTCAGGTAGACAGAAGAATTCTCAGTAACTTCCTTGTGTTGTGTGTATTCAACTCACAGAGTTGAACGATCCTTTACACAGAGCAGACTTCAAACACTCTTTTTGTGGAATTTGCAAGTGGAGATTTCAGCCGCTTTGAAGTCAATGGTAGAATAGGAAATATCTTCCTATAGAAACTAGACAGAATGATTCTCAGAAACTCCTTTGTGATGTGTGCGTTCAACTCACAGAGTTTAACCTTTCTTTTCTCAGAGCAGTTAGGAAACACTCTGTTTGTAAAGTCTGCAAGTGGATATTCAGACATCTTTGAGGCTTTCGTTGGAAACGGGGTTTCTTCATATTCTGCTAGACAGAAGAATTCTCAGTAACTTCCTTGTGTTGTGTGTATTCAACTCACAGAGTTGAACGATCCTTTACACAGAGCATACTTGAAACACTCTTTTTGTGGAATTTGCAAGTGGAGATTTCAGCCGCTTTGAGGTCAATGGTAGAATAGGAAGTATCTCCCTATAGAAACTAGACAGAATGATTCTCAGAAACTCCTTTGTGATGTGTGCGTTCAACTCACACAGTTTAACCTTTCTTTTCATAGAGCTGTTAGGAAACACTCTGTTTGTAAAGTCTGCAAGTGGATATTCAGACCTCCTTGAGGCCTTCGTTGGAAACGGGATTTCTTCATATTATGCTAGACAGAAGAATTCCCAGTAACTTCCATGTGTTGTGTGTGTTCAACTCACAGAGTTGAAATTTCATTTACACAGAGCAGATTTGAAACACTCTTTTTGTGGAATTTGCAAATGGAGATTTCAAGCGGTTTGAGGCCAAAGGCAGAAAAGGAAATATCTTCGTATAAAAACTAGACAGAATCATTCTCAGAAACTGCTCTGTGATGTGTGCGTTCAACTCTCAGAGTTTAACTTTCCTTTTCATTCAGCAGTTTGGAAACACTCTGTTTGAAAAGTCTGCTGCTGGATAATTTGACCACTGAGAGGCCATCGTTGGAAACGGGTTTTTTCCATGTAACGCTAGACAGAAGAATTCTCAGTAACTTCCTTGTGTTGTGTGTATTCAACTCACAGAGTTGAACGATCCTTTACACAGAGCAGACTTGAAACACTCTTTTTGTAGAATTTGCAAGTGGAGATTTCAGCCGCTTTGAGGTCAATGGTAGAATAGGAAATATCTTCCTTTAGAAACTAGACAGAATGATTCTCAGAAACTCCTTTGTGATGTGTGCGTTCAACTCACAGAGTTTAACTTTTCTTTTCATAGAGCAGTTAGGAAACACTCTGTTTGTAAAGTCTGCAAGTGGATATTCAGACATCTTTGAGGCTTTCGTTGGAAACGGGATTTCTTCATATTCTGCTATACAGAAGAATTCCCAGTAACTTTCCTTGTGTTGTGTGTGTTCAACTTACAGAGTTGAACTTTCATTTACACAGAGCAGATTTGAAACACTCTTTTTGTGGAATTTGCAAGTGGAGATTTCAAGCGCTTTGAGGCCAAAGGCAGAAAAGGAAATATCTTCGTATAAAAACTAGACAGAATCATTCTCAGAAACTGCTCTGTGATGTGTGCGTTCAACTCTCAGAGTTTAACTTTTCTTTTCATTCAGCAATTTGGAAACACTCTGTTTGTAAGGTCTGCACGTGGATAATTTGACCACTTAGAGGCCTTCGTTGGAAACGGGTTTTTTTCATGTAAGGCTAGACAGAAGAATTCCCAGTAACTTCCTTGTGTTGTGTACATTCAACTCACAGAGTTGAACGTTCCCTTAGACAGAGCAGATTTGAAACACTCTTTTTGTGCAATTGGCAAATGGAGATTTCAAGCGCTTTAAGGTCAATGGCAGGAAAGGAAATATCTTCGTTTCAAAACTAGACAGAATCATTCCCACAAACTGCGTTGTGATGTGTTCGTTCAACTCACAGAGTTTAAACTTTCTTTTCATAGAGCAGTTAGGAACCAGTCTGTTTGTAAATTCTGTAAGTGGATATTCTGACATCTTGTGACCTTCGTTGGAAACGGGATTTCTTCATATTCTGCTAGACAGAAGAATTCTCAGTAACTTCATTGTGTTGTGTGTATTCAACTCACAGAGTTCAACGATGCTTTACACAGAGTAGACTTGAAACACTCTTGTTGTGGAATTTGCAAGTGGAGATTTCAGCCGCTTTGAGGTCAATGGTAGAATAGGAAATATCTTCCTATAGAAACTAGACAGAATGATTCTCAGAAACTCCTTTGTGATGTGTGCGTTCAACTCACACAGTTTAACCTTTGTTTTCATAGAGCAGTTAGGAAACACTCTGTTTGTAAAGTCTGCAAGTGGATATTCAGACCTCCTTGAGGCATTCGTTGGAAACGGGATTTCTACATATTATGCTAGACAGAAGAATTCTCAGTAACTTCCTTGTGTTGTGTGTATTCCACTCACAGAGTTGAACGATCCTTTACACAGAGCAGGCTTGTAACACTCTTTTTGTGGAATTTTCAAGTGGAGATTTCAGCCGCTTTGAAGTCAAAGGTAGAAAAGGAAATATCCTCCTATAAAAACTAGACAGAATGATTCTCAGAAACTCCTTTGTGATGTGTGCGTTCAACTCACAGAGTTTAACCTTTCTGTTCATAGAGCAGTTAGGAAACACTCTGTTTGTAAAGTCTGCAAGTGGATATTCAGACCTCTTTGAGGCCTTCGTTGGAAACGGGATTTCTTCATATTATGCTAGACCGAAGAATTCCCAGTAACTTCCTTGTGTTGTGTCTGTTCAACTCACAGAGTTGAACTTTCATTTACACAGAGCAGATTTGAAACACTCTTTTTCTGGAATTTGCAAGTGGAGATTTCAAGCGCTTTGAGGCCAAAGGCAGAAAAGGAAATATCTTCGTATAAAAACTAGACAGAATCATTCTCAGAAACTGCTCTGCGATGTGTGCGTTCAACTCTCAGAGTTTAACTTTTCTTTTCATTCAGCAGTTTGGAAACACTCTGTTTGTAAAGTCTGCACGTGGATATTTTGACCACTTAGAGGCCTTCGTTGGAAACGGGTTTTTTTCCTGTAAGCCTAGACAGAAGAATTCTCAGTAACTTCCTTGTGTTGTGTGTATTCAACTCACACAGTTGAACGATCCTTTACACAGAGCAGACTTGTAACACTCTTTTTGTGGAATTTGCAAGTGGAGATTTCAGCCGCTTTGAAGTCAAATGTAGAAAAGGAAATATCTTCCTATAAAAACTAGACAGAATGATTCTCAGAAACTTCTTTGTGATGTGTGCGTTCAACTCACAGAGTTTAACCTTTCTTTTCATAGAGCAGTTAGGAAACACTCTGTTTGTAAACTCTGCAAGTGGATATACAGACCTCTTTGAGGCCTTCGTTGGAATCGGGATTTCTTCATACTATGCTAGACAGAATATTTCTCAGTAACTTCTTTGTGTCGTGTGTATGCAACTCACAGAGTTCAACCTTCCTTCAGACAGAGCAGATTTGAAACACTCTTTTTGTGGAATTTGCAAGTCGAGATTTCAAGCGCTTTGAGGCCAAAGGCAGAAAAGGAAATACTTTCGTATAAAAACTAGACAGAATCATTCTCAGACACTGCTGCATGATGTGTGCGTTCAACTCTCAGAGTTTAACTTTTCTTTTCATTCAGCGGTTTGGAAACACTCTGTTTGTAAAGTCTGCACGTGGATATTTTGACCACTTAGAGGCCTTCGTTGGAAACGGGTTTTTTTCATGTAAGGCTAGACAGAAAGAATTCCCAGTAACTTCCTTGTGTTGTGTGCATTCAACTCACAGAGTTGAACGTTCCCTTAGACAGAGCAGATTTGAAACACTCTATTTGTGCAATTTGCAAGTGTAGTTTTCAAGCTCTTTAAGGTCAACGGCAGAAAAGGAAATATCTTCGTTTCAAAACTAGACAGAATCATTCCCACAAACTGCGTTGTGATGTGTTCGTTCATCTCACAGAGTTTAACTTTTCTGTTCATAGAGCAGTTAGGAAACACCCTGTTTGTAAAGTCTGCAAGTGGATATTCAGACCTCCTTGAGGCCTTCGCTGGAAACGGGATTTCTTCATATTCTGCTAGACAGAAGAATTCTCAGTAAATTCCTTGTGTTGTGTGTATTCAACTCACAGAGTTGAACGATCCTTTACACAGAGCAGACTTGAAACACTCTTTTTGTGGAATTTGCAAGTGGAGATTTCAGCCGCTTTGAGGTCAATGGTAGAATAGGAAATATCTTCCTATAGAAACTAGACACAATGATTCTCAGAAACTCCTTTGTGATGTGTGTGTTCAACTCACAGAGTTTAACCTTTCTTTTCATAGAGCAGTTAGGAAACACTCTGTTTGTAATGTCTGCAAGTGGATATTCAGACCTCTTTGAGGCCTTCGTTGGAAACGGGTTTTTTCATATAAGGCTAGACAGAAGAATTCTCAGTAACTTCCTTGTGTTGTGTGTATTCAACTGACAGAGTTGAACTTTCATTTAGAGAGAGCAGATTTGAAACACTGTTTTTGTGGAATTTGCAAGTGGAGATTTCAAGTGCTTTGGGGCCAAAGGCAGAAAAGGAAATATCTTCGTATAAAAACTAGACAGAATCATTCTCAGAAACTGCTCTGCGATGTGTGCGTTCAACTCTCAGAGTTTAACTTTTCTTTTCATTCAGCAGTTTGGAAACACTCTGTTTGTAAAGTCTGCACGTGGATATTTTGAACATTTAGAGGCCTTCGTTGGAAACGGGTTTTTTTCCTGTAAGGCTAGACAGAATAATTCTCAGTAACTTCCTTGTGTTGTGTGTATTCAACTCACAGAGTTGAACGATCCTTTACAGAGAGCAGACTTGAAACACTCTTTTTGTGGAATTTGCAAGTGGAGATTTCAGCCGCTATGAGGTCAATGGTAGAAAAGGAAATATCTTCGTATAAAGACTAGACAGAATGATTCTCCTAAACTCCTTCGTGATGTGTGCGTTCAAATCACAGAGTTGAACTTTTCTTTTCATAGAGCAGTTAGGAAACACTCTGTTTATATAGTCTGCAAGTGGATATTCAGACCCCTTTGAGGCCTTCGTTGGAAACGGGATTTCTTAATATTATGCTAGACAGAAGAATTCCCAGTAACTTCCTTGTGATGTGTGTGTTCAACTCTGTGAGTTGAACTTTCATTTACACAGAGCAGATTTGAAACACTCTTTTTGTGGAATTTGCAAATGGAGATTTCAAGCGCTTTGAGGCCAAAGGCAGAAAAGGAAATATCTTCGTATAAAAACTAGACAGAATGATTCTCAGAAACTCCTTTGTGATGTATGCGTTCAACTCACAGAGTTTAACCTTTCTTTTCATAGAGCAGTTAGGAAACACTCTGTTTGTAAAGTCTGCAAGTGGATATTCAGACCTCCTTGAGGCCTTCGTTGAAAACGGGTTTTCTTCATATTATGCTAGACAGAAGAATTCTCAGTAACTTCCTTGTGTTGTGTGTATTCAACTCACAGAGTTCAATGATCCTTTACACAGAGCAGACTTGAAACACTCTTTTTGTGGAATTTGCAATTGGGGATTTCAGCCGCTTTGAGGTCAATGGTAGAAAAGGAAATATCTTCGTATAAAAACTAGACAGAATGATTCTCAGAAACTCCTTTGTGATGTGTGCGTTCAACTCACAGAATTTAACCTTCCTTTTCATAGAGCAGTTGGGAAACACTCTGTTTGTAAAGTCTGCAAGTGGATATTCAGACCTCTTTGAGGCCTTCGTTGGAAACGGGATTTCTTCATATTCTGCTAGACAGAAGAATTCTCAGTAACTTCCTTGTGTTGTGTGTATTCAACTGACAGAGTTGAACTTTCATTTAGACAGAGCAGATTTGAAACACTCTTTTTGTGGAATTTGCAAGTGGAGATTTCAAGCGCTTTGAGGCCAAAGGCCGAAAAGGAAATATCTTCGTATAAAAACTAGACAGAATCATTCTCAGAAACTGCTCTGCGATGTGTGCGTTCAACTCTCAGAGTTTAACTTTTCTTTTCATTCAGCAGTTTGGAAACACTCTGTTTGTAAAGTCTGCACGTGGATATTTTGACCACTTAGAGGCCTTCGTTGGAAACGGGTTTTTTCCTGTAAGGCTAGACAGAAGAATTCTCAGTAACTTCCTTGTGTTGTGTGTATTCAACTCACAGAGTTGAACGATCCTTTACACAGAGCAGACTTGAAACACTCTTTTTGTGGAATTTGCAAGTGGAGATTTCAGCCGCTTTGAGGTCAACGGTAGAATAGGAAATATCTTCCTAAAGAAACTAGACAGAATGATTCTCAGAAACTCCTTTGAGCTGTGTGCGTTCAACTCACAGAGTTTAACCTTTCTTTTCATAGAGCAGTTAGGAAACACTCTGTTTGTAAAGTCTGCAAGTGGATATTCAGACATCTTTGAGGCTTTCGTTGGAAACGGGTTTTCTTCATATTCTGCTAGACAGAAGAATTCTCAGAAACTTCCTGGTGTTGTGTGTTTTCAACTCACAGAGTTCAACGATCCTTTACACAGAGTAGACTTGAAACACTCTTTTTGTGGAATTGGCAAGTGGAGATTTCAGCCGCTTTGAGGTCAAGGGTAGAAAAGGAAATATCTTCGTACAAAAACTAGACAGAATGATTCTCAGCAAACTCCTTTGTGATGTGTGCGTTCAACTCACAGAGTTCAACCTTTCTTTTCATAGAGCAGTTGGGAAACACTCTGTTTGTAAAGTCTGCAAGTGGATATTCAGACTTCTTTGAGGCCTTCGTTGGAAGCGGGATTTCTTCATATTCTGCTAGACAGAAGAATTCCCAGTAACTTCCTTGTGTTGTGTGTGTTCAACTCACAGAGTTGAACTTTCATTTACACAGAGCAGATTGGAAACACTCTTTTTGTGGAATTTGCAAGTGGAGATTTCAAGCGCTTTGAGGCCAAAGGCAGAAAAGGAAATATCTTCAGTATAAAAATTAGACAGAATCATTCTCAGAAACCGCTCTGTGATGTGTGCGTTCAACTCTCAGAGTTTAACTTTTCTTTTCATTCAGCAGTTTGGAAACACTCTGTTTGTAAAGTCTCCTCGTGGATATTTTGACCACTTAGAAGCCTTCGTTGGAAACGTGTTTTTTTTCATGTAAGGCTAGACAGAAGAATTCCCAGTAACTTCCTTTTGTTGTGTGCATTCAACTCACAGAGATGAACGTTCCCTTAGACAGAGCAGATTTGAAACACTCTATTTGTGCAATTTGCAAGTGTAGATTTCAAGCGCTTTAAGGTCAATGGCAGAAAAGGAAATATCTTCGTTTCAAAACTAGACAGAATTATTCCCACAAACTGCGTTGTGATGTGTTCGTTCAACTCACAGAGTTAAACCTTTCTTTTCATAGAGCAGTTAGGAAACAGTCTGTTTGAAAATTCTGTAAGTGGATATTCTGACATCTTGTGGCCTTCGTTGGAAACGGGATTTCTTCATATTCTGCTAGACAGAAGAATTCTCAGAATCTTCCCTGTGTTGTGTGTATTCAACTCACAGAGTTGAACGATGGTTTACACAGAGCAGATTTGAAACACTCATTTGGTGGAATTTGCAAGTGGAGATTTCAGCCGCTTTGAGGTCAATGGTAGAAAAGGAAATATCTTCGTATAACAACTAGACAGAATGATTCTCAGAAAATCTTTTGTGATGTGTGCGTTCAACTCACAAAGTTTAACTTTTCTTCTCATAGAGCAGTTAGGAAACACTCTGTTTGTAAAGTCTGCAAGTGTATATTCAGACCTACTTTGAGGCCTTCGTTGGAAACGGGATTTCTTCATATTATGCTAGACAGAAGAATTCTCAGTAACTTCCTTGTGTTGTGTGTATTCAACTCACAGAGTTGAATGATCCTTTACACAGAGCAGACCTGAAACACTCTTTTTGTGGAATTTGCAAGTGGAGATTTCAGCTGCTTTGAGGTCAATGGTAGAAAAGGAAACTATCTTCGTATAAAGACTAGACAGAATGATTCTCAGAAACTCCTTTGTGATGTGTGTGTTCAACTCACAGAGTTTAACCTTTCTTTTCATAGAGCAGTTAGTAAACACTTTGTTTATAAAGTCTGCAAGTGGATATTCAGACCCCTTTGAGGCCTTCGTTGGAAACGGGATTTCTTCATATTATGCTAGACAGAAGAATTCCCAGTAACTTCCTTGTGTTGTGTGTGTTCAACTCACAGAGTTGAACTTTCATTTACACAGAGCAGATTTGAAACACTCTTTTTGTGGAATTTGCAAATGGAGATTTCAAGCGCTTTGAGGCCAAAGGCAGAAAAGGAATTATCTTCGTATAAAAACTAGACAGAATCATTCTCAGAAACTGCTGCGTGATGTGTGCATTCAACTCTCAGAGTTTAACTTTTCTTTTCATTCAGCGGTTTGGAAACACTCTGTTTGTAAAGTCTGCACGTGGATATTTTGACCACTTAGAGGCCTTCGTTGGAAACGGGTTTTTTTTCATGTAAGGCTAGACAGAAGAATTCCCAGTAACTTCCTCGTGTTGTGTGCATTCAACTCACAGAGTTGAACGTTCCCTTAGACAGAGCAGATTTGAAACACTCTATTTGTGCAATTGGCAAGTGTAGATTTCAAGCGCTTTAAGGTCAATGGCAGAAAAGGGAATATCTTCGTTTCAAAACTAGACAGAATCATTCCCACAAACTGCGTTGTGATGTGTTCGTTCAACTCACAGAGCTTAACCTTTCTTTTCATAGAGCACTTAGGAAACACTCTGTTTGTAAATTCTGTAAGTGGATATTCTGAAATCTTGTGGCCTTCGTTGGAAACGGGATTTCTTCATATTCTGCTAGACAGAAGAATTCTCAGTAACTTCCCTTGTGTTGTGTGTATTCAACTCACAGAGTTGAATGATCCTTTACACAGAGCAGACTTGAAACATTCTTTTTGTGGAATTTGCAAGTGGAGATTTCAGCCGCTTTGAGGTCAATGGTAGAAAAGTAAATATCTTCGTATAAAGACTAGACAGAATGATTCTCAGAAACTCCTTTGTGATGTGTGCGTTCAACTCACAGAGTTTAACCTTTCTGTTCATAGAGCTGTTAGGAAACACTCTGTTCGTAAAGTCTGCAAGTGGATATTCAGACCTCCTTGAGGCCTTCGTTGGAAACGGGATTTCTTCATATTCTGCTAGACAGAAGAATTCTCAGTAACTTCCTTGTGTTGTGTTTATTCAACTCACAGAGTTGAATGATCCTCTACACAGAGCAGACTTGAAACACTCTTTTTGTGGAATTTGCAAGTGGAGATTTCAGCCGCTTTGAAGTCAATGGTAGAAAAGTAAATATCTTCGTATAAAGACTAGACAGAATGATTCTCAGAAACTCCTTTGTGATGTGTGAGTTCAACTCACAGAGTTTATCCTTTCTTTTCATAGAGCAGTTAGGAAGCACTCTGTTTGTAAAGTCTGCAAGTGGATATTCAGACCTCTTTCAGGCCTTCGTTGGAAACGGGATTTCTTCATATTCTGCTAGACAGAAGAATTCTCAGTAACTTCCTTGTGTTGTGTGTATTCAACTCACAGAGTTGAACGATCCTTTACACAGAGCAGACTTGAAACACTCTTTCTGTGGAATTTGCAAGTGGAGATTTCAGCCGCTTTGAGGTCAATAGTAGAAAAGGAAATATGCTTCGTAGAAAAACTAGACAGAATGATTCTCAGAAACTCCTTTGTGATGTGTGCGTTCAACTCACAGAGTTTAACCTTTCTTTTCATAGAGCAGTTGGGAAACACTCTGTTTGTAAAGTCTGCAAGTGGATATTCAGACATCCTTGAGGCATTCGTTGGAAACGGGATTTCTTCATATTCTGCTAGAAAGAAGAATTCTCAGTAACTTCCTTGTGTTGTGTGTATTCAACTCACAGAGTTGAACGATCCTTTACACAGAGCAGACTTGAAACATTCTTTTTGTGGAATTTGCAAGTGGAGATTTCAGCCGCTTTGGGGTCAATGGTAGAATAGGAAATATCTTCCTATAGAAACTAGACAGAATGATTCTGAGAAACTCCTTTGTGATGTGTGCGTTCAACTCACAGAGTTTAACCTTTCTTTTCATAGAGCAGTTGGGAAACACTCCGTTTGTAAACTCTGCAAGTGGATATTCAGACCTCCTTTAGGCCTTCGTTGGAAACGGGATTTCTTCATATTATGCTAGACAGAAGAATTCTCAGTAACTTCCTTGTGTTGTGTGTATTCAACTGACAGAGTTGAACTTTCATTTAGAGAGAGCAGATTTGAAACACTGTTTTTCTGGAATTTGCAAGTGGAGATTTCAAGCGCTTTGGGGCCAAAGGCAGAAAAGGAAATATCTTCGTATAAAAACTAGACAGAATCATTCTCAGAATCTGCTGCGTGATGTGTGCGTTCAACTCTCAGAGTTTAACTTTTCTTTTCATTCAGCGGTTTGGAAACACTCTGTTTGTAAAGTCTGCACGTGGATATTTTGACCACTTAGAGGCCTTCGTTGGAAACGGGATTTTTTCATGTAAGGCTAGACAGAAGAATTCCCAGTAACTTCCTTGTGTTGTGTGCATTCAACTCACAGAGTTGAACGTTCCCTTAGACAGAGCAGATTTGAAACACTCTATTTCTGCAATTTGCAAGTGTAGTTTCCAAGCTCTTTAAGGTCAACGGCAGAAAAGGAAATATCTTCGTTTCAAAACTAGACAGAATCATTCCCACAAACTGCGTTGTGATGTGTTCGTTCAACTCACAGAGTTTAACCTTTCTGTTCATAGAGCAGTTAGGAAACACTCTGTTTGTAAAGTCTGTAAGTGGATATTCTGACATCTTGTGGCCTTCGTTGGAAACGGGATTTCTTCATATTCTGCTAGATAGAACAATTCTCAGTAACTTCCTTGTGTTGTGTGTATTCAACACACAGAGTTGAACGATCCTTTACACAGAGCAGACTTGAAACACTCTTTTTGTGGAATTTGCAAGTGGAGATTTCAGCCGCTTTGAGGTCAATGGTAGAATAGGAAATATCTTCCTATAGAAACTAGACAGAATGATTCTCAGAAACTCCTTTGTGATGTGTGCGTTCATCTCACAGAGTTTAACCTTTCTTTTCATAGAGCAGTTGGGAAACACTCTGTTTGTAAAGTCTGCAAGTGGATATTCAGACATCCTTGAGGCTTTCGTTGGAAACGGGATTTCTTCATATTCTGCTAGAAAGAATAATTCTCAGTAACTTCCTTGTGTTGTGTGTATTCAACTCACAGAGTTGAAGGATCCTTTACAGAGAGCAGGCTTGAAACACTCTTTTTGTCGAATTTGCAAGTGGAGATTTCAGCCGCTTTGAGGTCAATGGTAGAATAGGTAATATCTTCTTATAGAAACTAGACAGAATGATTCTCATGAACTCCTTTGTGATGTGTGCGTTCAACTCACAGAGTTTAACCTTTCTTTTCATAGAGCAGTTAGGAAACACTCTGTTTGTAAAGTCTGCAAGTGGATATTCAGACCTCCTTGAGGCCTTCGTTGGAAACGGGATTACTTCATATTCTGCTAGACAGAAGAATTCTCAGTAACTTCCTTGTGTTGTGTGCATTCAACTCACAGAGTTGAATGATCCTTTACACAGAGCAGATTAGAAACACTCTTTTTGAGGAATTTGCAAGTGGAGATTTCAGCCGCTTTGAGGTCAATGGTAGAAAAGGAAATATCTTCGTATAAAAACTAGACAGAATGATTCTCATAAACTCCTTTGTGATGTGCGCATTCAACTCACAGAGTTTCACCTTTCTTTTCATAGAGCAGTTAGGATACACTCTGTTTGTAAAGTCTGCAAGTGGATATTCAGACCTCCTTGAGGCCTTCGTTGGAAACGGGAATTCTTCATATTCTGCTAGACAGAAGAATTCTCAGTAACTTCCCTGTGTTGTGTGTATTCAACTGACAGAGTCGAACTTTCATTTAGAGAGAGCAGATTTGTAACACTGTTTTTGTGGAATTTGCAAGTGGAGATTTCAAGCGCTTTGGGGCCAAAGGTAGAAAAGGAAATATCTTCGTATAAAAACTAGACAGAATCATTCTCAGAAACTGCTCTGCGATGTGTGCGTTCAACTCTCAGAGTTTAACTTTTCTTTTCATTCAGCAGTTTGGAAACACTCTGTTTGTAAAGTCTGCACGTGGATAACTTGACCACTTAGAGGACTTCGTTGGAAACGGGTTTTTTTCCTGTAAGGCTAGACAGAAGAATTCCCAGTAACTTCCTTGTGTTGTGTGCATTCAACTCACTGAGATGAACGTTCCCTTAGACAGAGCAGATTTGAAACACTCTATTTGTGCAATTTGCAAGTGTAGATTTCAAGCGCTTTAAGGTCAATGGCAGAAAAGGAAATATCTTTGTTTCAAAACTAGACAGAATCATTCCCACAAACTGCGTTGTGATGTGTTCGTTCAACTCACAGAGTTTAACCTTTCTGTTCATAGAGCAGTTAGGAAACACTCTGTTTGTAAAGTCTGTAAGTGGATATTCTGACATCTTGTGGCCTTCGTTGGAAACGGGATTTCTTCATATTCTGCGAGACAGAATAATTCTCAGTAACTTCCTTGTGTTGTGTGTATTCAACTCACAGAGTTGAACGATCCTTTACACAGAGCAGACTTGAAACACTCTTTTTGTGGAATTTGCAAGTGGAGATTTCAGCCGCTTTGAGGTCAATGGTAGAATAGGAAATATCTTCCTATGGAAACTAGACAGAATGATTCTCAGAAACTCCTTTGTGATGTGTGTGTTCAACTCACAGAGTTTAACCTTTCTTTTCATAGAACAGTTAGTAAACACTCTGGTTTTAAAGTCTGCAAGTGGATATTCAGACCCCTTTGAGGCCTTCGTTGGAAACAGGATTTCTTCATATTCTGCTAGACAGAATAATTCTCAGTAACTTCCTTGTGTTGTGTGTATTCAACTAACAGAGTTGAACTTTCATTTGGAGAGAGCAGATTTGAAACACTGTTTTTGTGGAATTTGCAAGTGGAGATTTCAAGCGCTTTGGGGCCAAAGGCAGAAAAGGAAATATCTTCGTATAAAAACTAGACAGAATCATTCTCAGAAAATGCTCTGTGATGTGTGCGTTGAACTCTCAGAGTTTAACTTTTGTTTTCATTCAGCAGTTTGGAAATACTCTGTTTGTAAAGTCTGCACGTGGATATTTTGACCACTTAGAGGCCTTATTTGGAAACGGGTTTTTTTCATGTAAGGGTAGACAGAAGAATTCCCAGTAACTTTCCTTGTGTTGTGTACATTCAACTCACAGAGTTGAACGTTCCCTTAGACAGAGCAGATTTGAAACACTCTTTTTGTGCAATTGGCAAGTGGTGATTTCAGCCGCTTTGAGGTCAATGGTAGAAAAGGAAATATCTTCCTATAAAAACTAGACAGAATCATTCCCACAAACTGCGTTGTGATGTGTTCGTTCAACTCACAGAGTTTAACCTTTCTTTTCATAGAGCAGTTAGGAAACAGTCTGTTTGTAAATTCTGTAAGTGGATATTCTGACATCTTGTGGCCTTCGTTGGAAACGGGATTTCTTCATATTCTGCTAGAGAGAATACTTCTCAGTAACTTCCTTGTGTTGTGTGTATTCAACTCACAGAGTTGAAGGATCCTTTACAGAGAGCAGGCTTGAAACACTCTTTTTGTCGAATTTGCAAGTGGAGATTTCAGCCGCTTTGTGGTCAATGGTAGAATAGGAAATATCTTCTTATAGAAACTAGACAGAATGATTCTCAGAAACTTCTTTGTGATGTGTGCGTTCAACTCACAGAGTTTAACCTTTCTTTTCATAGAGCAGTTAGGAAACACTCTGTTTGTAAACTCTGCAAGTGGATATTCAGACCTGTTTGAGGCCTTCGTTGGAAACGGTATTTCTTCATACTATGCTAGACAGAAGAATTCTCAGTAACTTCCTTGTGTTGTGTGTATTCAACTCACAGAGTTGAACGATCCTTTACACAGAGCAGACTTGTAACACTCTTTTTGTGGAATTTGCAAGTGGAGATTTCAGCCGCTTTGAAGTCAAAGGTAGAAAAGGAAATATCTTCCTATAAAAACTAGATAGAATGATTCTGAGAAACTCCTTTGTGATGTCTGCGTTCAACTCACAGAGTTCAACCTTTCTTTTCATAGAGCAGTTAGGAAACACTCTGTTTGTAAAGTCTGCAAGTGGATATTCAGACTTCTTTGAGGCTTTCGTTGGAAACGGGATTTCTTCATATTCTGCTAGACAGAAGAATTCCCAGTAACTTCCTTGTGTTGTGTGTGTTCAACTCACAGAGTTGAACTTTCATTCACACAGAGCAGATTTGAAACACTCTTTTTGTGGAATTTGCAAGTGGAGATTTCAAGCGCTTTGAGGCCAAAGGCAAAAAAGGAAATATCTTCGTATAAAAACTAGACAGAATCATTCTCAGAAACTGCTCTGCGATGTGTGCGTTCAACTCTCAGAGTTTAACTTTTCTTTTCATTCAGCAGTTTGGAAACACTCTGTTTGTAAAGTCTGCACGTGGATATTTTGACCACTTAGGGGCCTTCGTTGGAAACGGGTTTCTTTCCTGTAAGGCTAGACAGAAGAATTCCCAGTAACTTCCTTGTGTTGTGTACATTCAACTCACAGAGTTGAACGTTCCCTTAGACAGAGCAGATTTGAAACACTCTTTTTGTGCAATTGGCAAGTGGAGATTTCAAGCGCTTTGAGGTCAATGGCAGAAAACGAAATATCTTCGTTTCAAAACTAGACAGAATCATTCCCACAATCTGCGTTGTGATGTGTTCGTTCAACTCACAGAGTTTAACCTTTCTTTTCATAGAGCAGTTAGGAAACAGTCTGTTTGTCAATTCTGTAAGTGGATATTCTGACATCTTGTGGCCTTCGTTGGAAACGGGATTTCTTCATATTCTGCTAGACAGAAGAATTCTCAGAAACTTCCTTGTGTTGTGTGTTTTCAACTCACAGATTTGAACGATGCTTTACACAGAGTAGACTTGAAACACTCTTTTTGTGGAATTTGCAAGTGGAGATTTCAGCCGCTTTGAGGTCAATGGTAGAAAAGGAAATATCTTCGTTTAAAAACTAGACAGAATGATTCTCAGAAACTCATTTGTGATGTGTGCGTTCAACTCACAGAGTTTAACCTTTCTTTTCATAGAGCAGTTAGGAAACACTCTGTTTGTAATGTCTGCAAGTGGATATTCAGACCTCTTTGAGGCCTTCGTTGGAAACGGGATTTCTTCATATTACGCTAGACAGAAAAATTCTCAGTAACTTCCTTGTATTCTGTGTATTCAACTCTCAGAGTTGAATGATCCTTTACACAGAGCAGACTTGAAACACTCTTTTTGTGGAATTTGCAAGTGGAGATTTCAGCCGCTTTGTGGTCAATGGTAGAATAGGAAATATCTTCCTATAGAAACTAGACAGAATGATTCTCAGAAACTCCTTTGTGATGTGTGCGTTCAACTCACAGAGTTTAACCTTTCTGTTCATAGAGCAGTTAGGAAACATTCCGTTTGTAAAGTCTGCAAGTGGATATTCAGACCTCTTTGAGGCCTTCGTTGGAAACGGGATTTCTTCATATTATGCTAGACAGAAGAATTCTCAGCAACTTCCTTGTGTTGTGTGTATTCAACTCACAGAGTTGAACGATCCTTTACACAGAGCAGACTTGAAACACTCTTTTTGTGGAATTTGCAAGTGGAGATTTCAGCCGCTTTCAGGTCAATAGTAGAAAAGGAAATATCTTCGTAGAAAAACTAGACAGAATCATTCTCAGAAACTCCTTCGTGATGTGTGCCGTTCAACTCACAGAGTTTAACCTTTCTTTTCATAGAGCAGTTAGGAAACACTCTGTTTATAAAGTCTGCAAGTGGATATTCAGACCTCTTTGAGGCCTTCGTTGGAAACAGGATTTCTTCATATGATGCTAGACAGAAGAATTCTCAGTGACTTCCTTGTGTTGTGTGTATTCAACTCACAGAGTTGAACGATCCTTTACACAGAGCAGACTTGAAACACTCTTTTTGTGGAATTTGCAAGTGGAGATTTCAGCCGCTATGTGGTCAATGGTAGAATAGGAAATATCTTCCTATAGAAACTAGACAGAATGATTCTCAGAAACTCCTTTGTGATGTGTGCCTTCAACTCACAGAGTTTAACCTTTCTTTTCATAGAGCAGTTAGGAAACACTCTGTAAAGTCTGCAAGTGGATATTCAGACCTCTTTGAGGCCTTCGTTGGAAACGGGATTTCTTCATATTCTGCTAGACAGAAGAATTCTCAGTAACTTCCTTGTGTTGTGTGTATTCAACTCACAGAGTTGAACGATCCTTTACACAGAGCAGACTTGAAACACTCTTTTTGTGGAAATTGCAAGTGGAGATTTCAGCCGCTTTGAGGTCAATGGTAGAAAAGGAAATATCTTCGTATAAAAACTGGAGAGAATGATTCTCAGAAACTCCTTTGTGATGTGTGCGTTCAACTCACAGAGTTTAACCTTTCTTTTCGTAGAGCAGTTAGGAAACACTCTGTTTGTAAAGTCTGCAAGTGGATATTCAGACCTCCTTGAGGCCTTCGTTGGAAACGGGATTTCTTCATATTCTGCTCTACAGAAGAATTCTCAGTAACTTCCTTGTGTTGTGTGTATTCAACTCACAGAGTTGAACGATCCTTTACACAGTGCAGACTTGAAACACTCTTTTTGTGGAATTTGCAAGTGGAGATTTCAGCCGCTGTGAGTTCAATGGTAGAATAGGAAATATCTTCCTATAGAAACTAGACAGAATGATTCTCAGAAACTCCTTTGAGATGTGTGTGTTCAACTCACAGAGTTTAACCTTTCTTTTCATAGAGCAGTTAGGAATCACTCTGTTTGTAAAGTCTGCAAGTGGATATTGAGACCTCTTTGAGGCCTTCGTTGGAAACGGGATTTTTTCATATAAGGCTAGACAGAATAATTCTCAGTAACTTCCTTGTGTTGTGTGTATTCAACTCACAGAGTTGAACGATCCTTTACACAGAGCAGACTTGAAACACTCTTTGTGTGGAATTTGCAAGTGGAGATTTCAGCCGCTTTGAGGTCAATGGTAGAATAGGAAATATCTTCCTATAGAAACTAGACAGAATGATTCTCAGAAACTCCTTTGTGATGTGTGCGTTCAACTCACAGAGTTTAACTTTCCTTTTCATAGAGCAGTTAGGAAACACTCTGTTTGTAATGTCTGCAAGTGGATATTCAGACCCCTTTGAGGCCTTCGTTGGAAACGGGATTTCTTCATATTATGCTAGACAGAATAATTCTCAGTAACTTCCTTGTTTTGTGTGTATTCAACTCACAGAGTTGAACGATCCTTTACAGAGAGCAGACTTGAAACACTCTTTTTGTGGAATTTGCAAGTGGAGATTTCAGGCGCTTTGAGGTCAATGGTAGAATAGGAAATATCTTCCTATAGAAACTAGACAGAATGATTCTGAGAAACTCCTTTGTGATGTGTGCGTTCAACTCACACAGTTTAACCTTTCTTATCATAGAGCAGTTAGGAAACACTCTGTTTGTAAAGTCTGCAAGTGGATATTCAGACCTCCTTGAGGCCTTCGTTGGAAACGGGATTTCTTCATATTATGCTAGACATAAGAATTCTCAGTAACTGCCTTGTGTTGTGTGTATTCAACTCACAGAGTTGAACGATCCTTTACACAGGGCAGACTTGAAACACTCTTTTTGTGGAACTTGCAAGTGGAGATTTCAGCCGCTTTGAGGTCAATGGTAGAATAGGAAATATCTTCCTATAGAAACTAGACAGAATGATTCTCAGAAACTCCTTTGTGATGTGTGCGTTCAACTCGCAGAGTTCAACCTTTCTTTTCATAGAGCAGTTGGGAAACACTCTGTTTGTAAAGTCTGCAAGTGGATATTCAGACATCCTTGAGGCTTTCGTTGGAAACGGGTTTTCTTCATATTCTGCTAGAAAGAAGAATTCTCAGTAACTTCCTTGTGTTGTGTGTATTCAACTCACAGAGTTCAACGATCCTTTACACAGAGCAGACTTGAAACACTCTTTTTGGGGAATTTGCAAGTGGAGATTTCAGCCGCTTTGAGGTCAATGGTTGAAAAGGAGATATCTTCGTATAAAAACTAGACAGAATGATTCTCAGAAACTCCTTTGTGATGTGTGCGTTCAACTCACAGAGTATAACCTTTCTTTTCTTAGAGCAGTTAGGAAACACTCTGTTTGTAAAGTCTGCAAGTGGATATTCAGACCTCCTTGAGGCCTTCGTTGGAAACGGGTTTTTTTCATATAAGGCTAGACAGAAGAATTCTCAGTAACTTCCTTGTGTTGTGTGTATTCAACTCACAGAGTTGAACGATCCTTTACACAGAGCAGACTTGAAACTCTCTTTTTGTGGAATTTGCAAGTGGAGATTTCAGCCGCTTTGAGTTCAATGTTAGAATAGGAAATATCTTCCTATAGAAACTAGACAGAATGATTCTCAAAAACTCCTTTGTGATGTGTGCGTTCAACTCACAGAGTTCAACCTTTCTTTTCCTAGAGCAGTTGGGAAACACTCTGTTTGTAAAGTCTGCAAGTGGATATTCAGACTTCTTTGAGGCCTTCGTTGGAAGCGGGATTTCTTCATATTCTGCTAGACAGAAGAATTCTCAGTAACTTCCTTGTGTTGTGTGTATTCAACTGACAGAGTTGAACTTTCATTTGGAGAGAGCAGATTTGAAACACTGTTTTTGTGGAATTTGCAAGTGGAGATTTCAAGCGCTTTGGGGCCAAAGGCAGAAAAGGATATATCTTCGTAGAAAAACTAGACAGAATCATTCTCAGAAACTGCTCTGCAATGTGTGCGTTCAACTCTCAGAGTTTAACTTTGCTTTTCATTCAGCAGTTTGGAAACACTCTGTTTGTAAAGTCTGCACGTGGATATTTTGACCACTTAGAGGCCTTCGTTGGAAACGGGTTTCTTTCCTGTAAGGCTAGACAGAAGAATTCCCAGTAACTTCCTTGTGTTGTGTGCATTCAACTCACAGAGTTGAACGTTGCCTTAGACAGAGCAGATTTGAAACACTCTATTTGTGCAATTTGCAAGTGTAGATTTCAAGCGCTTTAAGGTCAATGGCAGAAAAGGAAATATCTTCGTTTCAAAACTAGACAGAATGATTCTCAGAAACTTCATTGTGATGTGTGCGTTCAACTCACAGAGTTAAACCTTTCTTTTCATAGAGCAGTTGGGAAACAGTCTGTTTGTAAATTCTGTAAGTGGATATTCTGACATCTTGTGGCCTTCGTTGGAAACAGGATTTCTTCATATTCTGCTAGACAGAAGAATTCTCAGAAACTTCCTTGTGTTGTGTGTATTCAACTCACAGAGTTGAACGATCGTTTACACAGAGCAGACTTGAGACACTCTTTTTGTGGAATTTGTAAGTGGAGATTTCAGCCGCTTTGAGGTCATTGGTAGAAAAGGAAATATCTTCATATAAAAACTAGACAGAATGATTCTCATAAACTCCTTTGTGATGTGTGCGTTCAACTCACAGCAGTTTAACTTTTCTTTTCATAGAGCAGTTAGGAAAAACTCTGTTTGTAAAGTCTGCAAGTGGATATTCAGACCTCTTTGAGGCCTTCGTTGGAAACGGGATTTCTTCATATTATGCTAGACAGAAGAATTCTCAGTAACTTCCTTGTGTTGTGTGTATTCAACTCACAGAGTTGAACGATCCTTTACACAGAGCAGACTTGAAACACTCTTTTTGTGGAATTTGCAAGTGGAGATTTCAGCCGCTTTGAGTTCAATTGTAGAATAGGAAATATCTTCCTATAGAAACTAGACAGAATGATTCTCAGAAACTCCTTTGTGATGTGTGCGTTCAACTCACAGAGTTTAACCTTTCTTTTCATAGAGCAGTTAGGAAACACTCTGTTTGTAAAGTCTGCAAGTGGATATTCAGTCTTCTTTGAGGCTTTCGTTGGAAACGGGATTTCTTCATATTCTGCTATACAGAAGAATTCTCAGTAACTTCCTTGTGTTGTGTGCATTCAACTCAGAGAGTTGAACGATCTTTTACACAGAGCAGATTGGACACACTCTTGTTGTGGAATTGCAAGTGGAGATTTCAGCCCCTTTGAGGTCAATGGTAGAAAAGGAAATATCTTTGTATAAAAACAAGACAGAATGATTCTCAGAAACTCCTTTGTGATGTGTGCGTTCAAGTCACAGAGTTTAACCTTTCTTTTCATAGAGCAGTTAGGAAACACTCTGTTTCTAAAGTCTGCAAGTGGATATTCAGACCTCTTTGAGGCCTTCGTTGGAAACGGGATTTCTTCATATTCTGCTAGACAGAAGAATTCTCAGTAACTTCCTTGTGTTGTGTGTATTCAACTCACAGAGTTGAACGATCCTTTATACAGAGCAGACTTGTAACACTCTTTTTGTGGAATTTGCAAGTGGAGATTTCAGCCGCTTTGAAGTCAAAGGTAGAAAAGGAAATATCTTCCTATAAAAACTAGACAGAATGATTCTCAGAAAATCTTTTGTGATGTGTGCGTTTAACTCACAGAGTTTAACTTTTCTTCTCATAGAGCAGTTAGGAAACACTCTGTTTGTAAAGTCTGCAAGTGGATATTCAGACCTCTTTGAGGCCTTCGTTGGAAACGGGATTTCTTCATATTATGCTAGACAGAAGAATTCTCAGTAACTTCCTTGTGTTGTGTGTATTCAACTGACAGAGTTGAACTTTCATTTAGACAGAGCAGATTTGAAACACTCTTCTTGTGGAATTTGCAAATGGAGATTTCAAGCGCTTTGAGGCCAAAAGCAGAAAAGGAAATATCTTCGTATAAAAACTAGACAGAATCATTCTCAGAAACTGCTCTGCGATGTGTGCGTTCAACTCTCAGAGTTTAACTTTTCTTTTCATTCAGCAGTTTGGAAACACTCTGTTTGTAAAGTCTGCACGTGTTTATTTTGACCACTTAGAGGCCTTCGTTGGAAACGGGTTTTTTTCCTGTAAGGCTAGACAGAAGAATTCCCAGTAACTTCCTTGTGTTGTGTGCATTCAACTCACAGAGGTGAACGTTCCCTTAGACAGAGCAGATTTGAAACACTCTATTTGTGCAATTTGCAAGTGTAGATTTCAAGCGCTTTAAGGTCAATGGCAGAAAAGGAAATATCTTCGTTTCAAAACTAGACAGAATCATTCCCACAAACTGCGTTGGGATGTGCTCGTTCAACTCACAGAGTTTAAACTTTCTGTTCATAGAGCAGTTAGGAAACACTCTGTTTGTAAAGTCTGTAAGTGGATATTCTGACATCTTGTGGCCTTTGTTGGAAACGGGATTTCTTCATATTCTGCTAGACAGAAGAATTCTCAGTAACTTCCTTGTGTTGTGTGTTTTCAACTCACAGAGTTGCACGATCCTTTACACAGAGCAGACTTGAAACACTCCTTTTGTGGAATTTGCAAGTGGAGATTTCAGCCGCTTTGAGGTCAATGGTAGAATAGGAAATATCTTCCTATAGAAAGTAGACAGAATGATTCTCAGAAACTCCTTTGTGATGTGTGCGTTCAACTCACAGAGTTTAACTTTTCTTTTCATAGAGCAGTTAGGAAACACTCTGTTTGTAAAGTCTGCAAGTGGATATTCAGACCTCTTTGAGGCCTTCGTTGGAAACGGGATTTCTTCATATTATGCTAGACCGAAGAATTGCCAGTAACTTCCTTGTGTTGTGTGTGTTCAACTCACAGAGTTGAACTTTCATTTACACAGAGCAGATTTGAAACACTCTTTTTGTGGAATTTGCAAATGGAGATTTCAAGCACTTTGAGGCCAAAGGCAGAAAAGGAAATGTCTTCGTTTCAAAACTAGACAGAATCATTCCCAGAAACTGCTCTGCGATGTGTGCGTTCAACTCTCAGAGTTTAACTTTTCTTTTCATTCAGCAGTTTGGAAACACTCTGTTTGTAAAGTCTGCACGTGGATAATTTGACCACTTAGAGGCCTTCGTTGGAAACGGGTTTTTTTCATGTAAGGCTAGACAGAAGAATTCTCAGTAACTTCCTTCTGTTGTGTGTATTCAACTCACAGAGTTGAACGATCCTTTACACAGAGCAGACTTGTAACACTCTTTTTGTGGAATTTGCAAGTGGAGATTTCAGCCGCTTTGAAGTCAAAGGTAGAAAAGGAAATATCTTCCTATAAAAACTAGACAGAATGATTCTCAGAAACTCCTTTGTGATGTGTGCTTTCAACTCACAGAGTTTAACGTTTCTTTTCATAGAGCAGTTAGGAAACACTCTGTTTGTAAAGTCTCCAAGTGGATATTCAGACCTCTTTGAGGCCTTCGTTGGAAACGGGTTTTTTTCATATAAGGCTAGACAGAAGAATTCTCAGTAACTTCCTTGTGTTGCGTGTATTCAACTGACAGAGTTGAACTCTCATTTAGATAGAGCAGATTTTAAACACTGTTTTTGTGGAATTTGCAAGTGTATATTTCAACCGCTTTGGGGCCAAATGCAGAAAAGGAAATATCTTCGTATAAAAACTAGACAGAATGATTCTCAGAAACTCCTTTGTGATGTGTGCGTTCAACTCACAGAGTTTATCCTTTCTTTTCATAGAGCAGTTAGGAAACACTCTGTTTGTAAAGTCTGCAAGTGGATATTCAGACATCTTTGAGGCTTTCGTTGGAAACGGGATTTCTTCATATTCTGCTAGACAGAAGAATTCTCAGAAACTTCGTTGTGTTGTGTGTGGTCAACTCACAGAGTTCAACGATCCTTTACACAGAGTAGACTTGAAACACTCTTTTTGTGGAATTGGCAGGGTGGAGATTTCAGCCGCTTTGAGGTCAATTTTAGAAAAGGAAATATCTTCGTATAAAAACTAGACAGAATGATTCTCAGAAACTCCTTTTTGCTGTGTGCGTTCAGCTCACAGAGTTTAACCTTTCTTTTCATAGAGCAGTTAGGAAACACTCTGTTTGTAAAGTCTGCAAGTGGATATTCAGACCTCCTTGAGGCCTTCGTTGGAAACGGGATTTCTTCATATTCTGCTATAGAGAAGAATTCCCAGTAACTTCCTTGTGTTGTGTGTGTTCAACTCACAGAGTTGAACTTTCATTTACACAGAGCAGATTTGAAACACTCTTTTTGTGGAATTTGCAAGTGGAGATTTCAAGCACTTTGAGGCCAAAGGCAGAAAAGGAAATATCTTCGTTTCAAAACTAGACAGAATCATTCTCAGAAACTGCTCTGCGATGTGTGCTTTCAACTCTCAGAGTTTAACTTTTCTTTTCATTCAGCAGTTTGAAAACACTCTGTTTGTAAAGTCTGCACGTGGATAACTTGACCACTTAGAGGCCTTCGTTGGAAACGGGTTTTTTTCATGTAAGGCTAGACAGAAGAATTCCCAGTAACTTCCTTGTGTTGTGTACATTCAACTCACAGAGTTGAACGTTCCCTTAGACAGAGCAGATTTGAAACACTCTTTTTGTGCAATTGGCAAGTGGAGATTTCAAGCGCTTTAAGGTCAATGGCAGAAACGGAAATATCTTCGTTTCAAAACTAGACAGAATCATTCCCACAAACTGCGTTGTGATGTGTTCGTTCAACTCACAGAGTTTAACCTTTCTTTTCATAGAACAGTTAGGAAACAGTCTGTTTGTAAATTCTGTAAGTGGATATTCTGACATCTTGTGGCCTTCGTTGGAAACGGGATTTCTTCATATTCTGCTAGACAGAAGAATTCTCAGTAACTTCCTTGTGTTGTGTGTATTCAACTCACAGAGTTGAACGATCGTTTACACAGAGCAGACTTGAGACACTCTTTTTGTGGAATTTGTAAGTGGAGATTTCAGCCGCTTTGAGGTCAACGGTAGAAAAGGAAATATCTTCATATAAAAACTAGACAGAATGATTCTCAGAAACTTCTTTGTGATGTGTGCGTTCAACTCACAGAGTTTAACCTTTCTTTTCATAGAGCAGTTAGGAAACACTCTGTTTGTAAACTCTGCAAGTGGATATTCAGACCTGTTTGAGGCCTTCGTTGGAAACGGGATTTCTTCATATTATGCTAGACAGAAGAATTATCAGAAACTTCCTTGTGTTGTGTGTATTCAACTCAAAGAGTTGAACGATCCTTTACACAGTGCAGACTTGAAACACTCTTTTTGTGGAATTTGCAAGTGGAGATTTCAGCCGCTTTGAGGTCAATGGTAGAATAGGAAATATCTTCCTATAGGAACTAGACAGAACGATTCTCAGAAACTCCTTTGTGATGTGTGCGTTCAACTCACAGAGTTTAACCTTTCTTTTCATAGAGCAGTTAGGAAACACTCTGTTTGTAAAGTCTGCAAGTGGATATTCAGACCTGTTTGAGGCCTTCGTTGGAAACGGGATTTCTTCATATTCTGCTAGACAGAAGAATTCCCAGTAACTTCCTTGTGTTGTGTGTGTTCAACTCACAGAGTTGAACTTTCATTTACAAAGAGCAGATTTGAAACACTCTTTTTGTGGAATTTGCAGGTGGAGATTTCAAGCGCTTTGAGGCCAAAGGCAGAAAAGGAAATATCTTCGTATAAAAACTAGACAGAATCATTCTCAGAAACTGCTCTGCGATGTGTGCGTTCAACTCTCAGAGTTTAACTTTTCGTTTCATTCAGCAGTTTGGAAACACTCTGTTTGTAAAGTCTGCACGTGGATATTTTGACCACTTAGAGGCCTTCGTTGGAAACGGGTTTTTTTCATGTAAGGCTAGACAGAAGAATTCTCAGTAACTTCCTTGTGTTGTGTGTATTCAACTCACAGATTTGAACGATCCTTTACACAGAGCAGACTTAAAACACTCTTTTTGTGGAATTTGCAAGTGGAGATTTCAGCCGCTTTGAGGTCAATGTTAGAAAAGGAAACTATCTTCGTATAAAAACTAGACAGAATGATTCTCATAAACTCCTTTGTGATGTGTGCGTTCAACTCACAGAGTTTAACTTTTCTTTTCATAGAGCAGTTAGGAAACACTCTGTTTGTAAAGTCTGCAAGTGGATATTCAGACCTGTTTGAGGCCTTCGTTGGAAACGGGATTTCTTCATATTCTGCTAGACAGAAGATTTCCCAGTAACTTCCTTGTGTTGTGTGTGTTCAACTCACAGAGTTGAACTTTCATTTACACAGAGCAGATTTGAATCACTCTTTTTGTGGAATTTGCAAATGGAGATTTCAAGCGCTTTGAGGCCAAAGGCAGAAAAGGAAATATCTTCGTATAAAAACTAGACAGAATCATTCTCAGAAACCGCTCTGTGATGTGTGCGTTCAACTCTCAGAGTTTAACTTTTCTTTTCATTCAGCAGTTTGGAAACACTCTGTTTGTAAAGTCTGCACGTGGATATTTTGACCACTTAGAAGCCTTCGTTGGAGACAGGTTTTTTTCATGTAAGGCTAGACAGAAGAATTCTCAGTAACTTCCTTGTGTTGTGTGTATTAAACTCACAGAGTTGAACGATCCTTTACACAGAGCAGACTTGAAACACTCTTTTTGTGGAATTTGCAAGTGGAGATTTCAGCCGCTTTGAGGTCAATGGTAGAATAGGAAATATCTTCCTATAGAAAATAGACACAATGATTCTCAGAAACTCCTTTGTGATGTGTGCGTTCAACTCACACAGTTTAACCTTTCTTTTCATAGAGCAGTTAGGAAACACTCTGTTTGTAAAGTCTGCAAGTGGATATTCAGACCTCCTTGTGGCCTTCGTTGGAAACGGGATTTCTTCCTATTATGCTAGACAGAAGAATTCTCAGTAACTTCCTTGTGTTGTGTGTATTCAACTCACAGAGTTGAACGATCCTTTACACAGAGCAGACTTGAAACACTCTTTTTGTGGAATTTGCATGTGGAGATTTCAGCCGCTTTGAGTTCAATGGTAGAATAGGAAATATCTTCTTATAGAAACTAGACAGAATGATTCTCAGAAACTGCTTTGTGATGTGTGTGTTCAACACACAAGGTTTAACCTTTCTTTTCATAGAGCAGTTAGGAAACACTCTGTTTGTAAAGTCTGCAACTGGATATTCAGACATCCTTGAGGCTTTCGTTGGAAACGGGATTTCTTCATATTCTGCTAGAAAGAAGAATTCTCAGTAACTTCCTTGTGTTGTGTGTATTCAACTCACAGAGTTGAACGATCCTTTACACAGAGCAGACTTGAAACACTCTTTTTGTGGATATTTGCAAGTGGAGATTTCAGCCGCTTTGAGGTCAATGTTAGAAAAGGAAATATCTTCGTATAAAAACTAGACAGAATGATTCTGAGAAACTCCTTTGTGATGTGTGCGTTCAACTCACAGAGTTTAACCTTTCTTTTCATAGAGCAGTTAGGAAACACTCTGTTTGTAAAGTCTGCAAGTGGATATTCAGACCTCCTTGAGGCCTTCGTTGGAAACTGCATTTCTTCATATTCTGCTATACAGAAGAATTCTCAGTAACTTCCTTGTGTTGTGTGTATTCAACTCACAGATTTGAACGATCCTTTACACAGAGCAGACTTGAAACACTCTTTTTGTGGAATTTGCAAGTGGAGATTTCAGCCTCTTTGTGGTCAATGGTAGAATAGGAAATATATTCCTATAGAAACTAGACAGAATCATTCTCAGAAACTGCTGCGTGATGTGTGCGTTCAACTCTCAGAGTTTAACTTTTCTTTTCATTCAGCGGTTTGGAAACACTCTGTTTGTAAAGTCTGCACGTGGAACTTTTGACCACTTAGAGGCCTTCGTTGGAAACGGGTTTTTTTCATGTAAGGCTAGACAGAAGAATTCCCAGTAACTTCCTTGTGTTGTGTGCATTCAACTCACAGAGTTGAACGTTCCCTTAGACAGAGCAGATTTGAAACACTCTATTTGTGCAATTTGCAAGTGTAGTTTTCAAGCTCTTTTAGGTCAACGGCAGAAAAGGAAATATCTTGGTTTCAAAACTAGACAGAATCATTCCCACAAACTGCGTTGTGATGTGTTCGTTCAACTCACAGAGTTTAACCTTTCTGTTCATAGAGCAGTTAGGAAACACTCTGTTTGTAAAGTCTGTAAGTGGATATTCTGACATCTTGTGGCCTTCGTTGGGAACGGGATTTCTTCATATTCTGCTAGACAGAAGAATTCTCAGTAACTTCCTTGTGTTGTGTGTATTCAACTCACAGAGTTGAACGATCCTTTACACAGAGCAGACTTGAAACATTCTTTTTGTGGAATTTGCAAGTGGAGATTTCAGCCGCTTTGAGGTCAATGGTGGAATAAGAAATATCTTCCTATAGAAACTAGACAGAATGATTCTCAGAAACTCCTTTGTGATGTGTGCGTTCAACTCACAGAGTTTAACCTTTGTTTTCATAGAGCAGTTAGGAAACACTCTGTTTGTAAAGTCTGCAGGTGGATATTCAGACATCTTTGAGGCTTTCGTTGGAAACGGGATTTCTTCATATTCTGCTATACAGAAGAATTCCCAGTAACTTCTTTGTGTTGTGTGTGTTCAACTCACAGAGATGAACTCTCATTTACACAGAGCAGATTTGAAACTCTCTTTTTGTGGAATTTGCAAATGGAGATTTCAAGCGCTTTGAGGCCAAAGGCAGAAAAGGAAATATCTTCGTATAAAAACTAGGCAGAATCATTCTCAGAAACTGCTCTGCGATGTGTGCGTTCAACTCTCAGAGTTTAACTTTTCTTTTCATTCAGCAGTTTGGAAACACTCTGTTTGTAAAGTCTGCACTTGGATAATTTGACCACTTAGAGGCCTTTGTTGGAAACGGGTTTTTTTCATGTAAGGCTAGACAGAAGAATTCTCAGAAACTTCGTTGTGTTGTGTGTTTTCAACTCACAGAGTTGAACGATCCTTTACACAGCGTAGACTTGAAACACTCTTTTTGTGGAATTTGCAAGTGGAGATTTCATCCGCTTTGAGGTCAATGGTAGAAAAGGAAATATCTTCGTATAAAAACTAGACAGAATGATTCTCAGAAACTCCTTTGTGATGTGTGCGTTGAACTCACAGAGTTTAACCTTTCTTTTCATAGAGCAGTTAGGAAACACTCTGTTTGTAAAGTCTGCAAGTGGATATTCAGACCTCTTTGAGGCCTTCGTTGGAAACGGTTTTTTTTCATATAAGGCTAGACAGAAGAATTCTCAGTAACTTCCTTGTGTTTTGTGTATTCAACTGACAGAGTTGAACTTTCATTTAGAGAGAGCAGATTTGAAACACTGTTTTTGTGGAATTTGCAATTGGAGATTTCAAGCGCTTTGGGGCCAAAGGCAGAAAAGGAAATATCTTCGTATAAAAACTAGACAGAATCATTCTCAGAAACTGCTCTGCGATGTGTGCGTTCAACTCTCAGAGTTTAACTTTTCTTTTCATTCAGCAGTTTGGAAACACTCTGTAAAGTCTGCACGTGGATATTTTGACCATTTAGA
Organism: Homo sapiens; assembly: GCF_000001405.40. Taxonomy (NCBI): domain Eukaryota; kingdom Metazoa; phylum Chordata; class Mammalia; order Primates; family Hominidae; genus Homo; species Homo sapiens. The sequence goes on from NC_000001.11 coordinate 122,712,135, forward strand.
GGCTTTCGTTGGAAACGGGTTTTTTTTTGTAAGGCTAGACAGAAGAATTCCCAGGAACTTCCTTGTGTTGCGTACATTCAACTCACACATTTGAACGTTCCCTTAGACAGAGTAGATTTGAAATACTCTTTTTCTGCAATTGGCAAGTGGTGATTTCAGCCGCTTTGAGGTCAATGGTAGAAAAGGAAATATCTTCGTATAAAAACTAGACAGAATCATTCCCACAAACTGCGTTGTGATGTGTTCGTTCAACTCACAGAGTTTAACCTTTCTGTTCATAGAGCAGTTAGGAAACACTCTGTTTGTAAAGTCTGAAAGTGGATATTCTGACATCTTGTGGCCTTCGATGGAAACGGGATTTCTTCATATTCTGCTAGACAGAAGAATTCTCAGAAACTTCCTTGTGTTGTGTGTATTCAACTCACAGAGATGAACGATCCTTTACACAGAGCAGACTTGAAACACTCTTTTTGTGGAATTTGCAAGTGGAGATTTCAGCCGCTTTGAGGTCCATGGTAGAAAAGGAAATATCTTCGTATAAAAACTAGACAGAATGATTCTCAGAAACTCCTTTGTGATGTGTGCGTTCAACTCACAGAGTTCAACCTTTCTTTTCATAGAGCAGTTAGGAGACACTCTGTTTGTAAAGTCTGCAAGTGGATATTCAGACCTCTTTGAGGCCTTCGTTGGAAACGGGTTTTCTTCATATTCTGCTAGAGAGAAGAATTCCCAGTAACTTCCTTGTGTTGTGTACATTCAACTCACAGAGTTGAACGTTCCCTTAGACAGAGCAGACTTGTAACACTCTTTTTGTGGAATTTGCAAGTGGAGATTTCAGCAGCTTTGAAGTCAAAGGTAGAAAAGGAAATATCTTCCTATAAAAACTTGACAGAATGATTCTCAGAAACTCCTTTGTGATGTGTGCGTTCAACTCACAGAGTTTAACCTTTCTTTTCATAGAGCAGTTAGGAAACACTCTATTTGTAAATTCTGCAAGTGGATATTCAGACCTCCTTAAGGCCTTCGTTGGAAACGGGATTTCTTCATATTATGCTAGACAGAAGAATTCCCAGTAACTTCCTTGTGTTGTGTGTGTTCAACTCACAGAGTTGAACTTTCATTTACACAGAGCAGATTTGAAACACTCTTTTTGTGGAATTTGAAATGGAGATTTCAAGCGCTTTGAGGCCAAAGGCAGAAAAGGAAATATCTTCGTATAAAAACGAGACAGAATCATTCTCAGAAACTGCTCTGCGATGTGTGCGTTCAACTCTCAGAGTTTAACTTTTCTTTTCATTCAGAAGTTTGGAAACACTCTGTTTGTAAAGTCTGCACGTGGATAACTTGACCACTTAGAGGCCTTCGTTGGAAACGGGTTTTTTTCATGTAAGTCTAGACAGAAGAATTCCCAGTAACTTCCTTGTGTTGTGTACATTCAACTCACAGAGTTGAACGTTCCCTTAGACAAAGCAGATTTGAAACACTCTTTTTGTGCAATTGGCAAATGGAGATTTCAAGCGCTTTAAGGTCAATGGCAGAAAAGGAAATATCTTCGTTTCAAAACTAGACAGAATCATTCCCACAAACTGCGTTGTGATGTGTTCATTCAACTCACAGAGTTTAACCTTTCCGTTCATAGAGCAGTTAGGAAACACACTGTTTGTAAAGTCTGTAAGTGGATATTCTGACATCTTGTGGCCTTCGTTGGAAACGGGATTTCTTCATATTCTGCTAGACAGAAGAATTCTGAGAATCTTCCTTGTGTTGTGTGTATTCAACTCACAGAGTTGAACGATCCTTTACACAGAGCAGACTTGAAACACTCTTTTTGTGGAATTTGCAAGTGGAGATTTCAGCCGCTTTGAGGTCCATGGTAGAAAAGGAAATATCTTCGTATAAAAACTAGACAGAATGATTCTCAGAAAATCCTTTGTGATGTGTGCGTTCAACTCACAGAGTTTAACTTTTCTGTTCATAGAGCAGTTAGGAAACACTCTGTTTGTAAAGTCTGCAAGTGGATATTCAGACCTCTTTGAGGCCTTCGTTGGAAACGTTATTTCTTCATATTATGCTAGACAGAAGAATTCTCAGTAACTTCCCTTGTGTTGTGTGTATTCAACTCACAGAGTTGAACGGTCCTTTACACAGAGCAGACTTGAAACACTCTTTTTGTTGAATTTGCAAGTGGAGATTTCAGCCGCTTTGAGGTCAATGGTAGAATAGGAAATATCTTCCTATAGAAACTAGACAGAATGATTCTCAGAAACTCCTTTGTGATGTGTGTGTTCAACTCACAGAGTTTAACCTTTCTTTTCATAGAACAGTTAGGGAACACTCTGTTTGTAAAGTCTGCAAGTGGATATTCAGACCTCTTTGAGGCCTTCGTTGGAAACACGTTTTTTTAATCTAAGGCTAGACAGAAGAATTCCCAGTAACTTCCTTGTGTTGTGTGTGTTCAACTCACAGAGTTGAACTTTCATTTACACAGAGCAGATTTGAAACACTCTTTTTGTGGAATTTGCAGATGGAGATTTCAAGCGCTTTGAGGCCAAAGGCAGAAAAGGAAATATCTTCGTATAAAAACTAGACAGAATCATTCTCAGAAACTGCTCTGTGATGTGTGCGTTCAACTCTCAGAGTTTAACTTTTCTTTTCATTCAGCAGTTTGGAAACACTCTGTTTGTAAAGTCTGCACGTGGATAATTTGACCACTTAGAGGCCTTCGTTGGAAACGGGTTTTTTTCATGTAAGGCTAGACAGAATAATTCTCAGTAACTTCCTTTTGTTGTGGGTATTCAACTCAGAGTTGTACGATCCTTTACAGAGAGCAGACTTGAAACACTCTTTTTGTGGAATTTGCAAGTGGAGATTTCAGCCGCTTTGAGGTCAATGGTAGAATAGGAAATATCTTCCTATAGAAACTAGACAGAATGATTCTCAGAAACTCCTTTGTGATGTGTGCGTTCAACTCACAGAGTTTAACCTTTCTTTTCGTAGAGCAGTTAGGAAACACTCTGTTTGTAAAGTCTGCAAGTGGATATTCAGACCTCCTTGAGGCCTTCGTTGGAAATGGGATTTCTTCATATTCTGCTAGACAGAAGAATTCTCACTAACTTCCTTGTGTTGTGTGTATTCAACTCACAGAGTTGAACGATCCTTTACACAGAGCAGACTTGAAACACTCTTTTTGTGGAATTTGCAAGTGGAGATTTCAGCCGCTTTGAGGTCAACGGTAGAAAAGGAAATATCTCCGTATAAAGACTAGACAGAATCATTCTCAGAAACTGCTCTGCGATGTGTGCGTTCAACTCTCAGAGTTTAACTTTTCTTTTCATTCAGCAGTTTGGAAACACTCTGTTTGTAAAGTCTGCACGTGGATATTTTGACCATTTAGAGGCCTTCGTTGGAAACGGGTTTTTTTCATGTAAGGCTAGACAGAAGAATTCCCAGTAACTTCCTTGTGTTGTGTACATTCAACTCACAGAGTTGAACGTTCCCTTAGACAGAGCAGATTTGAAACACTCTTTTTGTGCAATTGGCAAGTGGTGATTTCAGCCGCTTTGAGGTCAATGGTAGAAAAGGAAATATCTTCCTATAAAAACTAGACAGAATCATTCCCACAAACTGCGTTGTGATGTGTTCGTTCAACTCACAGAGTTTAACCTTTCTGTTCATAGAGCAGTTAGGAAACACTCTGTTTGTAAAGTCTGCAAGTGGATATTCAGACCTCCTTGAGGCCTTCGTTGGAAACGGGATTTCTTCATATTACTGCTAGACAGAATAATTCTCAGTAACTTCCTTGTGTTGTGTGTATTCAACTCACAGAGTTGAAGGATCCTTTACAGAGAGCAGGCTTGAAACACTCTTTTTGTCGAATTTGCAAGTGGAGATTTCAGCCGCTTTGTGGTCAATGGTAGAAAAGTAAATATCTTCCTATAAAGACTAGACAGAATGATTCTCAGAAACTCCTTTGTGATGTGTGCGTTCAACTCACAGAGTTTAACCTTTCTTTTCATAGAGCAGTTAGGAAACACTCTGTTTGTAAAGTCTGCAAGTGGATATTCAGACAACTTTGAGGCCTTCGTTGGAAACGGGATTTCTTCATGTTCTGCTAGACAGAAGAATTCCCAGTAACTTTCCTTGTGTTGTGTGTGTTCAACTCACAGAGTTGAACTCTCATTTACACAGAGCAGATTTGAAACACTCTTTTTGTGGAATTTGCAAGTGGAGATTTCAAGCGCTTTGAGGCCAAAGGCAGAAAAGGAAATATCTTCGTATAAAAACTAGACAGAATCATTCTCAGAAACTGTTGCGTGATGTGTGCGTTCAACTCTCAGAGTTTAACTTTTCTTTTCATTCAGCGGTTTGGAAACACTCTGTTTGTAAAGTCTGCACGTGGATATTTTGACCACTTAGAGGCCTTCGTTGGAAACGGGTTTTTTTTCATGTAAGGCTAGACAGAAGAATTCCCAGTAACTTCCTTGTGTTGTGTGCATTCAACTCACAGAGTTGAACGTTCCCTTAGACAGACCAGATTTGAAACACTCTATTTGTGCAATTTGCAAGTGTAGATTTCAAGCGCTTTGAGGTCAATGGCAGAAAAGGAAATATCTTCGTTTCAAAACTAGACAGACAATCATTCTCACAAACTACGTTGTGATGTGTTCGTTCAACTCACAGAGTTTAAACTTTCTGTTCATAGAGCAGTTAGGAAACATTCTGTTTGTAAAGTCTGTAAGTGGATATTCTGACATCTTGTGGCCTTCGTTGGAAACGGGATTTCTTCATATTCTGCTAGACAGAAGAATTCTCAGTAACTTCCTTGTGTTGTGTGTATTCAACTCACAGAGTTGAACGATCCTTTACACAGAGCAGACTTGAAACACTCTTTTTGTGGAATTTGCAAGTGGAGATTTCTGCCGCTTTGAGGTCAATGGTAGAATAGGAAATATCTTCGTATAAAAACTAGACAGAATGATTCTCAGAAACTCCTTTGTGCTGTGTGTGTTCAACTCACAGAGTTTAACCTTTCTTTTCATAGAGCAGTTAGGAAACACTCTGTTTGTAAAGTCTGCAAGTGGATATTCAGACCTCTTTGAGGCCTTCGTTGGAAACGGGTTTTTTTCATATAAGGCTAGACAGAAGAATTCTCAGTAACTTCCTTGTGTTGTGTGTATTCAACTGACAGAGTTGAACTTTCCTTTAGAGAGAGCAGATTTGAAACACTGTTTTTGTGGAATTTGCAAGTGGAGATTTCAAGCGCTTTGGGGCCAAAGGCAGAAAAGGAAATATCTTCGTATAAAAACTAGACAGAATCATTCTCAGAAACTGCTCTGCGATGTGTGCGTTCAACTCTCAGAGTTTAACTTTTCTTTTCATTCAGCAGTTTGGAAACACTCTGTTTGTAAAGTCTGCACGTGGATATTTGACCACTTAGAGGCCTTCGTTGGAAACGGGTTTTTTTCCTGTAAGGCTAGACAGAATAAATCCCAGTAACTTCCTTGTGTTGTGTGCATTCAACTCACAGAGTTGAACGTTCCCTTAGACAGAGCAGATTTGAAACATTCTATTTGTGTAATTTGCAAGTGTAGATTTCAAGCGCTTTAAGGTCAATGGCAGAAAAGGAAATATCTTCGTTTCAAAACTAGACAGAATCATTCCCACAAACTGCGTTGTGATGTGTTCGTTCAACTCACAGAGTTTAACCTTTCTGTTCATAGAGCAGTTAGGAAACACTCTGTTTGTAAAGTCTGTAAGTGGATATTCTGACATCTTGTGGCCTTCGTTTTAAACGGGATTTCTTCATATTCTGCTAGACAGAAGAATTCTCAGTAACTTCTTTGTGTTGTGTGTATTCAACTCACAGAGTTGAACGATCCTTTACACAGAGCAGACTGGAAACACTCTTTTTGTGGAATTTGCAAGTGGAGATTTCAGCCGCTTTGAGGTCAATGTTAGAATAGGAAATATCTTCCTATAGAAACTAGAGAGAATGATTCTCATAAACTCCTTTGTGATGTGTGCGTTCAACTCACAGAGTTTAACCTTTCTTTTCATAGAGCAGTTAGGAAACACTCTGTTTGTAAATTCTGCAAGTGGATATTCAGACCTCCTTGAGGCCTTCGTTGGAAACGGGATTTCTTCATATTCTGCTAGACAGAAAAATTCTCAGTAACTTCCTTGTGTTGTGTGTATTCAACTCACAGAGTTGAACGATCCTTTACACAGAGCAGACTTGAAACGCTCTTTTTGTGGAATTTGCAAGTGGAGATTTCAGCCGCGTTGAGGTCAATGGTAGAAAAGGAAATATCTTCGTATAAAAACTAGACAGAATGATTCTCAAAAACTCCTTTGTGATGTGTGCGTTCAACTCACAGAGTTTAACCTTTCTGTTCATAGAGCAGTTAGGAAACACTCTGTTTGTAAAGTCTGCAAGTGGATATTCAGACCTCCTTGAGGCCTTCTTTGGAAACGGGATTTCTTCATATTCTGATAGACAGAAGAATTCTCAGTAACTTCCTTGTGTTGTGTGTATTCAACTCAAAGAGTTGAACGATCCTTTACACAGAGCAGACTTGAAACACACTTTTTGTGGAATTTGCAAGTGGAGATTTCAGCCGCTTTGAGGTCAAAGGTAGAAAAGGAAACTATGTTCGTATAAAGAGTAGACAGAATGATTCTGAGAAACTCCTTTGTGATGTGGCGTTCAACTCACAGAGTTTAACCTTTCTTTTCATAGAGCAGTTAGGAAACACTCTGTTTGTAACGTCTGCAAGTGGATATTCAGACCTCCTTGAGGCCTTCGTTGGAAACGGGTTTTCTTCATATTATGCTAGACAGAAGAATTCTCATTAACTTCCTTGTGTTGTGTGTATTCAACTCACAGAGTTGAACGATCCTTTACACAGAGCAGACTTGAAACACTCTTTTTGTGGAATTTGCAAGTGGAGATTTCAGCCGCTTTGAGTTCAATGGTAGAATAAGAAATATCTTCCTATAGAAACTATACAGAATGATTCTCAGAAACTCCTTTGTGATGTGTGCATTCAACTCACAGAGTTTAACCTTTCTTTTAATAGAGCAGTTAGGAAACACTCTGTTTGTAAAGTCTGCAAGTGGATATTCAGACCTCCTTGAGGCCTTCGTTGGAAACGGGATTTCTTCATATTATGCTAGACAGAAGAATTCTCAGTAACTTCCTTGTGTTGTGTGTATTCAACTGACAGAGTTGAACTTTCATGTAGAGAGAGCAGATTTGAAACACTGTTTTTGTGGAATTTGCAAGTGGAGATTTCAAGCGCTTTGGGGCCAAACGCAGAAAAGGAAATATCTTCGTATAAAACTAGACAGAATCATTCTCAGAAACTGCTCTGCGATGTGTGCGTTCAACTCTCAGAGTTTAACTTTTCTTTTCATTCAGCAGTTTGGAAACACTCTGTTTGTAAAGTCTGCACGTGGATATTTTGACCACTTAGAGGCCTTCGTTGGAAACGGGTTTTTTTCCTGTAAGGCTAGAAAGAAGAATTCCCAGTAACTTCCCTTGTGTTGTGTACATTCAACTCACAGAGTTGAACGTTACCTTAGACAGAGCAGATTTGAAACACTCTTTTTGTGCAATTGGCAAATGGAGATTTCAAGCGCTTTAAGGTCAATGGCAGAAAAGGAAATATCGTCGTTTCAAAACTAGACAGAATCATTCCCACAAACTGCGTTGTGATGTGTTCGTTCAACTCACAGAGTTTAACCTTTCTTTTCATAGAGCAGTTAGGAAACAGTCTGTTTGTCAATTCTGTAAGTGGATATTCTGACATCTTGTGGCCTTCGTTGGAAACGGGATTTCTTCATATTCTCCTAGACGGAAGAATTCTCAGTAACTTCCTTGTGTTTTGTGTATTCAACTCACAGAGTTGAATGATCCTTTACGCAGAACAGACTTGAAACACTCTTTTTGTGGAATTTGCAAGTGGAGATTTCAGCCGCTTTGAGGTCAATGGTAGAAAAGGAAATATATTCGTATAAAAACTAGACAGAATGATTCTCAGAAACTTCTTTGTGATGTGTGCGCTCAACTCACAGAGTTTAACCTTTCTTTTCATAGAGCAGTTAGGGAACACTCTGTTTGTAAAGTCTGCAAGTGGATATTCAGACCTCTTTGAAGCCTTCGTTGGAAACGGGATTTCTTCATATTATGCTAGACAGAAGAATTCTCAGTAACTTCCTTGTGTTGTGTGTATTCAACTCACAGAGTTCAACGATCCGTTACACAGAGCAGACTTGAAACACTCTTTTTGTGGAATTTGCAAGTGGAGATTTCTGCCGCTTTGAGGTCAATGGTAGACAAGGAAATATCTTCGTATAAAAACTAGACAGAATCATTCTCAGAAACTGCTCTGCGATGTGTGCGTTCAACTCTCAGAGTTTAACTTTTCTTTTCATTCAGCAGTTTGGAAACACTCTGTTTGTAAAGTCTGCACGTGGATATTTTGACCACTTAGAGGCCTTCGTTGGAAACGGGTTTTTTTCCTGTAAGGCTAGACGGTAGAATTCCCAGTAACTTTCCTTGTGTTGTGTACATTCAACTCACAGAGTTGAACGTTTCCTTAGAGAGAGCAGATTTGAAACACTCTTTTTGTGCAATTGGCAAGTGGTGATTTCAGCCGCTTTGAGGTCAATGGTAGAAAAGGAAATATCTTCGTATAAAAACTAGACAGAATCATTCCCACAAACTGCGTTGTGATGTGTTCGTTCAACTCACAGAGTTTAACCTCTCCGTTCATAGAGCAGTTAGGAAACACACTGTTTGTAAAGTCTGTAAGTGGATATTCTGACATCTTGTGGCCTTCGTTGGAAACGGGATTTCTTCATATTCTGCTAGACAGAAGAATTCTCAGAATCTTCCTTCTGTTGTGTGTATTCAACTCACAGAGTTGAACGATCCTTTACACAGAGCAGACTTGAAACACTCTTTTTGTGGAATTTGCAAGTGGAGATTTCAGCCGCTTTGAGGTCCATGGTAGAAAAGGAAATATCTTCGTATAAAAACTAGACAGAATGATTCTCAGAAAATCTTTTGTGATGTGTGCGTTCAACTCACAGAGTTTAACTTTTCTTCTCGTAGAGCAGTTAGGAAACACTCTGTTTGTAAAGTCTGCAAGTGGATATTCAGACCTCTTTGAGGTCTTCGTTGGAAACGGGATTTCTTCATATTATGCTAGACAGAAGAATTCTCAGTAACTTCCTTGTGTTGTGTGTATTCAACTCACAGAGTTGAACGACCCTTTACACAGAGCAGACTTGTAACACTCTTTTTGTGGAATTTGCAAGTGGAGATTTCAGCCGCTTTCAAGTCAAAGGTAGAAAAGGAAATATCTTCCTATAAAAACTAGACAGAACGATTCTCAGAAACTCCTTTGTGATGTGTGCGTTCAACTCACAGAGTTTAACTTTTCTTTTCATAGAGCCATTAGGAAACACTCTGTTTGTAAAGTCTGCATGTGGATATTCAGACCTCCTAGAGGCCTTCGTTGGAAACGGGATTTCTTCATATTCTGCTAGACAGAAGAATTCCCAGTAACTTCTTTCTGTTGTGTGTGTTCAACTCACAGAGTTGAACTTTGATTTACACAGAGCAGATTTGAAACACTCTTTTTGTGGAATTTGCAAGTGGAGATTTCAAGCGCTTTGAGGCCAAAGGCAGAAAAGGAAATATCTTCGTATAAAAACTAGACAGAATCATTCTCAGAAACTGCTGCGTGATGTGTGCGTTCAACTCTCAGAGTTTAACTTTTCTTTTCATTCAGCGGTTTGGAAACACTCTGTTTCTAAAGTCTGCACGTGGATATTTTGACCACTTAGACGCCTTCGTTGGAAACGGGTTTTTTTCATGTAAGGCTAGACAGAAGAATTCCCAGTAACTTCCTTGTGTTGTGTACATTCAACTCACAGAGTTGAACGTTCCCTTAGACAGAGCAGATTTGAAACACTCTTTTTGTGCAATTGGCAAGTGGTGATTTCAGCCGCTTTGAGGTCAATGGTAGAAAAGGAAATATCTTCGTATAAAAACTAGACAGAATCATTCCCACAAACTGCGTTGTGATGTGTTCGTTCAACTCACAGAGTTTAACCTTTCTTTTCATAGACCAGTTAGGAAACAGTCTGTTTGTAAATTCTGTAAGTGGATATTCTGACATCTTGTGGCCTTCGTTGGAAACGGGATTTCTTCATATTCTGCTAGACAGAAGAATTCTCAGTAACTTCCTTGTGTTGTGTGTATTCAACTCACAGAGTTGAACGATCCTTTACACAGAGCAGACTTGTAACACTCTTTTTGTGGAATTTGCAAGTGGGGATTTCAGCCGCTTTGAAGTCAAAGGTAGAAAAGGAAATATCTTCCTATAAAAACTAGACAGAATGATTCTCAGAAACTCCTTTGTGATGTGTGTGTTCAACTCACAGAGTTTAACCTTACTTTTCATAGAGCAGTTAGGAAACACTCTGTTTGTAAAGTCTGCAAGTGGATATTCAGACCTCTTTGAGGCCTTCGTTGGAAACGGGTTTTTTTCATATAAGGCTAGACAGAAGAATTCCCAGTAACTTCCTTGTGTTGTGTGTGTTCAACTCACAGAGTTGAACTTTCATTTACACAGAGCAGATTTGAAACACTCTTTTTGTGGAATTTGCAAGTGGAGATTTCAAGCGCTTTGAGGCCAAAGGCAGAAATGGAAATATCTTCGTTTCAAAACTAGACAGAATCATTCTCAGAAACTGCTCTGCGATGTGTGCATTCAACTCTCAGAGTTTAACTTTTCTTTTCATTCAGCAGTTTGGAAACACTCTGTTTGTAAAGTCTGCACGTGGATATTTTGACCACTTAGAGGCCTTCTTTGGAAACGGGTTTTTTTCCTGTAAGGCTAGACAGAAGAATTCCCAGTAACTTCCTTGTGTTGTGTGCATTCAACTAACAGAGTTGAACGTTCCCTTAAACAGAGCAGATTTGAAACACTCTATTTGTGCAATTTGCAAGTGTAGATTTCAAGCGCTTTAAGGTCAACGGCAGAAAAGGAAATATCTTCGTTTCAAAACTAGACAGAATCATTCCCACAAACTGCGTTGTGATGTGTTCGTTCAACTCACAGAGTTTAACCATTCTTTTCATAGAGCAGTTAGGAAACAGTCTGTTTGAAAATTCTGTAAGTGGATATTCTGACATCTTGTGGCCTTCGTTGGAAACGGGATTTCTTCATATTCTGCTAGACAGAAGAATTCTCAGTAACTTCCTTGTGTTGTGTGTATTCAACTCACAGAGTTGAACGATCCTTTACACAGAGCAGACTTGAAACACTCTTTTTGTGGAATTTGCAAGTGGAGATTTCAGCCGCTTTGAGGTCAATGGTAGAAAAGGAAATATCTTTGTATAAAGACTAGACAGAATGATTCTCAGAAACTCCTTTGTGATGTGTGCGTTCAACTCACAGAGTTCAACTTTTCTTTTCATAGAGCAGTTAGGAAACACTCTGTTTGTAAAGTCTGCAAGTGGATATTCAGACCTCTTTGAGGCCTTCGTTGGAAACGGGATTTTTTCATATTCTGCTAGACAGAAGAATTCCCAGTAACTTCCTTGAGTTGTGTGTGTTCAAATCACAGAGTTGAACTTTCATTTACACAGAGCAGATTTGAAACACTCTTTTTGTGGAATTTGCAAGTGGAGATTTCAAGCGCTTTGAGGCCAAAGGCAGAAAAGGAAATATCTCCGTTTCAAAACTAGACAGAATCATTCTCAGAAAATGCTCTGTGAAGTGTGCGTTCAACTCTCAGAGTTTAACTTTTCTTTTCATTCAGCAGTTTGGAAACACTCTGTTTGTAAAGTCTGCACGTGGATATTTTGACCACTTAGAGGCCTTCGTTGGAAACGGGTTTTTTTCATGTAAGGGTAGACAGAAGAATTCCCAGTAACTTCCTTGTGTTGTGTACATTCAACTCACAGAGTTGAACGTTCCCTTAGACAGAGCAGATTTGAAACACTCTTTTTGTGCAATTGGCAAGTGGTGATTTCAGCCTCTTTGAGGTCAATGGTAGAAAAGGAAATATCTTCGTATAAAAACTAGACAGAATCATTCCCACAAACTGCGATGTGATGTGTTCGTTCAACTCACAGAGTTTAACCTTTCTGTTCATAGAGCAGTTAGGAAACACTCTGTTTGGAAAGTCTGTAAGTGGATATTCTGACATCTTGTGGCCTTCGTTGGAAACGGGATTTCTTCATATTCTGCTAGACAGAAGAATTCTCAGTAACTTCCCTTGTGTTGTGTGTATTCAACTCACAGAGTTGAACGATCCTTTACACAGAGCAGACTTGAAACACTCTTTTTGTGGAATTTGCAAGTGGAGATTTCAGCCGCGTTGAGGTCAATGGTAGAAAAGGAAATATCTTCGTATAAAAACTAGACAGAATGATTCTCAGAAACTCCTTTGTTATGTGTGCGTTCAACTCACAGAGTTTAACTTTTCTTTTCATAGAGCAGTTAGGAAACACTCTGTTTGTAAAGTCTGCAAGTGGATATTCAGACCTCTTTGACGCCTTCGTTGGAAACGGGATTTCTTCATATTCTGCTAGACAGAAGAATTCTCAGTAACTTCCTTGTGTTGTGTGTATTCAACTCACAGAGTTGAACGATCCTTTACAGAGAGCAGACTTGAAACACTCTTTTTGTGGAATTTGCAAGTGGAGATTTCAGCCGCTTTGAGGTCAATGGTAGAAAAGGAAATATCTTCCTCTAAAGACTAGACAGAATCATTCTCAGAAACTGCTCTGCGATGTGTGCGTTCAACTCTCAGAGTTTAACTTATCTTTTCATTCAGTAGTTTGGAAACACTCTGTTTGTAAAGTCTGCACGTGGATAATTTGACCACTTAGAGGTCTTCGTTGGAAACGGGTTTTTTTCATGTAAGGCTAGACAGAAGAATTCCCAGTAACTTCCTTGTGTTGTGTACATTCAACTCACAGAGTTGAACGTTCCCTTAGAAAGAGCAGATTTGAAACACTCTTTTTGTGCAATTGGCAAGTGGAGATTTCAAGCAATTTAAGGTCAATGGCAGAAAAGGAAATATCTTCGTTTCAAAACTAGACAGAATGATTCTCAGAAACTCCTTTGTGATGTGTGCGTTCAACTCACAGAGTTTAACTTTTCTTTTCATAGAGCCGTTAGGAAACACTCTGTTTGTAAAGTCTGCAAGTGGATATTCAGACCTCTTTGAGGCCTTCGTTGGAAACGGGATTTCTTCATATTCTGCTAGACAGAAGAATTCTCAGTAACTTCCTTGTGTTGTGTGTATTCAACTCAGAGACTTGAATGATCCTTTACACAGAACAGTCTTGAAACACTCTTTTTGTGGAATTTGCAAGTGGAGATTTCAGCCGCTTTGAGGTCAATGGTAGAATAGGAAATATCTTCCTATAGAAACTAGACAGAACGATTCTCAGAAACTCCTTTGTGATGTGTGCGTTCAACTCACAGAGTTTAACCTTTCTTTTCATACAGCAGTTAGGAAACACTCTGTTTGTAAAGTCTGCAAGTGGATATTCAGACCTCTTTGAGACCTTCGTTGGAAACGGGATTTCTTCATATTCTGCTAGACAGAAGAATTCTCAGTAACTTCCTTGTGTTGTGTGTATTCAACTCACAGAGTTGAATGATCCTTTACAGAGAGCAGACTTGAAACACTCTTTTTGTGGAATTTGCAAGTGGAGATTTCAGCCGCTTTGAGGTCAATGGTAGAATAGGAAATATCTTCGAAGAAAAACTATACAGAATGATTCTCAGAAACTGCTTTTTGATGTGTGCGTTCAACTCACAGCGTTTAACCTTTCTTTTCATAGAGCAGTTAGGAAACACTCTGTTTGTAAAGTCTGCAAGTGGATATTCAGACCTCTTTGAGGCCTTCGTTGGAAACGGGATTTCTTCATATTCTGCTAGACAGAGGAATTCTCAGTAACTTCCTTGTGTTGTGTGTATTCAACTGACAGAGTTGAACTTTCATTTAGAGAGAGCAGATTTGAAACACTGTTTTTGTGGAATTTGCAAGTGGAGATTTCAAGCGCTTTGGGGCCAAAGGCAGAAAAGGAAATACCTTCGTATAAAAACTAGACAGAATCATTCTCAGAAACTGCTGCGTGATGTTTGCGTTCAACTCTCAGAGTTTAACTTTTCTTTTCATTCAGCGGTTTGGAAACACTCTGTTTGTAAAGTCTGCACGTGGAAATTGTGACCACTTAGAGGCCTTCGTTGGAAACGGGTTTTTTTCATGTAAGGCTAGACAGAAGAATTCCCAGTAACTTCCTTGTGTTGTGTGCATTCAACTCACAGAGTTGAACGTTCCCTTAGACAGAGCAGATTTGAAACACTCTATTTGTGCAATTTGCAAGTGTAGTTTTCAAGCTCTTTAAGGTCAACGGCAGAAAAGGAAATATCTTGGTTTCAAAACTAGACAGAATCATTCCCAGAAACTGCGTTGTGATGTGTTCGTTCAACTCACAGAGTTTAACCTTTCTGTTCATAGAGCAGTTAGGAAACACTCTGTTTGTAAAGTCTGTAAGTGGATATTCAGACATCTTGTGGCCTTCGTTGGAAACGGGATTTCTTCATATTCTGCTAGACAGAAGAATTCTCAGTAACTTCCTTGTGTTGTGTGTATTCAACTCACAGAGTTGAACGATCCTTTACACAGAGCAGACTTGAAACACTCTTTTTGTGGAGTTTGCAAGTGGAGATTTCAGCCGCTTTGAGGTCAATGGTAGAAAAGGAAATATCTTCGTATAAAGACTAGACAGAACGATTCTCAGAAACTCCTTTGTGATGTGTGCGTTCAACTCACAGAGTTTAACCTTTCTTTTCATAGAGCAGTTAGGAAACACTCTGTTTGTAAAGTCTGCAAGTGGATATTCAGACCTCTTTGAGGCCTTCGTTGGAAACGGGATTTCTTCATATTCTGCTAGAAAGAAGAATTCTCAGTAACTTCCTTGTGTGGCGTGTATTCAACTGACAGAGTTGAACTTTCATTTAGAGAGAGCAGATTTGAAACACTGTTTTTGAGGAATTTGCAAGTGGAGATTTCAAGCGCTTTGGGGCCAAAGGCAGAAAAGGAAATATCTTCGTATAAAAACTAGACAGAATCATTCTCAGAAACTGCTCTGCGATGTGTGCGTTCAACTCTCAGAGTTTAAATTTCCTTTTCATTCAGCAGTTTGGAAACACTCTGTTTGTAAAGTCTGCACGTGGATAACTTGACCACTTAGAGGCCTTCGTTGGAAACGGGTTTTTTTCATGTAAGGCTAGACAGAAGAATTCCCAGTAACTTCCTTGTGTTGTGTGCATTCAACACACAGAGTTGAACGTTCCCTTAGACAGAGCAGATTTGAAACACTCTATTTGTGCAATTTGCAAGTGTAGATTTCAAGCGCTTTATGGTCAACAGCAGAAAAGGAAATATCTTCGTTTCAAAACTAGACAGAATCATTCTCAGAAACTGCTGCGTGATGTGTGCGTTCAACTCTCAGAGTTTAACTTTTCTTTTCATTCAGCTGTTTGGAAACACTCTGTTTGTAAAGTCTGCAAGTGGATATTCAGACCTCTTGAGGCCTTCGTTGGAAACGGGATTTCTTCATATTATGCTAGACAGAATAATTCTCAGTAACTTCCTTTTGTTCTGTGTATTCAACTCACAGAGTTGAACGATCCTTTACAGAGAGCAGACTTGAAACACTCTTTTTGTGGAATTTGCAAGTGGAGATTTCAGCCGCTTTGAGGTCAATGGTAGAAAAGGAAATATCTTCGTATAAAGACTAGACAGAATCATTCTCAGAAACTGCTCTGCGATGTGTGCGTTCAACTCTCAGAGTTTAACTTTTCTTTTCATTCAGCTGTTTGGAAACACTCTGTTTGTAAAGTCTGCACGTGGATATTTTGACCACTTAGAGGCCTTCGTTGGAAACGGGTTTTTTTCCTGTAAGGCTAGACAGAAGAATTCTCAGTAACTTCCTTGTGTTGTGTGTATTCAACTCACAGAGTTGAATGATCCTTTACACAGAGCAGACTTGAAACACTCTTTTTGTGGAATTTGCAAGTGGAGATTTCATCCGCTTTGAGGTCAATGGTAGAAAAGGAGACTATCTTCATATAAAGACTAGACAGACTGATTCCCAGAAACTCCTTTGTGATGTGTGCGTTCAACTCACAGAGTTTAACCTTTCTTTTCATAGAGCAGTTAGGAAACACTCTGTTTGTAAAGTCTGCAAGTGGATATTCAGACCTCTTTGAGGCCTTCGTTGGAAACGGGTTTTTTTCATATAAGGCTAGACAGAAGAATTCTCAGTAACTTCCTTGTGTTGTGTGTATTCAACTGACAGAGTTGAACTTTCATTTAGGGAGAGCAGATTTGAAACACTGTTTTTGTGGAATTTGCAAGTGGAGATTTCAAGCGCTTTGGGGCCAAAGGCAGAAAAGGAAATATCTTCGTATAAAAACTAGACAGAATCATTCTCAGAAACTCCTGCGTGATGTGTGCGTCCAACTCTCAGAGTTTAACTTTTCTTTTCATTCAGCGGTTTGGAAACACTCTGTTTGTAATGTCTGCACGTGGTTATTTTGACCACTTAGAGGCCTTCGTTGGAAACGGGTTTTTTTCATGTAAGGCTAGACAGAAGAATTCACAGTAACTTCCTTGTGTTGTGTGCATTCAACTCACAGAGTTGAACGTTCCCTTAGACAGAGCAGATTTGAAACACTCTATTTGTGGAATTTGCAAGTGTAGATTTCAAGCGCTTTAAGGTCAATGGCAGAAAAGGAAATATCTTCGTTTCAAAACTAGACAGAATCCTTCCCACAAACTGCGTTGTGATGTGTTCGTCCAACTCACAGAGTTTAACTTTTCTTTTCATAGAGCAGTTAGGAAACAGTCTGTTTGTAAAGTCTGTAAGTGGATATTCTGACCTCTTGTGGCCTTCGTTGGAAACGGGATTTCTTCATATTCTGCTAGACAGAAGAATTCTCAGAATCTTCCTTGTGTTGTGTGTATTCAACTCACAGAGTTGAACGATCCTTTACACAGAGCGGACTTGAAACACTCTTTTTGTGGAATTTGCAAGTGGAGATTTCAGCCGCTTTGAGGTCCATGGTAGAAAAGGAAATATCTTCGTATAAAAACTAGACAGAATGATTCTCAGAAACTCCTTTGTGATGTGTGCGTTCAACTCACAGAGTTTAACCTTTCTTTTCATAGAGCAGTTAGGAAACACTCTGTTTGTAAAGTCTGCAAGTGGATATTCAGACCTCCCTGAGGCCTTCTTTGGAAACGGGATTTGTCCATATTATGCTAGACAGAAGAATTCTCAGTAACTTCCTTGTGTTGTGTGTATTCAACTGACAGAGTTGAACTTTCATTTAGAGAGAGCAGATTTGAAACTCTGTTTTTGTGGAATTTGCAAGTGGAGATTTCAAGCGCTTTGGGGCCAAAGGCAGAAAAGGAAATATCTTCGTATAAAAACTAGACAGAATCATTCTCAGAAACTGCTGCGTGATGTGTGCGTTCAACTCTCAGAGTTTAACTTTTCTTTTCATTCAGCGGTTTGGAAACACTCTGTTTGTAAAGTCTGCACGTGGAAAATTTGACCACTTAGAGGCCTTCGTTGGAAACGGGTTTTTTTCATGTAAGGCTAGACAGAAGAATTCCCAGTAACTTCCTTGGGTTGTGTGCATTCAACTCACAGAGTTGAACGTTCCCTTAGACAGAGCAGATTTGAAACACTCTATTTGTGCAATTTGCAAGTGTAGATTTCAAGCGCTTTAAGGTCAACGGCAGAAAAAGAAATATCTTCTTTTCAAAACTAGACAGAATCATTCCCACAAACTGCGCTGTGATGTGTTCGTTCAACTCACAGAGTTTAACCTTTCTGTTCATAGAGCAGTTAGGAAACACTCTGTTTGTAAAGTCTGCAAGTGGATATTCAGACCTCCTTGAGGCCTTCGTTGGAAACGGGATTTCTTCATATTCTGCTAGACAGAAGAATTCTCAGTAACTTCCTTGTGTTGTGTGTATTCAACTCACAGAGTTGAACGATCCTTTACACAGAGCAGACTTGAAACACTCTTTTTGTGGAATTTGCAAGTGGAGATATCAGCCGCTTTGAGGTCAATGGTAGAATAGGAAATATCTTCATATAAAAACTAGACAGAATGATTCTCAGAAACTCCTTTGTGATGTGTGCGTTCAACTCACAGAGTTTAACCTTTCTTTTCATAGAGCAGTTAGGAAACACTCTGTTTGTAAAGTCTGCAAGTGGATATTCAGACATCCTTGAGGCTTTCGTTGGAAACGGGATTTCTTTATATTCTGCTAGAAAGAATAATTCTCAGTAACTTCCTTGTGTTGTGTGTATTCAACTCACAGATTTGAACGATCCATTACAGAGAGCAGACTTGAAACACTCTTTTTGTGGAATTTGCAAGTGGAGATTTCAGCCGCTTTGAGGTCAATGGTAGAATAGGAAATATCTTCCTATAGAAACTAGACAGAATGATTCTAAGAAACTCCTTTGTGATGTGTGCGTTCAACTCACAGAGTTTAACCTTTCTTTTCATAGAGCAGTTAGGAAACACTCTGATTGTAAAGTCTGCAAGTGGATATTCAGACCTCCTTGAGGCCTTCGTTGGAAACGGGATTTCTTCATATTATGCTAGACAGAAGAATTCTCAGTAACTTCCTTGTGTTGTGTGTATGCATCTCACTGAGTTGAACGATCCTTTGCACAGAGCAGACTTGAAACACTCTTTTTGTGGAATTTGCAAGTGGAGATTTCAGCCGCTTTGAGGTCAATGGTAGAAAAGGAAATATCTTCGTATAAAAACTAGACAGAATGATTCTCAGAAACTTCTTTGTGATGTGTGCGTTCAACTCACAGAGTTTAACCTTTCTTTTCATAGAGCAGTTAGGAAACACTCTGTTTGTAAACTCTGCAAGTGGATATATAGACCTCTTTGAGGCCTTCGTTGGAAACGGGATTTCTTCATAGTATGCTAGACAGAAGAATTCTCAGTAACTTCCTTGTGTTGTGTGTATTCAACTGACAGAGTTGAACTTTCATTTAGAGAGAGCAGATTTGAAACACTGTTTTTGTGGAATTTACAAGTGGAGATTTCAAGCGCTTTGGGGCCAAAGGCAGAAAAGGAAATATCTTCGTATAAAAACTAGACAGAATCATTCTCAGAAACTGCTGCGTGATGTGTGCGTTCAACTCTCAGAGTTTAACCTTTCTTTTCATTCAGCGGTTTGGAAACACTCTGTTTGTAAAGTCTGCACGTGGATATTTTGACCACTTAGAGGCCTTCGTTGGAAACGGGTTTTTTTCATGTAAGGATAGACAGAAGAAATTCCCAGTAACTTCCTTGTGTTGTGTGCATTCAACTCACAGAGTTGAACGTTCCCTTAGACAGAGCAGATTTGAAACACTCTATTTGTGCAATTTACAAGTGTAGATTTCAAGCGCTTTAAGGTCAACGGCAGAAAAGGAAATATCTTCGTTTCAAACCTAGACAGAATCATTCCCACAAACTGCGTTGTGATGTGTTCGTTCAACTCACAGAGTTTAACCTTTCTGTTCATAGAGCAGTAAGGAAACACTCTGTTTCTAAAGTCTGTAAGTGGATATTCTGACATCTTGCGGCCTTCGTTGGAAACGGGATTTCTTCATATTCTGCTAGACAGAAGAATTCTCAGTAACTTCCTTGTGTTGTGTGTATTCAACTCACAGAGTTGAACGATCCTTTACACAGAGCAGACTTGAAACACTCTTTTTGTGGAATTTGCAAGTGGAGATTTCAGCCGCTTTGAGGTCAATGGTAGAAAAGGAAATATCTTCGAATAAAGACTAGACAGAATGATTCTCAGAAAATCTTTTGTGATGTGTGCGTTCAACTCACAGAGTTTAACTTTTCTTCTCATAGAGCAGTTAGGAAACACTCTGTTTGTAAAGTCTGCAAGTGGATATTCAGACCTCTTAGAGGTCTTCGTTGGAAACGGGATTTCTTCATATTATGCTAGACAGAAGAATTCTCAGTAACTTCCTTGTGTTGTGTGTATTCAACTGACAGAGTTGAACTTTCATTTAGAGAGAGCAGATTTGAAACACTGTTTTTGTGGAATTTGCAAGTGGAGATTTCAAGCGCTTTGGGGCCAAGGGCAGAAAAGGAAATATCTTCGTATAAAAACTGGACAGAATCATTCTCAGAAACTGCTGCGTGATGTGTGCGTTCAACTCTCAGAGTTTAACTTTTCTTTTCATTCAGCGGTTTGGAAACACTCTGTTTGTAAAGTCTGCACGTGGATATTTTGACCACTTAGAGGCCTTCGTTGGAAACGGGTTTTTTTTCATGTAAGGCTATACAGAAGAATTCCCAGTAACTTCCTTGTGTTGTGTGCATTCAACTCACAGAGTTGAACGTTCCCTTAGACAGAGCAGATGTGAAACACTCTATTTGTGCAATTTGCAAGTGTAGATTTCAAGCGCTTTAAGGTCAATGGCAGAAAAGGAAATATCTTCGTTTCAAAACTAGACAGAGATCATTCCCACAAACTGCGTTGTGATGTGTTCGTTCATCTCACAGAGTTTAACCTTTCTTTTCATAGAGCAGTTAGGAAACACTATGTTTGTAAATTCTGTAAGTGGATATTCTGACATCTTGTGGCCTTCGTTGGAAACGGGATTTCTTCATATTCTGCTAGACAGATAATTCTCAGTAACTTCCTTGTGTTCTGTGTATTCAACTCACAGAGTTGAACGATCCTTTACAGAGAGCAGACTTTAAACACTCTTTTTGTGGAATTTGCAAGTGGAGATTTCAGCCGCTTTGAGGTCAATGGTAGAAAAGGAAATATCTTCGTACAAAGACTAGACAGAATGATTCTCAGAAACTCCTTTGTGATGTGTGCGTTAAACTCACAGAGTTTTACCTTTCTGTTCATAGAGCAGTTAGGAAACACTCTGTTTGTAAAGTCTGCAAGTGGATATTCAGACCTCCTTGAGGCCTTCGTTGGAAACGGGATTTCTTCATATTCTGCTAGACAGAAGAATTCTCAATAACTTCCTTGTTTTGTGTGTATTCAACTCACAGAGTTGAACGATCCTTTACACAGAGCAGACTTGTAACACTCTTTTTGTGGAATTTGCAAGTGGAGATTTCAGCCGCTTTGAAGTCAAAGGTAGAAAAGGAAATATCTTCCTATAAAAACTAGACAGAATGATTCTCAGAAACTCCTTTGTGCTGTGTGCGTTCAACTCACAGAGTTTAACCTTTCTTTTCATAGAGCAATTAGGAAACTCTCTGTTTGTAAAGTCTGCAAGTGGATATTCAGACATCTTTGAGGCTTTCGTTGGAAACGGGATTTCTTCATATTCTGCTAGACAGAAGAATTCTCAGAAATTTCCTTTTGTTGTGTGTTTTCAACTCACAGAGTTGAACGAACCTTTACACAGAGTAGACTTGAAACACTCTTTTTGTGGAATTGGCAAGTGGAGATTTCAGCCGCTTTGAGGTCAATGGTAGAAAAGGAAATATCTTCGTATAAAAACTAGACAGAATGATTCTCAGAAACTTCTTTGTGATGTGTGCGTTCAACTCACAGAGTTTAACCTTTCTTTTCATAGAGCAGTTAGGGAACACTCTGTTTGTAAACTCTGCAAGTGGATATTCAGACCTCTTTGAGGCCTTCGTTGGAAACGGGATTTCTTCATACTATGCTAGACAGAAGAATTCTCAGTAACTTCCTTGTGTTGTGTGTATTCAACTCATAGAGTTGAACGATCCTTTACACAGAGCAGACTTGTAACACTCTTTTTGTGGAATTTGCAAGTGGAGATTTCAGCCGCTTTGACGTCAAAGGTAGAAAAGGAAATATCTTCCTATAAAAACTAGACAGAATGATTCTCATAAACTCCTTTGTGATGTGTGCGTTCAACGCACAGAGTTTAACCTTTCTTTTCATAGAGCAGTTAGGAAACACTGTGTTTGTAAAGTCTGCATGTGGATATTCAGACCTCCTTGAGGCCTTCGTTGGAAACGGGAATTCCTCATATTCTGCTAGACAGAAGAATTCCCAGTAACTTCCTTGTGTTGTGTGTGTTCGACTCACAGAGTTGAACTTTCATTTACACAGAGCAGATTTGAAACACTCTTTTTGTGGAATTTGCAAATGGAGATTTCAAGCGCTTTGAGGCCAAAGGCAGAAAAGGAAATATCTTTGTATAAAAACTAGACAGAATCATTCTCAGAAACTGCTCTGCGATGTGTGCGTTCAACTCTCAGAGTTTAACTTTTCTTTTCATTCAGCAGTTTGGAAACACTCTGTTTGTAAAGTCTGCACGTGGATAACTTGACCACTTAGAGGCCGTCGTTGGAAACGGGTTTTGTTCATGTAAGGCTAGACAGAAGAATTCCCAGTAACTTCCTTGTGTTGTGTACATTCAACTCACAGAGTTGAACGTTCCCTTAGACAGAGCAGATTTGAAACACTCTTTTTGTGGAATTGGCAAGTGGTGATTTCAGCCGCTTTGAGGTCAATGGTAGAAAAGGAAATATCTTCGTATAAAAACTAGACAGAATCATTCCCACAAACTGCGTTGTGATGTGTTCGTTCAACTCACAGAGTTTAACCTTTCTTTTCATAGACCAGTTAGGAAACAGTCTGTTTGTCAATTCTGTAAGTGGATATTCTGACATCTTGTGGCCTTCGTTGGAAACGGGATTTCTTCATATTCTGCTAGAAAGAAGAATTCTCAGAATCTTCCTTGTGTTGTGTGTATTCAACTCAAAGAGTTGAACGATCCTTTACACAGAGCAGGCTTGAAACACTCTTTTTGTGGAATTTGCAAGTGGAGATTTCAGCCGCTTTGAAGTCAATGGTAGAAAAGGAAATATCTTCGTATAAAAACTAGACAGAATGATTCTCAGAAACTTCTTTGTGATGTGTGCGTTCAACTCACAGAGTTTAACCTTTCTTTTCATAGAGCAGTTAGGAAACACTCTGTTTGTAAACTCTGCAAGTGGATATTCAGACCTCTTTGAGGCCTTCGTTGTAAAAGGGATTTCTTCATACTATGCTAGACAGAAGAATTCTCAGTAACTTCCTTGTGTTGTGTGTATTCAACTCACAGAGTTGAACGATTCTTTACACAGAGCAGACTTGTAACACTCTTTTTGTGGAATTTGCAAGTGGAGATTTCAGCCTCTTTGAAGTCAAAGGTAGAAAAGGAAATATCTTCCTATAAAAACTAGACAGAATGATTCTCAGAAACTCCTTTGTGATGTGTGCGTGCAACTCACAGAGTTTAACTTTTCTTTTCATAGAGCAGTTAGGAAACACTCTGTTTGTAAAGTCTGGAAGTGGATATTCAGACCTCCTTGAGGCCTTCGTTGGAAACGGGATTTCTTCATATTCTGCTAGACAGAAGAATTCCCAGTAACTTCCTTGTGTTGTGTGTGTTCGACTCACAGAGTTGAACTTTCATTTACACAGAGCAGATTTGAAACACTCTTTTTGTGGAATTTGCAAATGGAGATTTCAAGCGCTTTGAGGCCAAAGGCAGAAAAGGAAATATCTTCGTATAAAAACTAGACAGAATGATTCTCAGAAACTCCTTTGTGATGTGTGTGTTCAACTCACAGAGATTAACCTTTCTTTTCATAGAGCAGTTAGGAAACACTCTGTTTGTAAAGTCTGCAAGTGGATATTCAGACCTCTTTGAGGCCTTCGTTGGAAACGGGATTTCTCCATACTATGCTAGACAGAAGAATTCTCAGTCACTTCCTTGTGTTGTGTGTATTCAACTCACAGAGTTGAACGATCCTTTACACAGAGCAGACTTGAAACACTCTTTTTGTGGAATTTGCAAGTGGAGATTTCAGCAGCTTTGAGGTCAATAGTAGAAAAGGAAATATCTTCGTAGAAAAACTAGACAGAATGATTCTCAGAAACTCCTTTGTGATGTGTGCGTTCAAGTCACAGAGTTTAACCTTTCTTTTCATAGAGCAGTTAGGAAACACTCTGTTTGTAAAGTCTGCAAGTGGATATTCAGACCTCTTTGAGGCCTTCGTTGGAAACGGGATTTCTTCATATTCTGTTAGACAGAAGAATTCTCAGTAACTTCCCTTGTGTTGTGTGTATTCAACTGACAGAGTTGAACTTTCATTTAGAGAGAGCAGATTTGAAACACTGTTTTTGTGGAATTTGCAAGTGGAGATTTCAAGCGCTTTGTGGCCAAAGGCAGAAAACGAAATATCTTCGTATAAAAACTAGACAGAATCATTCTCAGAAACTGCTCTGCGATGTGTGCGTTCAACTCTCAGAGTTTAACTTTGCTTTTCATTCAGCAGTTTGGAAACACTCTGTTTGTAAAGTCTGCACGTGGATAATTTGACCACTTAGAGGCCTTCGTTGGAAACGGGTTTTTTTCCTGTAAGGCTAGACAGAAGAATTCTCAGTAACTTCCTTGTGTTGTGTGTATTCAACTCACAGAGTTGAACGATCCTTTACAGAGAGCAGACTTTAAACACTCTTTTTGTGGAATTTGCAAGTGGAGATTTCAGCCGCTTTGAGGTCAATGGAAGAAAAGGAAATATCTTCGTATAAAGACTAGACAGAATGATTCTCAGAAACTCCTTTGTGATGTGTGCGTTCAACTCACAGAGTTTAACCTTTCTTTTCATAGAGCAGTTAGGAAACACTCTGTTTGTAAAGTCTGCAAGTGGATATTCAGACCTCTTTGAGGCCTTCGTTGGAAACGGGTTTTTTCCATATAAGGCTAGTCAGAAGAATTCTCAGTAACTTCCTTGTGTTGTGTGTGTTCAACTCACAGAGTTGAAATTTCATTTACACAGAGCAGATTTGAAACACTCTTTTTGTGGAAATTGCAAATGGAGATTTCAAGCGCTTTGAGGCCAAAGGCAGAAAAAGAAATATCTTCGTATAAAAACTGGACAGAATCATTCTCAGAAACTGCTCTGCGATGTGTGCGTTCAACTCTCAGAGTTTAACTTTGCTTTTCATTCAGCAGTTTGGAAACACTCTGTTTGTAAAGTCTGCACGTGGATAATTTGAACACTTAGAGGCCTTCGTTGGAAACGGGTTTTTTTCATGTAAGGCTAGACAGAAGAATTCCCAGTAACTTCCTTGTGTTGTGTACATTCAACTCACAGAGTTGAACGTTCCCTTAGACAGAGCAGATTTGAAACACTCTTTTTGTGCAATTGGCAAGTGGTGATTTCAGCCGCTTTGAGGTCAATGGTAGAAAAGGAAATATCTTCGTATAAAAACTAGACAGAATGATTCTCAGAAACTCCTTTAGGATGTGTGCGTTCAACTCACAGGGTTTAACCTTTCTTTTCATAGAGTAGTTAGGAAACACTCTGTTTGTAAACTCTGCAAGTGGATATTCAAACCTCTTTGAGGCCTTCGTTGCAAACGGGATTTCTTCATATTATTGCTGACAGAAGAATTCTCAGAAACTTCCCTTGTGTTTTGTGTATTCAACTCACAGAGTTGAACGATCCTTTAAACAGAGCAGACTTGAAACACTCTTTTTGTGGAATTTGCAAGTGGAGATTTCAGCCGCTTTGAGGTCAATGGTAGAAAAGGAAATATCTTCGTATAAAAACTAGACAGAATGATTCTGAGAAACTCCTTTGTGATGTGTGCGTTCAACTCACAGAGTTTAACCTTTCTTTTCATAGAGCAGTTAGGAAACACTCTGTTTGTAAAGTCTGCAAGTGGATATTCAGACCTCTTTGAGGCCTTCGTTGGAAACGGGATTTTTTCATATAAGGCTAGACAGAAGAATTCTCAGTAACTTCCTTGTGTTGTGTGTATTCAACTCACAGAGTTGAACGATCCTTTACACAGAGCAGACTTGAAACAGTCTTTTTGTGGAATTTGCAAGTGGAGATTTCAGCCGCTTTGAGGTCAATGGTAGAATAGGAAATATCTTCCTATAGAAACTAGACAGAATGATTCTCAGAAACTCCTTTGTGATGTGTGCGTTCAACTCACAGAGTTTAACCTTTCTTTTCATAGAGCAGTTAGGAAACACTCTGTTTGTAAAGTCTGCAAGTGGATATTCAGACATCCTTGAGGCTTTCGTTGGAAACGGGATTTCTTCATATTCTGCTAGACAGAAGAATTCCCAGTAACTTCCTTGTGTTGTGTGTGTTCAATTCACAGAGTTGAACTTTCATGTACACAGAGCAGATTTGAAACACTCTTTTTGTGGAATTTGCAAATGGAGATTTCAAGCGCTTTGAGGCCAAAGGCAGAAAAGGAAATATCTTCGTATAAAAACTAGACAGAATCATTCTCAGAAACTGCTCTGCGATGTGTGCGTTCAACTCTCAGAGTTTAACTTTTCTTTTCATTCAGCAGTTTGGAAACACTCTGTTTGTAAAGTCTGCACGTGGATATTTTGACCACTTAGAGGCCTTCGTTGGAAACGGTTTTCTTTCCTGTAAGGCTAGACAGAAGAATTCCCAGTAACTTCCTTGTGTTGTGTGCATTCAACTCACAGAGTTGAACGTTCCCTTAGACTGAGCAGATTTGAAACACTCTATTTGTGCAATTTGCAAGTGTAGATTTCAAGCGCTTTAAGGTCAATGGCAGAAAAGGAAATATCTTCGTTTCAAAACTAGACAGAATCATTCCCACAAACTGCGTTGTGATGTGTTCGTTCAACTCACAGAGTTTAACCTTTCTGTTCATAGAGCAGTTAGGAAACACTCTGTTTGTAAAGTCTGCAAGTGGATTTTGAGACCTCCTTGAGGCCTTCGTTGGAAACGGGATTTCTTCATATTCTGCTAGACAGAAGAATTCTCAGTAACTTCCTTGTGTTGTGTGTATTCAACTCACAGAGTTGAACGATCCTTTACACAGAGCAGACTTGTAACACTCTTTTTCTGGAATTTCCAAGTGGAGATTTCAGCCGCTTTGAAGTCAAAGGTAGAAAAGGAAATATCTTCCTATAAAAACTAGACAGAATGATTATCATAAAATCCTTTGTGATGTGTGCGTTCAACTCACAGAGTTTAACTTTTCTTTTCATAGAGCAGTTAGGAAACACTCTGTTTGTAAAGTCTGCAAGTGGATATTCAGACCCCTTTGAGGCCTTCGTTGGAAACGGGATTTCTTCATATTATGCTAGACAGAAGAATTCCCAGTAACTTCCTTGTGTTGTGTGTGTTCAACTCACAGAGTTGAACTTTCATTTACACAGAGCAGATTTGAAACACTCTTTTTGTGGAATTTGCAAGTGGAGATTTCAAGCGCTTTGAGGCCAAAGGCAGAAAAGGAAATATCTTCGGTATAAAAACTAGACAGAATGATTCTCAGAAACTCCTTTGTGATGTGTGCGTTCAACTCACAGAGTTTAACCTTTCTTTTCATAGAGCAGTTAGGAAACACTCTGTTTGTAAAGTCTGCAAGTGGATATTCAGACCTCTTTGAGGCCTTCGTTGGAAACGGGATTTCTTCATAATATGCTAGACAGAAGAATTCTCAGTAACTTCCTTGTGTTGTGTGTATTCAACTCACAGAGTTGAACGAACCTTTACACAGAGCAGACTTGAAACACTCTTTTTGTGGAATTTGCAAGTGTAGATTTCATCCGCTTTGAGGTCAATGGTAGAAAAGGAAATATCTTCGTATAAAAACTAGACAGAATGATTCTCATAAACTCCTTTGTGATGTGTGCGTTCAACTCACAGAGTTTAACTTTTCTTTTCATAGAGCAGTTAGGAAACACTCTGTTTGTAAAGTCTGCAAGTGGATATTCAGACCTCCTTGACTCCTTCGTTGGAAACGGGATTTCTTCATATTCTGCTAGACAGAAGGATTCCCAGTAACTTCCTTGTGTTGTGTGTGTTCAACTCACAGAGTTGAACTTTCATTTACAAAGAGCAGATTTGAAACACTCTTTTTGTGGAATTTGCAATTGGAGATTTCAAGCGCTTTGAGGCCAAAGGCAGAAAAGGAAATATCTTCGTATAAAAACTAGACAAAATGATTCTCAGAATCTTCTTTGTGATGTGTGTGTTCAACTCACAGAGTTTAACCTTTCTTTTCATAGAGCAGTTAGGAAACACTCTGTTTGTAAACTCTGCAAGTGGATATTCAGACCTCATTGAGGCTTTCGTTGGAAACGGGATTTCTTCATACTCTGCTAGACAGAAGAATTCTCAGTAACTTCCTTGTGTTGTGTGTATTCAACTCACAGAGTTGAACGACCCTTTACACAGAGCGGACTTGAAACACTCTTTTTGTGGAATTTGCAAGTGGAGATTTCAGCCGCGTTGAGGTCAATGGTAGAAAAGGAAATATCTTCGTATAGAAACTTGACAGAATGATTCTCAGAAACTCCTTTGTGATGTGTGCGTTCAACTCACAGAGTTCAACCTTTCTTTTAATAGAGCAGTTGGGAAACACTCTGTTTCTAAAGTCTGCAAGTGGATATTCAGACTTCTTTGAGGCCTTCGTTGGAAACGGGATTTCTTCATATTCTGCTAGACAGAAGAATTCTCAGTAACTTCCTTGTGTTGTGTGTATTCAACTGACAGAGTTGAACTTTCATTTAGAGAGGGCAGATTTGTAACACTGTTTTTGTGGAATTTGCAAGTGGAGATTTCAAGCGCTTTGCGGCCAAAGGCAGAAAAGGAAATATCTTCGTATAAAAACTAGACAGAATCATTCTCAGAAACTGCTGCGTGACGCGTGCGTTCAACTCTCAAAGTTTAACTTTTCTTTTCATTCAGCGGTTTGGAAACACTCTGTTTGTAAAGTCTGCACGTGGATATTTTGACCACTTAGAGGCCTTCGTTGGAAACGGGTTTTTTTCATGTAAGGCTAGACAGAAGAATTCCCAGTAACTTCCTTGTGTTGTGTACATTCAACTCACAGAGTTGAACGTTCCCTTAGAAAGAGCAGATTTGAAACACTCTTTTTGTGCAATTGGCAAGTGGTGATTTCAGCCGCTTTGAGGTCAATGGTATAAAAGGAAATACCTTCGTATAAAAACTAGACAGAATCATTCCCACAAACTGCGTTGTGATGTGTTCGTTGAACTCACAGAGTTTAACCTTTCTTTTCATAGAGCAGTTAGGAAACAGTCTGTTTGTAAATTCTGTAAGTGGATATTCTGACATCTTGTGGCCTTCGTTGGAAACGGGATTTCTTCATATTCTGCTAGACAGAAGAATTCTCAGAAACTTCCTTGTGTTTTGTGTTTTCAACTCACAGAGTTGAACGATGCTTTACACAGAGTAGACTTGAAACACTCTTTTTGTGTAATTTGCAAGTGGAGATTTCAGCCGCTTTGAGGTCAATGGTAGAAAAGGAAATATCTTCGTATAAAAACTAGACAGAATGATTCTCAGAAACTCCTTTGTGATGTGTGCGTTCAACTCACAGAGTTTAACCTTTCTTTTCATAGAGCAGTTAGGAAACACTCTGTTTGTAAAGTCTGCAAGTGGATATTCAGACCTCCTTGAGGCCTTCGTTGGATACGGGATTTCTTCATATTATGCTAGACAGAAGAATTCTCAGTAACTTCCTTGTGTTGTGTGTATTCAACTCACAGAGTTGAACGATCCTTTACACAGAGCAGAGTTGAAACACTCTTTTTGTGGAATTTGCAAGTGGAGATTTCAGCCGCTTTGAGGTCAATGGTAGAATAGGAAATATCTTCCTATAGAAACTAGACAGAATGATTCTCAGAAAATCTTTTGTGATGTGTGCGTTCAACTCACAGAGTTTAACTTTTCTTCTCATAGAGCAGTTAGGAAACACTCTGTTTGTAAAGTCTGCAAGTGGATATTCAGACCTCTTTGAGGCCTTCGTTGGAAACGGGATTTCTTCATATTATGCAAGACAGAATAATTCTCAGTAACTTCCTTGTGTTGTGTGTATTCAACTCACAGAGTTGAAGGATCCTTTACAGAGAGCAGGCTTGAAACACTCTTTTTGTCGAATTTGCAAGTGGAGATTTCAGCCGCTTTGAGGTGAATGGTAGAATAGGAAATATCTTCTTATAGAAACTAGACAGAATCATTCTCAGAAACTGCTCTGCGATGTGTGCGTTCAACTCTCAGAGTTTAACTTTTCTTTTCATTCAGCAGTTTGGAAACACTCTGTTTGTAAAGTCTGCACGTGGATAATTTGACCACTTAGAGGCCTTCGTTGGAAACGGGTTTTTTTCATATAAGGCTAGACAGAAGAATTCCCAGTATCTTCCTTGTGTTGTGTGCATTCAACTCACAGAGTTGAACGTTCCTTTAGACAGAGCAGATTGGAAACACTCTTTTTGTGCAATTTGCAAGTGGAGATTTCAAGCGCTTTAAGGGCAATTGCAGAAAAGGAAATATCTTCGTTTCAAAACTAGACAGAATCATTCCCACAAACTGCGTTGTGATGGGTGCGTTCAACTCACAGAGTTTAACCTTTCTTTTCATAGAGCAGTTAGGAAACACTCTGTTTGTAAAGTCTGGAAGTGGATATTCTGACCTCTTTGTGGCCTTCGCTGGAACCGGGATTTCTTCATATAATACTAGACAGAAGAATTCTCAGTAACTTCTTTGTGTTGTGTGTATTCAACTCACAGAGTTGAACGATCCTTTACACAGAGCAGACTTGAAACACTCGTTTTGTGGAATTTGCAAGTGGAGATTTCAGCCGCTTTGAGGTCCATGGTAGAAAAGGAAATATCTTCGTATAAAAACTTGACAGAATGATTCTCATGAACTCCTTTGTGATGTGTGCGTTCAACTCAAAGAGTTTAACCTTTCTGTTCATAGAGCAGTTAGGAAACACTCTGTTTGTAAAGTCTGCAAGTGGATATTCAGACCTCCTTGAGGCCTTCGTTGGAAACGGGATTTCTTCATATTCTGCTAGACAGAAGAATTCTCAGTAACTTCCTTGTGTTGTGTGTATTCAACTCAAAGAGTTCAACGATCCTTTATACAGAGCAGACTTGAAACACTCTTTTTGTGGAATTTGCAAATGGAGATCTCAGCCGCTTTGTGGTCAGTAGTAGAAAAGGAAATATCTTCGTATAAAAACTAGACAGAATGATTCTCAGAAACTTCTTTGTGATGTGTGCGTTCAACTCACAGAGTTTAACCTTTCTTTTCATAGAGCAGTTAGGAAACACTCTGTTTGTAAAGTCTGCAAGTGGATATTCAGACCTCTTTGAGCCCTTCGTTGGAAACGGGTTTTTTTCATTTAAGGCTAGACAGAAGAATTCTCAGTAACTTCCTTGTGTTGTGTGTATTCAACTCAAAGAGTTGAACTTTCATTTAGAGAGAGCAGATTTGAAACACTGTTTTTGTGGAATTTGCAAGTGGAGATTTCAAGCGCTTTGGGGCCAAAGGCAGAAAAGGAAATATCTTCGTATAAAAACTAGACAGAATCATTCTCAGAAAACTGCTCTGTGATGTGTGCGTTCAACTCTCAGAGTTTAACTTTTCTTTTCATTCAGCAGTTTGGAAACACTCTGTTTCTAAAGTCTGCACGTGGATAATTTGACCACTTAGAGGCCTTCGTTGGAAACGGGTTTTTTTCATGTAAGGCTAGACAGAAGAATTCCCAGTAACTTCCTTGTGTTGTGTGCATTCAACTCACAGAGTTGAACGTTCCCTTAGACAGAGCAGATTTGAAACACTCTATTTGTGCAATTTGCAAGTGTAGATTTCAAGCGCTTTAAGGTCAACGGCAGAAAAGGAAATATCTTCGTTTCAAAACTAGACACAATCATTCTCAGAAACTGCTCTGCGATGTGTGCGTGCAACTCTCAGAGTTTAACTTTTCTTTTCATTCAGCAGTTTGGAAACACTCTGTTTGTAAAGTCTGCACGTGGATAACTTGACCACTTAGAGGCCTTCGTTGGAAACGGGTTTTTTTCATGTAAGGCTAGACAGAAGAATTCTCAGTAACTTCCTTGTGTTGTGTGTATTCAACTCACAGAGTTGAACGATCGTTTACACAGAGCAGACTTGTAACACTCTTTTTGTGGAATTTGCAAGTGGAGATTTCAGCCACTTTGAAGTCAAAGGTAGAAAAGGAAATAACTTCCTATAAAAACTAGACAGAATGATTCTCAGAAACTTCTTTGTGATGTGTGCGTTCAACTCACAGAGTTTAACCTTTCTTTTCATAGAGCAGTTAGGAAACACTCTGTTTGTAAACTCTACAAGTGGATATTCACACCTCTTTGAGGCCTTCGTTGGAAACGGGATTTCTTCATACTGTGCTAGACAGAAGAATTCTCATTAACTTCCTTGTGTTGTGTGTATTCAACTGACAAAGTTGAACTTTCATTTAGAGAGAGCAGATTTGAAACACTGTTTTTGTGGAATTTGCAAGTGGAGATTTCAAGCGCTTTGGGGCCAAAGGCAGAAAAGGAAATATCTTCGTATAAAAACTAGACAGAATCATTCTCAGAAACTGCTCCGTGATGTGTGCGTTCAACTCTCAGAGTTTAACTTTTCTTTTCATTCAGCGGTTTGGAAACACTCTGTTTGTAAAGTCTGCACGTGGAAATTTTGACCACTTAGAGGCCTTCGTTGGAAACGGGATTTTTTCATGTAAGGCTAGACAGAAGAATTCCCCGTAACTTCCTTGTGTTGTGTGCATTCAACTCACAGAGTTGAACGTTCCCTTAGACAGAGCAGATTTGAAACACTCTATTTGTGCAATTTGCAAGTGTAGTTTTCAAGCTCTTTAAGGTCAACGGCAGAAAAGGAAATATCTTCGTTTCAAAACTAGACAGAATCATTCCCACAAACTGCGTTGTGATGTGTTCGTTCAACTCACAGAGTTTAACCTTTCTGTTCATAGAGCAGTTAGGAAACACTCTGTTTGTAAAGTCTGTAAGTGGATATTCTGACATCTTGTGGCCTTCAGTTGGAAACGGGATTTCTTCATATTCTGCTAGACAGAAGAATTCTCAGTAACTTCCTTGTGTTGTGTGTATTCAACTCACAGAGTTGAACGATCCTTTACACAGAGCAGACTTGAAACACTCTTTTTGTGGAATTTGCAACTGGAGATTTCAGCCGCTTTGAGGTCAATGGTAGAAAAGGAAACTATCTTCATATAAAGACTAGACAGAATGATTCTCAGAAACTCCTTTGTGATGTGTGCGTTCAACTCACAGAGTTTAACCTTTCTTTTCATAGAGCAGTTAGGAAACACTCTGTTTGTAAAGTCTGCAAGTGGATATTGAGACATCTTTGAGGCTTTCGTTGGAAACAGGATTTCTTCATATTCTGCTAGACAGAAGAATTCTCAGTAACTTCCTTGTGTTGTGTGTATTAAACTGACAGAGTTGAACTTTCATTTAGAGAGAGCAGATTTGTAAAACTGTTTTTGTGGAATTTGCAAGTGGAGATTTCAAGCGCTTTGGGGCCAAAGGCAGAAAAGGAATTATCTTGGTATAAAAACTAGACAGAATCATTCTCAGAAACTGCTCTGCGATGTGTGCGTTCAACTCTCAGAGTTTAACTTTTCTTTTCATTCAGCAGTTTGGAAACACTCTGTTTGTAAAGTCTGCACGTGGATAACGTGACCACTTAGAGGCCTTCGTTGGAAACGGGTTTTTTTCATGTAAGGCTAGACAGAAGAATTCTCAGAAACTTCCTTGTGTTGTGTGTATTCAACTCACAGAGTTGAATGATCCTTTACACAGAGCAGACTTGAAACACTCTTTTTGTGGAATTTGCAAGTGGAGATTTCAGCCGCTTTGAGGTCAATGGTAGAATAGGAAATATCTTCCTATGGAAACTAGACAGAATGATTCTCAGAAACTCCTTTGTGCTGTGTGCGTTCAACTCACAGAGTTTAACCTTTCTTTTCATAGAGCAGTTAGGAAACACTCTGTTTGTTAAGTCTGCAGGTGGATATTCAGACCTCTTTGAGGCCTTCGTTGGAAAGGGGATTTCTTCATATTATGCTAGACAGAAAGAATTCTCAGTAACTTCCTTGTGTTGTGTGTATTCAACTGACAGAGTTGAACTATCATTTAGAGAGAGCAGATTTGAAACACTGTTTTTGTGGAATTTGCAAGTGGAGATTTCAAGCGCTTTGGGGCCAAAGGCAGAAAAGGAAATATCTTCGTATAAAAACTAGACAGAATGATTCTCAGAAACTCCTTTGTGATGTGGGCGTTCAACTCACAGAGTTTAACCTTTCTTTTCATAGAGCAGTTAGGAAACACTCTGTTTGTAAAGTCTGCAAGTGGATATTCAGACCTCTTTGTGGCCTTCATTGGAAACGGGATTTCTTCATATTCTGCTAGAGAGAAGTATTCTGAGAAACTTCCTTGCGTTGTGTGTATTCAACTCACAGAGTTCAACGATCCTTTACACAGAGCAGACTTGAAACACTCTTTTTGTGGAATTTGCAAGTGGAGATTTCAGCCGCTTTGAGGTCAATGGTAGAATAGGAAATATCTTCGTATAAAAACTAGACAGAAATGATTCTCAGAAACTCCTTTGTGATGTGTGCGTTCAAGTCACAGAGTTTAACCTTTCTTTTCATAGAGCAGTTAGGAAACACTCTGTTTGTAAAGTCTGCAAGTGGATATTCAGACCTCTTTGAGGCCTTCGTTGGAAACGGGATTTCTTCATATTCTGCTAGACAGAAGAATTCCCAGTAACTTCCTTGTGTTGTGTGTCTTCAACTCACAGAGTTGAACTTTCATTTACACAGAGCAGATTTGAAACACTCTTTTTGTGGAATTTGCAAATGGAGATTTCAAGCGCTTTGAGGCCAAAGGCAGAAAAGGAAATATCTTCGTATAAAAACTTGACAGAATCATTCTCAGAAACTGCTCTGCGATGTGTGCGTTTAACTCTCAGAGTTTAACTTTTCTTTTCATTCAGCAGTTTGGAAACACTCTGTTTGTAAAGTCTGCACGTGGATAATTTGACCACTTAGAGGCCTTCGTTGGAAACGGGTTTTTTTCATGTAAGGCTAGACAGAAGAATTCTCAGTAACTTCCTTGTGTTGTGTGTATTCAACTCACAGAGTTGAACGATCCTTTACACAGAGCAGACTTGAAACATTCTTTTGGTGGAATTTGCAAGTGGAGATTTCAGCCGCTTTGAGGTCAATGGTAGAATAGGAAATATCTTCCTATACAAACTAGACAGAGTGATTCTCAGAAACTCCTTTGTGATGTGTGCGTTCAACTCACAGAGTTTAACCTTTCTTTTCATAGAGCAGTTAGGAAACACTCTGTTTCTAAAGTCTGCAAGTGGATATTCAGACCTCTTTGAGGCCTTCGTTGGAAACGGGTTTTTTTCATATAAGGCTAGAGAGAAGAATTCCCAGTAACTTCCTTGTGTTGTGTGTGTTCCACTCACAGAGTTGAACTTTCGTTTACACAGAGCAGATTTGAAACACTCTTTTTGTGGAATTTGCAAGTGGAGATTTCAAGCGCTTTGAGGCCAAAGGCAGAAAAGGAAATATCTTCGTATAAAAACTAGACAGAATCATTCTCAGAAACTGCTGCGTGATGTGTGCGTTCAACTCTCAGAGTTTAACATTTCTTTTCATTCAGCGGTTTGGAAACACTCTGTTTGTAAAGTCTGCACGTGGAAATTTTGACCACTTAGAGGCCTTCGTTGGAAACGGGTTTTTTTCATGTAAGGCTAGACAGAAGAATTCTCAGTAACTTCCTTGTGTTGTGTGTATTCAACTCACAGAGTTGAACGATCCTTTACACAGAGCAGACTTGTAACACTCTTTTTGTGGAATTTGCAAGTGGAGATTTCAGCCGCTTTGAAGTCAAAGGTAGAAAAGGAATTATCTTCCTATAAAAACTAGACAGAATGATTCTCAGAAACTCCTTTGTGATGTGTGTGTTCAACTCACAGAGTTTAACATTTCTTTTCATAGAGCAGTTAGGAAACACTCTGTTTGGAAAGTCTGCAAGTGGATATTCAGACCTCTTTGAGGCCTTCGTTGGAAACGGGTTTTTTTCATATAAGGCTAGACAGAAGAATTCTCAGTAACTTCCTTGTGTTGTGTGTATTCAACTGACAGAGTTGAACTTTCATTTAGAGAGAGCAGATTTGAAACTCTGTTTTTGTGGAATTTGCAAGTGGAGATTTCAAGGGCTTTGGGGCCAAAGGCAGAAAAGGAAATATCTTCGTATAAAAACTAGACAGAATCATTCTCAGAAACTGCTGCGTGATGTGTGCGTTCAACTCTCAGAGTTTAACTTTTCTTTTCATTCAGCGGTTTGGAAACACTCTGTTTGTAAAGTCTGCACGTGGATAATTTGACCACTTAGAGGCCTTCGTTGGAAACGGGTTTTTTTTCATGTAAGGCTAGACAGAAGAATTCCCAGTAACTTCCTTCTGTTGTGTGCATTCAACTCACAGAGTTGAACGTTCCCTTAGACAGAGCAGATTTGAAACACTCTATTTGTGCAATTTGCAAGTATAGATTTCAAGCGCTTTAAGGTCAACGGCAGAAAAGGAAATATCTTCATTTCAAAACTAGACAGAATCATTCCCACAAACTGCGTTGTGATGTGTTCGCTCAACTTACAGAGTTTAACCTTTCTTTTCATAGAGCAGTTAGGAAACAGTCTGTTTGTAAATTCTGTAAGTGGATATTCTGACATCTTGTGGCCTTCGTTGGAAACGGGATTTCTTCATATTCTGCTAGACAGAAGAATTCTCAGTAACTTCCTTGTGTTGTGTTTATTCAACTCACAGAGTTGAATGATCCTTTACACAGAGCAGACTTGAAACACTCTTTTTGTGGAAATTGCAAGTGGAGATTTCAGCCGCTTTGAGGTCAACGGTAGAAAAGTAAATATCTTCGTATAAAGACTAGACAGAATGATTCTCAGAAACTCCTTTGTGATGTGTGCGATCAACTCACAGAGTTTAACCTTTCTTTTCATAGAGCAGTTAGGATACACTCTGTTTGTAAAGTCTGCAAGTGGATATTCAGACATCCTTGAGGCTTTCGTTGGAAACGGGATTTCTTCATATTCTGCTAGAAAGAAGAATTCCCAGTAACTTCCTTGTGTTGTGTGTGTTCAACTCACAGAGTTGAACTTTCATTTACACAGAGCAGATTTGAAACACTCTTTTTGTGGAATTTGCAAGTGGAGGTTTCAAGCGCTTTGAGGCCAAAGGCAGAAAAGGAAATATCTTCGTATAAAAACTAGACAGAATCATTCTCAGAAACTGCTCTGCGATGTGTGCGTTCAACTCTCAGAGTTTAACTTTTCTTTTCATTCAGCAGTTTGGAAACACTCTGTTTGTAAAGTCTGCACGTGGATAATTTCACCACTTAGAGGTCTTCGTTGGAAACGGGTTTTTTTCATGTAAGGATAGACAGAAGAATTCCCAGTAACTTCCTTGTGTTGTGTACATTCAACTCACAGAGCTGAACGTTCCCTTAGACAGAGCAGATTTGAAACACTCTTTTTGTGCAATTGGCAAGTGGTGATTTCAGCTGCTTTGAGGTCAATGGTAGAAAAGGGAATATCTTCGTATAAAAACTAGACAGAATCATTCCCACAAACTGCGTTGTGATGTGTTCGTTCAACTCACAGAGTTTAACCTTTCTGTTCATAGAGCAGTTAGGAAACACTGTGTTTGTAAAGTCTGTAAGTGGATATTCTGACATCTTGTGGCCTTCGTTGGAAACGGGATTTCTTCATTTTCTGCTAGAAAGTATAATTCTCAGTAACTTCCTTGTGTTGTGTGTATTCAACTCCCAGAGTTGAACGATCCTTTACACAGAGCAGACTTGAAACATTCTTTTTGTGGAATTTGCAAGTGGAGATTTCAGCTGCTTTGAGGTCAATGGTAGAATAGGAAATATCTTCCTATAGAAACTAGACAGAATGATTCTCAGAAAGTCCTTTGTGATGTGTGCGTTCAACTCACAGAGTTTAACCTTTCTTTTCATAGAGCAGTTAGGAAACACTCTGTTTGTAAAGTCTGCAAGTGGATATTCAGACCTCCTTGAGGCCTTCGTTGGAAACAGGATTTCTTCATATTCTGCTAGACAGAAGAATTCTCAGTAACTTCCCTTGTGTTGTGTGTATTCAACTCACAGATTTGAACGATCCTTTACAGAGAGCAGACTTGAAACACTCTTTTTGTGGAATTTGCAAGTGGAGATTTCAGCTGCTTTGAGGTCAATGGTAGAAAAGGAAATATCTTCGTAGAAAAACTAGACAGAATGATTCTCAGAAACTTCTTTGTGATGTGTGCGTTCAACTCACAGAGTTTAACCTTTCTTTTCATAGAGCAGTTAGGAAACACTCTGCTTGTAAACTCTGCAAGTGGATATTCAGACCTCTTTGAGGCCTTCGTTGGAAACGGGATTTCTTCATACTATGCTAGACACAAGAATTCTCAGTAACTTCCTTGTGTTGTGTGTATTCAACTGACAGAGTTGAACTTTCATTTAGACAGAGCAGATTTGAAACACTCTTTTTGTGGAATTTGCAAGTAGAGATTTCAAGCGCTTTGAGTCCAAAGGCAGAAAAGGAAATATCTTCGTATAAAAACTAGACAGAATCATTCTCAGAAACTGCTGCGTGATGTGTGCGTTCAACTCTCCGAGTTTAACTTTTCTTTTCATTCAGCGGTTTGGAAACACTCTGTTTGTAAAGACTGCACGTGGATATTTTGACCACTTAGAGGCCTTCGTTGGAAACGGGTTTTTTTTCATGTAAGGCTAGACAGAAGAATTCCCAGTAACTTCCTTGTGTTGTGTGCATTCAACTCACAGAGTTGAACGTTCCCTTAGACAGAGCAGATTTGAAACACTCTATTTGTGCAATTTGCAAGTGTAGATTTCAAGCGCTTTAAGGTCAATGGTAGAAAAGGAAATATCTTCGTTTCAAAACTAGACAGAATCATTCCCACAAACTGCGTTGTGATGTGTTCGTTCAACTCACAGAGTTTAACCTTTCTTTTCATAGAGCAGTTAGGAAACAGTCTGTTTGTAAACTCTGCAAGTGGATATTCAGACCTCTTTGAGGCCTTCGTTGGAAACGGGATTTCTCCATACTGTGCTAGACAGAAGAATTCTCAGTAACTTCCTTGTGTTGTGTTTATTCAACTCACAGAGCTGAATGATCCTTTACACAGAGCAGACTTGAAACACTCTTTTTGTGGAATTTGCAAGTGGAGATTTCAGCCGCTTTGCGGTCAATGGTAGAAAAGTAAATATCTTCGTATAAAGACTAGACAGAATGATTCTCAGAAACTCCTTTGTGATGTGTGCGTTCAACTCACAGAGTTCAACCTTTCTTTTCATAGAGCAGTTGGGAAACCCTCTGTTTGTAAAGTCTGCAAGTGGATATTCAGACTTCTTTGAGGCCTTCGTTGGAAGCGGGATTTCTTCATGTTCTGCTAGACAGAAGGATTCTCAGTAACTTCCTTGTGTTGTGTGTATTCAACTCACAGAGTTGAACGATCCTTTACACAGAGCAGACTTAAAACACTCTTTTTGTGGAATTTGCAAGTGGAGATTTCAGCCGCTTTGAGGTCAATGTTAGAAAAGGAGATATCTTCGTATAAAAACTAGACAGAATGATTCTCAGAAACTCCTTTGTGATGTGGGCGTTCAACTCACAGAGTTTAACCTTTCTTTTCATAGAGCAGTTAGGAAACACTCTGTTTGTAAGATTGCAAGTGGATATTCAGATATCTTTGAGGCTTTCGTTGGAAACGGGATTTCTTCATATTCTGCTATACAGAAGAATTCTCAGAAACTTCCTTGTGTTGTGTGTATTCAACTCACAGAGTTGAACGATCGTTTACACAGAGCAGACTTGAGACACTCTGTTTGTGGAATTTGTAAGTGGAGATTTCAGCCGCTATGAGGTCAATGGTAGAATAGGAAATATCTTCCTATAGAAACTAGACAGAATCATTCTCAGAAACTGCTCTGTGATGTGTGCGTTCAACTCTCAGAGTTTAACTTTTCTTTTCATTCAGCAGTTTGGAAACACTCTGTTTGTAAAGTCTGCACGTGGATAATTTGACCACTTAGAGGCCTTCATTGGAAAAGGGTTTTTTTCATGTGAGGCTAGACAGAAGAATTCCCAGTAACTTCCTTGTGTTGTGTACATTGAACTCACAGAGTTGAACGTTCCCTTAGACAGAGCAGATTTGAAACACTCTTTTTGTGCAATTGGCAAGTGGAGATTTCAAGCGCTTTAAGGTCAATGGCAGAAAAGGAAATATCTTCGTTTCAAAACTAGACAGAATCATTCCCACAAACTGCGTTGTGAGGTGTTCGTTCAACTCACAGAGTTTAACCTTTCTTTTCATAGAGCAGTTAGGAAACAGTCTGTTTGTAAATTCTGTAAGTGGATATTCTGACATCTTGTGGCCTTCTTTGGAAACGGGATTTCTTCATATTCTGCTAGACAGAAGAATTCTCAGTAACTTCCTTGTGTTGTGTGTATTCAACTCACAGAGTTCAACGATCCTTTACACAGAGCAGACTTGAAACACTCTTTTTGTGGAATTTGCAAGTGGAGATTTCAGCCGACTTGAGGTCAATGGTAGAAAAGGAAATATCTTCTTATAAAAACTAGACAGAATGATTCTCAGAAACTCCTTTGTGATGTGTGCGTTCAACTCACAGAGTTTAACCTTTCTTCTCATAGAGCAGTTAGGAAACATTCTGTTTGTAAAGTCTGCAAGTGGATATTCAGACCTCTTTGAGGCCTTCGTTGGAAACGGGATTTCTTCATATTATGCTAGACAGAAGAATTCTCAGTAACTTCCTTGTGTTGTGTGTATTCAACTCACAGAGTTCAATGATCATTTACACAGAGCAGACTTCAAACACTCTTTTTGTGGAATTTGCAAGTGGAGATTTCAGCCGACTTGAGGTCAATGGTAGAAAAGGAAATATCTTCGTATAAAAACTAGACAGAATGATTCTCAGAAACTCCTTTGTGATGTGTGCGTTCAACTCACAGAGTTTCACCTTTCTTTTCATAGAGCAGTTAGGAAACACTCTGTTTCTAAAGTCTGCAAGTGGATATTCAGACCTCTTTGAGGCCTTCGTTGGAAACGGGTTTTTTTCATATAAGGCTAGAGAGAAGAATTCCCAGTAACTTCCTTGTGTTGTGTGCGTTCAACTCACAGAGTTGAACTTTCATTTACACAGAGCAGATTTGAAACACTCTTTTTGTGGAATTTGCAAGTGGAGATTTCAAGCGCTTTGAGGCCAAAGGCAGAAAAGGAAATATCTTCGTTTCAAAACTAGACAGAATCATTCTCAGAAAGTGCTCTGCGATGTGTGCGTTCAACTCTCAGAGTTTAACTTTTCTTTTCATTCAGCAGTTTGGAAACACTCTGTTTGTAAAGTCTGCGCGTGGATATTTTGACCACTTAGAGGCCTTCGTTGGAAACGGGTTTTTTTCTTGTAAGGCTAGACAGAAGAATTCCCAGGAACTTCCATGTGTTGTGTACATTCAACTCACAGAGTTGAACGTTCCCTTAGACAGAGCAGATTTGAAACACTCTTTTTGTGCAATTGGCAAGTGGTGATTTCAGCCGCTTTGAGGTCAATGGTAGAAAAGGAAATATCTTCGTATAAAAACTAGACAGAATGATTCTCAGAAACTTCATTGTGACGTGTGCGTTCAACTCACAGAGTTTAACCTTTCTTTTCATAGAGCAGTTAGGAAACACTCTGTTTGTAAAGTCTGCAAGTGGATATTCAGACCTCTTTGAGGCCTTCGTTGGAAACGGGATTTCTTCCTACTGTGCTAGACAGAAGTATTCTCAGTAACTTCCTTGTGTTGTGTGTATTCAACTCACAGAGTTGAACGATCCTTTACACAGAGCAGACTTGA
This sequence comes from Homo sapiens, assembly GCF_000001405.40. NCBI lineage: Eukaryota > Metazoa > Chordata > Mammalia > Primates > Hominidae > Homo > Homo sapiens. The sequence goes on from NC_000001.11 coordinate 122,754,073, forward strand.
AACACTGTTTTTGTGGAATTTGCAAGTGGAGATTTCAAGCGCTTTGAGGCTAAAGGCAGAAAAGGAAATATCTTCGTTTCAAAACTAGACAGAATCATTCTCAGAAACTGCTCTGCGATGTGTGCGTTCAACTCTCAGAGTTTAACTTTTCTTTTCATTCATAAGTTTGGAAACACTCTGTTTGTAAAGTCTGCACGTGGATAACTTGACCACTTAGAGGCCTTCGTTGGAAACGGGTTTTTTTCATGTAAGGCTAGACAGAAGAATTCTCAGTAACTTCCTTGTGTTGTGTGTATTCAACTCACAGAGTTGAACGATCCTTTACACAGAGCAGACTAGAAACACTCTTTTTGTGGAATTTGCAAGTGGAGATTTCAGCCCCTTTGAGGTCAAAGGTAGAAAAGGAAATATCTTCGTATAAAAACTAGACAGAATGATTCTCAGAAACTCCTTTGTGATGTGTGCGTTCAACTCACAGAGTTTAACCTTTCTTTTCATAGAGCAGTTGGGAAACACTCTGTTTGTAAAGTCTGCAAGTGGATATTCAGACATCCTTGAGGCTTTCGTTGGAAACGGGATTTCTTCATATTCTGCTAGAAAGGAGAATTCCCAGTAACTTCCTTGTGTTGTGTGTGTTCAACTCACAGAGTTGAACTTTAATTTACGCAGAGCAGATTTGAAACACTCTTTTTGTGGAATTTGCATTTGGAGATTTCAAGCGCTTTGAGGCCAAAGGCAGAAAAGGAAATATCTTCGTATAAAAACTAGACAGAATCATTCTCAGAAACTGCTCTGTGATGTGTGCGTTCAACTCTCAGAGTTTAACTTTTCTTTTCATTCAGCAGTTTGGAAACACTCTGTTTGTAAAGTCTGCAAGTGGATAATTTGACCACTTAGAGGCCTTCGTTGGAAACGGGTTTTTTTCATGTAAGGCTAGACAGAAGAATTCTCAGTAACTTCCTTGTGTTGTGTGTATTCAACTCACAGAGTTGAACGATCCTTTACACAGAGCAGAATTGAAACACTGTTTTTGTGGAATTTACAAGTGGAGATTTCAGCCGCTTTGAGGTCAATGGTAGAAAAGGAAATATCTTCCTATAGAAACTAGACAGAATGATTCTCAGAAACTCCTTTGTGATGTGTGCGTTCAACTCACAGAGTTTAACCTTTCTTTTCATAGAGCAGTTAGGAAACACTCTCTTTGTAAAGTCTGCAAGTGGATATTCAGACATCTTTGAGGCTTTCGTTGGAAACGGGATTTCTTCATATTCTGCTAGACAGAAGAATTCTCAGTAACTTCCTTGTGTTGTGTGTATTCAACTCACAGAGTTGAACTTTCATTCACACAGAGCAGATTTGAAACACTCTTTTTATGGAATTTGCAAGTGGAGATTTCAAGCGCTTTGAGGCCAAAGGCAGAAAAGGAAATATCTTCGTTTCAAAACTAGACAGAATCATTCTCAGAAACTGCTCTGCGATGTGTGCGTTCAACTCTCAGAGTTTAACTTTTCTTTTCATTCAGCAGTTTGAAAACACTCTGTTTGTAAAGTCTGCACGTGGATATTTTGACCACTTAGAGGTCTTCGTTGGAAACGGGTTTTTTTCCTGTAAGGCTAGACAGAAGAATTCCCAGTAACTTCCTTGTGTTGTGTACATTCAACTCACAGAGTTGAACGTTTCCTTAGACAGAGCAGATTTGAAACACTCTTTTTGTGCAATTGGCAAGTGGTGATTTCAGCCGCTTTGAGGTCAATGGTAGAAAAGGAAATATCTTCGTATAAAAACTAGACAGAATCATTCCCACAAACTGCGTTGTGATGTGTTCGTTCAACTCACAGAGTTTAACCTTTCTTTTCATAGAGCAGTTAGGAAACAGTCTGTTTGTAAATTCTTTAAGTGGATATTCTGACATCTTGTGACCTTCGTTGGAAACGGGATTTCTTCATATTCTGCTAGACATAAGAATTCTCAGTAACTTCCTTGTGTTCTGTGTATTCAACTCACAGAGTTGAACCATCCTTTACACAGAGCAGACTTGAAACACTCTTTTTGTGGAATTTGCAAGTGGAGATTTCAGCCGCTTTGAGGTCAATGGTAGAAAAGGAAATATCTTCGTATAAAGACTAGACAGAATGATTCTCATAAACTCCTTTGTGATGTGTGCGTTCAATTCACAGAGTTTAACCTTTCTTTTCATAGAGCAGTTAGGAAACACTCTGTTTGTAAAGTCTGCAAGTGGATATTCAGACATCCTTGAGGCCTTCGTTGGAAACGGGATTTCTTCATATTCTGCTAGACAGAAGAATTCTCAGAATCTTCCTTGTGTTGTGTGTATTCAACTCACAGAGTTGAACGATCCTTTACACAGAGCAGACTTGAAACACTCTTTTTGTGGAATTTCCAAGTGGAGATTTCAGCCGCTTTGAGGTCCATGGTAGAAAAGGAAATATCTTCGTATAAAAACTAGACAGAATGATTCTCAGAAACTCCTTTGTGATGTGTGCGTTCAACTCACAGAGTTTAACCTTTCTTTCCATAGAGCAGTTAGGAAACACTCTGTTTGTAAAGTCTGCAAGTGGATATTCAGACCTCCTTGAGGCCTTCGTTGGAAACGGGATTTCTTCATATTATGCTAGACACAAGAATTCCCAGTAACTTCCTTGTGATGTGTGTGTTCAACTCACAGAGTTGAACTTTCATTTACACAGAGCAGATTTGAAACACTCTTTTTGTGGAATTTGCAAGTGGAGATTTCAAGCGCTTTGAGGCCAAAGGCCGAAAAGGAAATATCTTCGTATAAAAACTACACAGAATCATTCTCAGAAACTGCTCTGTGATGTGTGCGTTCAACTCTCAGAGTTTAACTTTTCTTTTCATTCAGCAGTTTGGAAACACTCTGTTTTTAAAGTCTGCACGTGGATAATTTGACCACTTAGAGGCCTTCGTTGGAAACGGGATTTTTCATGTAAGGCTAGACAGAAGAATTCCCAGTAACTTCCTTGTGTTGTGTACATTCAACTCACAGAGTTGAACGTTCCCTTAGACAGAGCAGATTTGAAACACTCTTTTTGTGCAATTGGCAAGTGGTGATTTCAGCCGCTTTGAGATCAATGGTAGAAAAAGAAATATCTTCGTATAAAAACTAGACAGAATCATTCGCACAAACTGCGTTGTGATGTGTTCGTTCAACTCACAGAGTTTAACCTTTCTTTTCATAGAGCAGTTAGGAAACAGTCTGTTTGTCAATTCTGTAAGTGGATATTCTGACATCTTGTGGCCTTCGTTGGAAACGGGATTTCTTCATAATCTGCTAGACAGAAGAATTCTCAGAATCTTCCTTGTGTTGTGTGTATTCAACTCACACAGTTGAACGATTGTTTACACAGAGCAGATTTGAAACACTCTTTTTGTGGAATTTGCAAGTGGAGATTTCAGCCGCTTTGAAGTCAAAGGTAGAAAAGGGAATATCTTCCTATAAAAACTAGACAGAATGATTCTCAGAAACTCCTTTGTGATGTGTGCGTTCACCTCACAGAGTTTAACCTTTCTGTTCATAGAGCAGTTAGGAAACACTCTGTTTGTAAAGTCTGCAAGTGGATATTCAGACCTCTTTGAGGCCTTCGTTGGAAACGGGATTTCTTCATATTCTGCTAGACAGAAGAATTCTCAGTAACTTCCTTGTGTTGTGTTTATTCAACTGACAGAGTTGAACTTTCATTTAGAGAGAGCAGATTTGAAACACTGTTTTTGTGGAATTTGCAAGTGGAGATTTCAAGCACTTTGGGGCCAAAGGCAGAAAAGGAAATATCTTCGTATAAAAACTAGACAGAATCATTCTCAGAAACTGCTCTGCGATGTGTGCATTCAACTCTCAGAGTTTAACTTTTCTTTTCATTCAGCAGTTTGGAAACACTCTGTTTGTAAAGTCTGCACGTGGATATTTTGACCACTTACAGGCCTTCGTTGGAAACGGGTTTTTTTCCTGTAAGGCTAGACAGAAGAATTCCCAGTAACTTCCTTGTGTTGTGTGCATTCAACTCACAGAGTTGAACGTTCCCTTAGACAGAGCCGATTTGAAACACTCTATTTGTGCAATTTGCAAGTGTAGATTTCAAGCGCTTTAAGGTCAATGGCAGAAAAGGAAATATCTTCGTCTCAAAACTAGACAGAATGATTCCCATAAACTCCTTTGTGATGTGTGCGTTCAACACACAGAGTTTAACCTTTCTGTTCATAGAGCAGTTAGGAAACACTCTGTTTGTAAAGTCTGTAAGTGGATATTCTGACATCTTGTGGCCTTCGCTGGAAACGGGATTTCTTCATATTCTGCTAGACAGAAGAATTCTCAGTAACTTCCTTGTGTTGTGTGTATTCAACTCACAGAGTTGAACGATCCTTTACACAGAGCAGACTTGAAACACACTTTTTGTGGAATTTGCAAGTGGAGATTTCAGCCGCTTTGAGGTCAATGGTAGAAAAGGAAATATCTTCGTATAAAGACTACACAGAATGATTCTCAGAAAATCTTTTGTGATGTGTGCGTTCAACTCACAGAGTTTAACTTTTCTTCTCATAGAGCAGTTAGGAAACACTCTGTTTGTAAAGTGTGCAAGTGGATATTCAGACCTCTTTGAGGTCTTCGTTGGAAACGGGATTTCTTCATATTATGCTAGACAGAAGAATTCCCAGTAACTTCCTTGTGTTGTGTGTGTTCAACTCACAGAGTTAAACTTTGATTTACACAGAGCAGATTTGAAACACTCTTTTTGTGGAATTTGCAAGTGGAGATTTCAAGCGCTTTGAGGCCAAAGGCAGAAAAGGAGATGTCTTCGTATAAAAACTAGACAGAATCATTCTCAGAAACTGCTCTGCGATGTGTGCGTTCAACTCTCAGAGTTTAACTTTTCTTTTCATTCAGCAGTTTGGAAACACTCTGTTTGTAAAGTCTGCACGTGGACATTTTGACCATTTAGAGGCCTTCGTTGGAAACGGGTTTTTTTCTTGTAAGGCTAGACAGAGAATTCCCAGTAACTTCCTTGTGTTGTGTGCATTCAACTCACAGAGTTGAACGTTCCCTTAGACAGAGCAGATTTGAAACACTCTATTTGTGCAATTTGCAAGTGTAGATTTCAAGCGCTTTAAGGTCAATGGCAGAAAAGGAAATATCTTCGTTTCAAAACTAGACAGAATCATTCCCACAAACTGCGTTGTGATGTATTCGTTCAACTCACAGAGTTTAACCTTTCTGTTCATAGAGCAGTTAGGAAACACTCTGTTTGTAAAGTCTGTAAGTGGATATTCTGACATCTTGTGGCCTTCGTTGGAAACGGGATTTCTTCATATTCTGCTAGACAGAAGAATTCTCAGTAACTTCCTTGTGTTGTGTGTATTCAACTCACAGAGTTGAACGATCCTTTACACAGAGCAGACTTGAAACACTCTTTTTGTGGAATTTGCAAGTGGAGATTTCAGCCGCTTTGAGGTCAATGGTAGAAAAGGAAATATCTTCGTATAAGAACTAGACAGAATGATTCTCAGAAACTCCTTTATGATGTGTGCATTCAACTCACAGAGTTTAACCTTTCTTTTCATAGAGCAGTTAGGAAACACTCTGTTTGTAAAGTCTGCAAGTGGATATTCAGACCTCTTTGAGGCTTTCGTTGGAAACGGGATTTCTTCATATTCTGCTAGACAGAAGAATTCTCAGAAACTTCATTGTGTTGTGTGTATTGAACTCAAAGAGTTGAACGATCCTTTACACAGTGCAGACTTGAAACACTCTTTTTGTGGAATTTGCAAGTGGAGATTTCAGCCGCTTTGAGGTCAATGGTAGAATAGGAAATATCTTCCTATAGGAACTAGACAGAGAATCTTCTCAGAAACTGCTCTGCGATGTGTGCGTTCAACTCTCAGAGTTTAACTTTTCTTTTCATTCAGCAGTTTGGAAACACTCTGTTTGTAAAGTCTGCACGTGGATAACTTGACCACTTAGAGGCCTTCGTTGGAAACGGGTTTTTTTCATGTAAGGCTAGACAGAGAATTCTCAGTAACTTCCTTGTGTTGTGTGTATTCACCTCACAGAGTTGAACGATCCTTTACACAGAGCAGACTTGTAACACTCTTTTTGTGGAATTTGCAAGTGGAGATTTCAGCCGCTTTCAAGTCAAAGGTAGAAAAGGAAATATCTTCCTATAAAAACTAGACAGAATAATTCCCACAAACTGCGTTGTGATGTGTTCGTTCAACTCACAGAGTTTAACCTTTGTTTTCATAGAGGAGTTAGGAAACAGTCTGTTTGTAAATTCTGTAAGTGGATATTGTGACATCTTGTGGCCTTCGTTGGAAACGGGATTTCTTCATATTCTGCTATACAGAAGAATTCTCAGTAACTTCCTTGTGTTGAGTGTATTCAACTCACAGAGTTGAACGATCCTTTACACAGAGCAGACTTGAAACACTCTTTTTGTGGAATTTGCAAGTGGAGATTTCAGCCGCTTTGAGGTCAATAGTAGAAAAGGAAATATCTTCGTAGAAAAACTAGGCAGAATGATTCTCAGAAAATCCTTTGTGATGTGTGTGTTCAACTCACAGAGTTTAACTTTTCTTTTCATAGAGCAGTTAGGAAACACTCTGTTTGTAAAGTCTGCAAGTGGATATTCAGACCTCTTTGAGGCCTTCGTTGGAAACGGGATTTCTTCATATTATGCTAGACAGAAGAATTCTCAGTAACTTCCTTGTGTTGTGTGTATTCAACTGACACAGTTGAACTTTCATTTAGAGAGAGCTGATTTGAAACACTGTTTTTGTGGAATTTGCAAGTGGAGATTTCAAGCGCTTTGGGGCCAAAGGCAGAAAAGGAAATATCTTCGTATAAAAACTAGACAGAATCATTCTCAGAAACTGCTGCGTGATGTGTGCGTTCAACTCTCAGAGTTTAACTTTTCTTTTCATTCAGCGGGTTGGAAACACTCTGTTTGTAAAGTCTGCACGAGGATATTTTGACCCCTTAGAGGCCTTCGTTGGAAACGGGTTTTTTTCATGTAAGGCTAGACAGAAGAATTCCCAGTAACTTCCTTGTGTTGTGTGCATTCAACTCACAGAGTTGAACGTTCCCCTAGACAGAGCAGATTTGAAACACTCTATTTGTGCAATTTGCAAGTGTAGATTTCAAGCGCTTTAAGGTCAATGGCAGAAAAGGAAATATCTTCGTTTCAAAACTAGACAGAATCATTCCCACAAACTGCGTTGTGATGTGTTCGTTCAACTCACAGAGTTTAACCTTTCTGTTCATAGAGCAGTTAGGAAACACTCTGTTTGTAAAGTCTGCAAGTGGGTATTCAGACCTCCTTGAGGACTTCGTTGGAAACGGGATTTCTTCATATTCTGCTAGACAGAAGAATTCTCAGAATCTTCCCTTGTGTTGTGTGTATTCAACTCACAGAGTTGAACGATGGTTTACACAGAGCAGATTTGAAACACTCTTTTGGTGGAATTTGCAAGTGGAGATTTCAGCCGCTTTGAGGTCAATGGTAGAAAAGGAAATATCTTCGTATAAAAACTAGACAGAGTGATTCTCAGAAACTTCTTTGTGATGTGTGCGTTCAACTCACAGAGTTTAACCTTTCTTTTCATAGAGCAGTTAGGAAACACTCTGTTTGTAAACTCTGCAAGTGGATATTCAGACCTCTTTGAGGCCTTCGTTGGAAACGGGATTTCTTCATACTATGCTAGACAGAAGAATTCCCAGTAACTTCCTTGTGTTGTGTGTGTTCAACTCACAGAGTTGAACTTTCATTTACACAGAGCAGATTTGAAACACTCTTTTTGTGGAATTTGCAAGTGGAGATTTCAAGCGCTTTGAGGCCAAAGGCAGAAAAGGAAATATCTTCGTATAAAAACTAGACAGATCATTCTCAGTAAACTGCTGCGTGATGTGTGCGTTCAAGTCTCAGAGTTTAACTTTTCTTTTCATTCAGCGGTTTGGAAACACTCTGTTTGTAAAGACTGCACGTGGATATTTTGACCACTTAGAGGCCTTCGTTGGAAACGGGTTTTTTTTCATGTAAGGCTAGACAGAAGAATTCTCAGTAACTTCCTTGTGTTGTGTGTATTCAACTCACAGTGTTGAACGATCCTTTACAAAGAGCAGACTTGAAACACTCTTTTTGTGAAATTTGCAAGTGGAGATTTCTGCCGCTTTGAGGTCAATGGTAGAATAAGAAATATCTTCCTATAGAAACTAGACAGAATGATTCTCAGAAACTCCTTTGTGATGTGTGCGTTCAACTCACACAGTTTAACCTTTCTTTTCATAGAGCAGTTAGGAAACACTCTGTTTGTAAAGTCTGCAAGTGGATATACAGACCTCTTTGAGGCCTTCGTTGGAAAGGGGATTTCTTCATATGATGCTAGACAGAAGAATTCCCAGTAACTTCCTTGTGTTGTGTGTGTTCAACTCACAGAGTTGAACTTTCATTTACACAGAGCAGATTTGAAACACTCTTTTTGTGGAATTTGCAAATGGAGATTTCATGCGCTTTGAGGCCAAAGGCAGAAAAGGAATTATCTTCGTATAAAAACTAGACAGAATCATTCTCAGAAACTGCTCTGCGATGTGTGCATTCAACTCTCAGAGTTTAATTTTTCTTTTCATTCAGCAGTTTGGAAACACTCTCTTTGTAAAGTCTGCACGTGGATATTTTGACCACTTAGAGGCCTTCGTTCGAAACGGGTTTTATTCTTGTAAGGCTAGACAGAAGAATTCGCAGTAACTTCTTTGTGTTGTGTACATTCAACTCACAGAGTTGAACGTTCCCTTAGACAGAGCAGATTTGAAACACTCTTTTTGTGCAATTGGCAAGTGGAGATTTCAAGCGCTTTAAGGTCAATGGCAGAAAAGGAAATATCTTCGTTTCAAAACTAGACAGAATCATTCCCACAAACTGCGTTGTGATGTGTTCGTTCAACTCACAGAGTTTAACCTTTCTTTTCATAGAGCAGTTAGGAAACAGTCTGTTTGTCAATTCTGTAAGTGGATATTCTGACATCTTGTGGCCTTCGTTGGAAACGGGATTTTTTCATATTCTGCTAGACAGAGGAATTCTCAGTAACTTCCTTTTTTTGTGTGTATTCAACTCACAGAGTTGAACGATCCTTTACACAGAGCAGACTTGAAACACTCTTTTTGTGGAATTTGCAAGTGGAGATTTCAGCCGCTTTGAGGTCAATGGTAGAATAGGAAATATCATCGTAGAAAAACTAGACAGAATGATTCTCAGAAACTCCTTTGTGATGTGTGCGTTCAACTCACAGTGTTTAACTTTTCTTTTCATAGAACAGTTAGGAAACACTCTGTTTGTAAAGTCTGCAAGTGGATATTCAGACCTCTTTGAGGCCTTCGTTGGAAACGGGATTTCTTCATATTCTGATAGACAGAAGAATTCTCAGTAACTTCCTTGTGTTGTGTGTATTCAACTCACAGATTTCAACGATCCTTTACACAGAGCAGACTTGAAACACTCTTTTTGTGGAATTTGCAGGTGGAGATTTCAGCCGCTTTTTGTTCAATGGTAGAATAGGAAATATCTTCCTATAGAAACTAGACAGAATGATTCTCAGAAACTCCTTTGTGATATGTGCGTTCAACTCACAGAGTTTAACCTTTCTTTTCATAGAGCAGTTAGGAAACACTCTGTTTGTAAAGTCTGCAAGTGGATATTCAGACCTCTTTGAGGCTTTCGTTGGAAACGGGATTTCTTCATATTCTGCTAGACAGAAGAATTCTCAGTAACTTCCTTGTGTTGTGTGTATTCAACTCACAGAGTTGAACGATCCTTTACACAGAGAAGACTTGAAACACTCTTTTTGTGGAATTTGCAATAGGAGATTTCAGCCGCTTTGAGGTCAATAGTAGAAAAGGAAACATCTTCGTAGAAAAACTAGACAGAATGATTCTCAGAAACTCCTTTGGGATGTGTGCGTTCAACTCACAGAGTTTAACCTTTCTTTTCATAGAGCAGTTAGGAAACACTCAGTTTGTAAAGTCTGCAAGTGGATATTAAGACCTCTTTGAGGCCTTCGTTGGAAACGGGATTTCTTCATATTCTGCTAGACAGAAGAATTCCCAGTAACTTCCTTGTGTTGTGTGTGTTCAAGTCACAGAGTTGAACTTTCATTTACACAGAGAAGATTTGAAACACTCTTTTTGTGGAATTTGCAAGTGGAGATTTCAAGCGCTTTGAGGCCAAAGGCAGAAAAGGAAATAACTTCGTTTCAAAACTAGACAGAATCATTCTCAGAAACTGCTCTGCGATGTGTGCGTTCAACTCTCAGAGTTTAACTTTTCTTTTCATTCAGCAGTTTGGAAACACTCTGTTTGTAAAGTCTACACGTGGATAACTTGACCACTTAGAGGCCTTCGTTGGAAACGGGTTTTTTTCATGTAAGGCTAGACAGAAGAATTCCCAGTAACTTCCTTGTGTTGTGTACATTCAACTCACAGAGTTGAACGTTACCTTAGACAGAGCAGATTTGAAACACTCTTTTTGTGCAATTGGCAAATGGAGATTTCAAGCGCTTTAAGGTCAATGGCAGAAAAGGAAATATCGTCGTTTCAAAACTAGACAGAATCATTCCCACAAACTGCATTGTGATGTGTTTGTTCAACTCACAGAGTTTAACCTTTCTGTTCATAGAGCAGTTAGGAAACACTCTGTTTGTAAAGTCTGTAAGTGGATATTCTGACATCTTGTGGCCTTCGTTGGAAACGGGATTTCTTCATATTCTGCTAGACAGAAGAATTCTCAGTAACTTCCTTGTGTTGTGTGTATTCAACTCACAGAGTTCAACGATCCTTTACACAGAGCAGACTTGAAACACTCTTTTTGTGGAATTTGCAAGTGGAGATTTCAGCCGCTTTGTGGTCAAAGGTAGAATAGGAAATATCTTCCTATAGAAACTAGACAGAATGATTCTCAGAAACTTCTTTGTGATGTGTGCGTTCAACTCACAGAGTTTAACTTTTCTTTTCATAGAGCAGTTAGGAAACACTCTGTTTGTAAACTCTGCAAGTGGATATTCAGACCTCTTTGAGGCCTTCGCTGGAAACGGGATTTCTTCATACTGTGCTAGACAGAAGAATTCTCAGTAACTTCATTGTGTTGTGTGTATTCAACTCACAGATTTCAACGATCCTTTACACAGAGCAGACTTGAAACACTCTTTTTCTGGTATTTGCAAGTGGAGATTTCAGCCGCTTTGAGGTCAATGGTAGAAAAGGAAATATCTTCGTATAAAAACTAGACAGAGTGATTCTCAGAAACTCCTTTGTGATGTCTGCGTTTAACTCACAGAGTTTAACCATTCTTTTCATAGAGCAGTTAGGAAACACTCTGTTTGTAAAGTGTGCAAGTGGATTTTCAGACCTCCTTGAGGCCTTCGTTGGAAACGGGATTTCTTCATATTATGCTAGACAGAAGAATTCTCAGTAACTTCCTTGTGTTGTGTGTATTCAACTCACAGAGTTGAACGATCCTTTACACAGAGCAGACTTGTAACACTCTTTTTGTGGAATTCGCAAGTGGAGATTTCAGCAGATTTGAAGTCAAAGGTAGAAAAGGAAATATCTTCCTATAAAAACTAGACAGAATGATTCTCAGAAACTCCTTTGTGATGTGTGTGTTCAACTCACACAGTTTAACCTTTCTTTTCATAGAGCAGTTAGGAAACACTCTGTTTGTAAAGTCTGCAAGTGGATATTCAGACCTCTTTGAGGCCTTCGTTGGAAACGGGTTTTTTTCATATAAGGCTAGACAGAAGAATTCTCAGTAACTTCCTTGTGTTGTGTGTATTCAACTCACAGAGTTGAATGATCCTTTACACAGAGCAGACTTGAAACACTCTTTTTGTGGAATTTGCAAGTGGAGATTTCAGCCGCTTTGTGGTCAATGGTAGAAAAGGAAATATCTTCGTATAAAGACTAGACAGAATGATTCTCAGAAACTCCTTTGTGATGTGTGCGTTGAACTCACAGAGTTTAACCTTTCTTTTCATAGAGCAGTTAGGAAACACTCTGTTTGTAAAGTCTGCAAGTGGATATTCAGACCTCTTTGAGGCCTTCGTTGGAAACGGGTTTTTTTCATATAAGGCTAGACAGAAGAATTCTCAGTAACTTCCTTGTGTTGTGTGTATTCTACTCACAGAGTTGAACGATCCTTTACACAGAGCAGACTTGAAACACTCTTTTTGTGGAATTTGCAAGTGGAGATTTTAGCCGCTTTGAGGTCAATGGTAGAAAAAGAAATATCTTCGTATAAAGACTAGACAGAATGATTCTCAGAAACTCCTTTGTGATGTGTGTGTTCAACTCACAGAGTTTAACCTTTCTTTTCATAGAGCAGTTAGTAAACACTCCGTTTATAAAGTCTGCAAGTGGATATTCAGACCCCTTTGAGGCCTTCGTTGGAAACGGCATTTCTTCATATTATGCTAGACAGAAGAATTCTCAGTATCTTCCTTGTGTTGTGTCTATTCAACTCACAGAGTTGAACGATCCTTTACACAGAGCAGACTTGAAACACCCTTTTGGTGGAATTTGCAAGTGGAGATTTCAGCCGCTTTGAGGTCAATGGTAGAATAGGAAATATCTTCCTATAGAAACTAGACAGAATGATTCTCAGAAACTCCTTTGTGATGTGTGCATTCAACTCACAGAGTTTAACCTTTCTTTTCATAGAGCAGTTAGGAAACACTCTGTTTGTAAAGTCTGCAAGTGGATATTCAGACCTCCTTGAGGCCTTCGTTGGAAACGGGATTTCCTCATATTCTGCTAGACAGAAGAATTCTCAGTAACTACCTTGTGTTGTGTGTATTCAACTCACAGAGTTGAACGATCCTTTACAGAGAGCAGACTTGAAACACTCTTTTTGTGGAATTTGCAAGTTGAGATTTCAGCCGCTTTGAGGTCAATGGTAGAATAGGAAATATCTTCCTATAGAAACTAGACAGAATGATACTCAGAAACTCCTTTGTGATGTGTGCGTTCAAGTCACAGAGTTTAACCTTTCTTTTCATAGAGCAGTTAGGAAACACTCTGTTTGTAAAGTCTGCAAGTGGATATTCAGACCTCTTTGAGGCCTTCGTTGGAAACGGGTTTTTTTCATATAAGGCTAGACAGAAGAATTCCCAGTAACTTCCTTGTGTTGTGTGTGTTCAACTCACAGAGTTGAACTTTCATTTACACAGAGCAGATTTGATACACTCTTTTTGTGGAATTTGCAAATGGAGATTTCAAGCGCTTTGAGGCCAAAGGCAGAAAAGGAAATATCTTCGTATAAAAACTAGACAGAATCATTCTCAGAAACTGCTCTGCGATGTGTGCGTTTAACTCTCAGAGTTTAACTTTTCTTTTCATTCAGCAGTTTGGAAACACTCTGTTTGTAAAATCTGCACGTGGATAATTTGACTACTTAGAGGCCTTCGTTGGAAACTGGTTTTTTTCATGTAAGGCTAGACAGAAGATTCTCAGTAACTTCCTTGTGTTGTGTGTATTCAACTCACAGAGTTGAACGATCCTTTACACAGAGCAGACTTGAAACACTCTTTTTGTGGAATTTGCAAGTGGAGATTTCAGCCGCGTTGAGGTCAATGGTAGAAAAGGAAATATCTTCGTATAAAAACTAGACAGAATGATTCTCAGAAACTCCTTTGTGATGTGTGCGTTCAACTCACAGAGTTTAACTTTTCTTTTCATAGAGCAGTTAGGAAACACTCTGTTTGTAAAGTCTGCAAGTGGATATGTCAGACCTCTTTGAGGCCTTCGTTGGAAACGGGATTTCTTCGTATTCTGCTAGACAGAAGAATTCTCAGTAACTTCCTTGTGTTGTGTGTAATCAACTGACAGAGTTGAACTTTCATTTAGAGAGAGCAGATTTGTAACACTGTTTTTGTGGAATTTGCAAGTGGAGATTTCAAGCGCTTTGGGGCCAAAGGCAGAAATGGAAATATCTTCGTATAAAAACTAGACAGAATCATTCTCAGAAACTGCTCTGCGATGTGTGCGTTCAACTCTCAGAGTTTAACTTTTCTTTTCATTCAGCAGTTTGGAAACACTCTGTTTGTAAAGTCTGCACGTGGATATTTTCACCATTTAGAGGCCTTCGTTGGAAACGGGTTTTTTTCTTGTAAGGCTAGACAGAAGAATTCCCAGTAACTTCCTTGTGTTGTGTACATTCAACTCACAGAGTTGAACGTTCCCATAGACAGAGCAGATTTGAAACACTCTTTTTGTGCAATTGGCAAGTGGAGATTTCAAGTGCTTTAAGGTCAATGGCAGAAAAGGAAATATCTTCGTTTCAAAACTAGACAGAATCATTCCCACAAACTGCGTTGTGATGTGTTCGTTCAACTCACAGAGTTTAACCTTTCTGTTCATAGAGCAGTTAGGAAACACTCTGTTTGTAAAGTCTACAAGTGGATATTCAGACCTCCTTGAGGCCTTCGTTGGAAACGGGATTTCTTCATATTCTGCTAGACAGAAGAAATCTCAGAATCTTCCTTGTGTTGTGTGTATTCAACTCACAGAGTTGAACGATCCTTTACACAGAGCAGACTTGAAACACTCTTTTTGTGGAATTTGCAAGTGGAGATTTCAGCCGCTTTGAGGTCCATGGTAGAAAAGGAAATATCTTCGTATAAAAACTAGACAGAATGATTCTCAGAAACTCCTTTGTGATGTGTACGTTCAACTCACAGAGTTTAACCTTTCTTTTCATAGAGCAGTTAGGAAACACTCTGTTTGTAAAGTCTGCAAGTGGATATTGAGACCTCTTTGAGGCGTTCGTTGGAAACGGGTTTTGTTCATATAAGGCTAGACAGAAAGAATTCTCAGTAACTTCCTTGTGTTGTGTGTATTCAACTCACAGAGTTGAACGATCCTTTACACAGAGCAGACTTGTAACACTCTTTTTGTGGAATTTGCAAGTGGAGATTTCAGCCGCTTTGAAGTCAAAGGTAGAAAAGGAAATATCTTCCTATAAAAACTACACAGTAATGATTCTCAGAAACTCCTTTGTGATGTGTGCGTTCAACTCACAGAGTTTAACCTTTCTTTTCATAGAGCAGTTAGGAAACACTCTGCTTGTAAAGTCTGCAAGTGGATATTCAGCCCTCTTTGAGGCCTTCGTTGGAAACGGGTTTTTTTCATATAAGGCTAGACAGAAGAATTCTCAGTAACTTCCCTTGTGTTGTGTGTATTCAACTGACAGAGTTGAACTTTCATTTAGAGAGAGCAGATTTGAAACACTGTTTTTGTGGAATTTGCAAGTGGAGATTTCAAGTGCTTTGGGGCCAAAGGCAGAAAACGAAATATCTTCGTATAAAAAGTAGACAGAATCATTCTCAGAAACTGCTCTGCGATGTGTGCGTTCAACTCTCCGAGTTCAACTTTTCTTTTCATTCAGCAGTTTGGAAACACTCTGTTTGTAAAGTCTGCACGTGGATAATTTGACTACTTAGAGGCCTTCGTTGGAAACGGGTTTTTTTCATGTAAGGCTAGACACAAGAATTCCCAGTAACTTCCTTGTGTTGTGTACATTCAACTCACAGAGTTGAACGTTCCCTTAGACAGAGCAGATTTGAAACACTCTTTTTGTGCAATTGGCAAATGGAGATTTCAAGCGCTTTAAGGTCAATGGCAGAAAAGGAAATATCTTCGTTTGAAAACTAGACAGAATCATTCCCACAAACTGCGTTGTGATGTGTTCGTTCAACTCACAGAGTTTAACCTTTCTGTTCATAGAGCAGTTAGGAAAAACTCTATTTGTAAAGTCTGTAAGTGGATATTCTGACATCTTGTGGCCTTCGTTGGAAACGGGATTTCTTCATATTCTGCTAGACAGAAGAATTCTCACAATCTTCCTTGTGTTGTGTGTATTCAACTCACAGAGTTGAACGATGGTTTACACAGAGCAGATTTGAAACACTCTTTTTGTGGAATTTGCAAGTGGAGATTTCAGCCGCTTTGAGGTCAATGGTAGAAAAGGAAATATCTTCGTATAAAAACTAGACAGAATGATTCTGAGAAACTACTTTGTGATGTGTGCGTTCAACTCACAGAGTTTAACTTTTCTTTTCATAGAGCAGTTAGGAAACACTCTGTTTGTAAAGCCTGCAAGTGGATATTCAGACCTCCTTGAGGCCTTCGTTGGAAACGGGATTTCTTCATATTATGCTAGACAGAAGAATTCTCACTAACTTCCTTGTGTTGTGTGTATTCAACTCACAGAGTTGAACGATCCTTTACACAGAGCAGACTTTAAACACTCTTTTTGTGGAATTTGCAAGTGGAGATTTCAGCCGCTTTGAGGTCAACGGTAGAAAAGGAAATATCTCCGTATAAAGACTAGACAGAATGATTCTCAGAAACTCCTTTGTGATGTGTGCGTTCAACTCACAGAGTTTAACTTTTCTTTTCATAGAGCAGTTAGGAAACACTCCGTTTGTAAAGTCTGCAAGTGGATATTCAGACCTCTTTGAGGCCTTCGTTGGAAACGGGATTTCTTCATATTATGCTAGACAGAAGAATTCCCAGTAACTTCCTTGTGTTGTGTGTGTTCAACTCACAGAGTTGAACTTTCATTTACACAGAGCAGATTTGAAACACTCTTTTTGTGGAATTTGCAAATGGAGATTTCAAGAGCTTTGAGGCCAAAGGCAGAAAAGGAAATATCTTCGTATAAAAACTAGACAGAATCATTCTCAGAAACTGCTCTGCGATGTGTGCGTTCAACTCTCAGAGTTTAACTTTGCTTTTCATTCAGCAGTTTGGAAACACTCTGTTTGTAAAGTCTGCACGTGGATAATTTGACCACTTAGAGGCCTTCCTTGGAAACGGGTTTTTTTCATGTAAGGCTAGACAGAAGAATTCTCAGTAACTTCCTTGTGCTGTGTGTATTCAACTCACAGAGTTGAACGATCCTTTACACAGAGTGGACTTGAAACACTCTTTTTGTGGAATTTGCAAGTGGAGATTTCAGCCGCGTTGAGGTCAATGGTAGAAAAGGAAATATCTTCGTATAAAAACTAGACAGAATGATTCTCAGAAACTCCTTTGTGATGTGTGCGCTCAACTCACAGAGTTTAAACTTTCTTTTCATAGAGCAGTTAGGAAACACTCTGTTTGTAAAGTCTGCAAGCGGATATTCAGACCTCTTTGAAGCCTTCGTTGGAAACGGGATTTCTTCATATTCTGCTAGACAGAAGAATTCCCAGTAACTTCCTTGTGTTGTGTGTGTTCAACTCACAGAGTTGAACGATCCTTTACACAGAGCAGATTTGAAACACTCTTTTTGTGGAATTTGCAAGTGGAGATTTCAAGCGCTTTGAGGCCAAAGGCAGAAAAGGAAATATCTTCGTAGAAAAACTAGACAGAATGATTCTCAGAACCTTCTTTGTGATGTGTGCGTTCAACTCACAGAGTTTAAACTTTCTTTTCATAGAGCAGTTAGGAAACACTCTGTTTGTAAACTCTGCAAGTGGATATTCAGACCTCTTTGAGGCCTTCGTTGGAAACGGGATTTCTTCATACTATGCTAGACAGAAGAATTCTCAGAAACTTCCTTGTGTTGTGTGTATTCAACTCACAGAGTTTAACGATCGTTTACACAGAGCAGACTTGAGACACTCTTTTTGTGGAATTTGTAAGTGGAGATTTCAGCCGCTTTGGGGTCAATGGTAGAAAAGGAAATATCTTCATGTAAAAACTAGACAGAATCATTCTCAGAAACTGCTCTGTGATGTGTGCGTTCAACTCTCAGAGTTTAACTTTTCTGTTCATTCAGCAGTTTGGAAACACTCTGTTTGTAAAGTCTGCACGTGGATAATTTGACCACTTAGAGGCCTTCGTTGGAAACGGGTTTTTTTCATATAAGGCTAGACAGAAGAATTCTCAGTAACTTTCTTGTGTTGTGTGTATTCAACTGACAGAGTTGAACTATCATTTAGAGAGTGCAGATTTGAAACACTGTTTTTGTGGAATTTGTAAGTGGAGACTTCAAGCGCTTTGGGGCCAAAGGCAGAAAAGGAAATATCTTCGTATAAAAACTAGACAGAATCATTCTCAGAAACTGCTCTGCGATGTGTGCGTTCAACTCTCAGAGTTTAAGTTTTCTTTTCATTCAGCAGTTTGGAAACACTCTGTTTGTAAAGTCTGCACGTGGATAATTTGACCACTTAGAGGCCTTCATTGGAAACGGGTTTTTTTCATGTAAGGCTAGACAGAATAATTCTCAGTAACTTCCTTGTGTTGTGTGTATTCAACTCACAGAGTTGAACGATCCTTTACAGAGAGCAGACTTGAAACACTCTTTTTGTGGAATTTGCAAGTGGAGATTTCAGCCGCTTTGAGGTCAATGGTAGAAAACGAAATATCTTCGTATAAAGACTAGACAGAATGATTCTGAGAAACTCCTTTGTGATGTGTGCGTTCAACTCACAGAGTTTAACCTTTCTTTTCATAGAGCAGTTAGGAAACACTCTCTTTGTAAAGTATGCAAGTGGATATTCAGACATCCTTGAAGCTTTCGTTGGAAACGGGATTTCTTCATATTCTGCTAGAAAGAAGAATTCTCAGTAACTTCCTTGTGTTGTGTGTATTCAACTCACAGAGTTGAATGATCCTTTACACAGAACAGTCTTGAAACAGTCTTTTTGTGGAATTTGCAAGTGGAGATTTCAGCCGCTTTGAGGTCAATGGTGGAATAGGAAATATCTTCCTATAGAAACTAGACAGAATCATTGTCAGAAACTGCTCTGTGATGTGTGCGTTCAACTCTCAGAGTTTAACTTTTCTTTTCATTCAGTAGTTTGGAAACACTCTGTTTGTAAAGTCTGCACGTGGATATTTTGACCACTTAGAGGCCTTCGATGGAAACGGGGTTTTTTCATTTAAGGCTAGACAGAAGAATTCCCAGTAACTTCCTTGTGTTGTGTGCATTCAACTCACAGAGATGAACGTTCCCTTAGACAGAGCAGATTTGAAACACTCTATTTGTGCAATTTGCAAGTGTAGATTTCAAGGGCTTTAAGGTCAATGGCAGAAAAGGAAATATCTTCGTTTCAAAACTAGACAGAATCATTCCCACAAACTGCGTTGTGATGTGTTCGTTCAACTCACAGAGTTTAACCTTTCTTTTCATAGAGCAGTTAGGAAACAGTCTGTTTGTCAATTCTGTAAGTGGATATTCTGATATCTTGTGGCCTTCGTTGGAAACGGGATTTCTTCATATTCTGCTAGACAGAAGAATTCTCAGAATCTTCCTTGTGTTGTGCGTATTCAACTCACAGAGTTGAACGATCCTTTACACAGAGCAGACTTGAAACACTCTTTTTGTGGAATTTGCAAGTGGAGATTTCAGCCGCTTTGAGGTCCATGGTAGAAAAGGAAATATCTTCGTATAAAAACTAGACAGAATGATTCTCAGAAACTCCTTTGTGATGTGTGCGTTCAACACACAGAGTTTAACCTTTCTTTTCATAGAGCAGTTAGGAAACACTCTGTTTGTAAAGTCTGCAAGTGGATATTCAGACCTCCTTGAGGCCTTCGTTGGAAACGGGATTTCTTCATATTATGCTAGACAGAAGAATTCTCAGTAACTTCCTTTTATTGTGTGTATTCAACTCACAGAGTTGAACGATCCTTTACACAGAGCAGATTTGAAACACTCTTTTTGTGGAATTTGCAAGTGGAGATTTCAGCCGCTTTGAGGTCAATGGTAGAAAAGGAAATATCTTCGTATAAAAATTAGACAGAATGATTCTCAGAAACTCCTTTGTGATGTGTGCGTTCAACTCACAGAGTTTAACCTTTCTTTTCATAGAGCAGTTAGGAAACACTCTGTTTGTAAAGTCTGCAAGTGGATATTCAGACCTCTTTGAGGCTTTCGTTGGAAACTGGATTTCTTCATATTCTGCTAGACAGAAGAATTCTCAGTAACTTCCTTGTGTTGTGTGTATTCAACTCACAGAGTTGAAAGATCCTTTACAGAGAGCAGACTTGAAACACTCTTTTTGTGGAATTTGCAAGTGGAGATTTCAGCCGCTTTGAAGTCAATGGTAGAAAAGGAAATATCTTCGTATAAAGACTAGAGAGAATGATTCTCAGAAACTCCTTTGTGATGTGTGTGTTCAACTCACAGAGTTTAACCTTTCTTTTCATAGAGCAGTTAGTAAACACTCTGTTTATAAAGTCTGCAATTGGATATTCAGACCCCTTTGAGGCCTTCGTTGGAAACGGGATTTCTTCATATTATGCTAGACAGAAGAATTCCCACTAACTTTCCTTGTGTTGTGTGTGTTCAACTCACAGAGTTGAACTTTCATTTACACAGAGCAGATTTGAAACACTCTTTTTGTGGAATTTGCAAGTGGAGATTTCAAGCGCTGTGAGGCCAAAGGCAGAAAAGGAAGTATGCTTCGTATAAAAACTAGACAGAATCATTCTAAGAAACTGCTCTGCGATGTGTGTGTTCAACTCTCAGAGTTTAACTTTTCTTTTCCTTCAGCAGTTTGGAAACACTCTGTTTGTAAAGTCTGCACGTGGATAATTTGACCACTTAGAGGCCTTCGTTGGAAACGGGTTTTTTTCATGTAAGGCTAGACAGAAGAATTCCCAGTAACTTCCTTGTGTTGTGTGCATTCAACTCACAGAGTTGAACGTTCCCTTAGACAGAGCAGATTTGAAACACTCTATTTGTGCAATTTGCAAGTGTAGATTTCAAGCGCTTTAAGGTCAATGGCAGAAAAGGAAATATCTTCGTTTCAAAACTAGGCAGAATGATTCTCAGAAACTCCTTTGTGATGTGTGCGTTCAACTCACAGAGTTTAACCTTTCTTTTCATAGAGCAGTTAGGAAACACTCTGTTTGTAAAGTCTGCAAGTGGATATTCAGACCTCCTTGAGGCCTCCGTTGGAAACGGGATTTCTTAATATTCTGCTAGACAGAAGAATTCTCAGTAACTTCCTTGCGTTGTGTGTATTCAACTCACAGAGTTGAACGATCCTTTACACAGAGCAGACTTGAAACACTCTTTTTGTGGAATTTGCAAGGGGAGATTTCAGCCGCTTTGAGGTCAATAGTAGAAAAGGAAATATCTTCGTATAGAAACTAGACAGAATGATTCTCAGAAACTCCTTTGTGATGTGTGCGTTCAACTCACAGAGTTTAACCTTTCTTTTCATAGAGCAGTTACGAAACACTGTGTTTTTAAACTCTGCAAGTGGATATTCAGACCTCTTTGAGGCCTTCGTTGGAAACGGGTTTCTTCATACTGTGCTAGACAGAAGAATTCTCAGAATCTTCCTTGTGTTGTGTGTATTCAACTCACAGAGTTGAACGATCGTTTACACAGAGCAGATTTGAAACACTCATTTGGTGGAATTTGCAAGTGGAGATTTCAGCCGCTTTGAGGTCAATGGTAGAAAAGGAAATATCTTCGTATAACAACTAGACAGAATGATTCTCAGAAACTCCTTTGTGATGTGTGCGTTCAACTCACAGAGTTTAACCTTTCTTTTCATAGAGCAGTTAGGAAACACTCTGTTTGTAAAGTCTGCAAGTGGATGTTCAGACCTCTTTGAGGCCTTCGTTGGAAAGGGGTTTTTTTCATATAAGGCTAGACAGAATAATTCTCAGTAAGTTCCTTGTTTTGTGTGTATTCAACTCACAGAGTTGAAGGATCCTTTACACAGAGCAGGCTTGAAACACTCTTTTTGTCGAAATTGCAAGTGGAGATTTCAGCCGCTTTGAGGTCAATGGTAGAATAGGAAATATCTTCCTATAGAAACTAGACAGAATGATTCTCAGAAACTTCTTTGTGATGTGTGCGTTCAACTCACAGAGTTTAAACCTTTCTTTTCATAGAGCAGTTAGGAAACACTCTGTTTGTAAACTCTGCAAGTGGATATTCAGACCTCTTTGAGGCCTTCTTTGCAAACGGGATTTCTTCATACTATGCTAGACAGAAGAATTGTCAGTAACTTTCCTTGTGTTGTGTGTATTCAACTCACAGAGTTGAATGATCCTTTACACAGAGCAGACTTGAAACACTCTTTATGTGGAATTTGCAAGTGGAGATTTCAGCCGCTTTGAGTTCAATGGTAGAATAGGAAATATCTTCCTATAGAAACTAGACAGAATGATTCTCAGAAACTCCTTTGTGATGTGTGCGTTCAACTCACAGAGTTTAACCTTTCTTTTCATAGAGCAGTTAGGAAACACTCCGTTTGTAAAGTCTGCAAGTGGATATTCAGACCTCTTAGAGGCCTTCGATGGAAACGGGATTTCTTCATATTCTGCTAGACAGAAGAATTCTCAGTAACTTCCTTGTGTTGTGTGTATTGAACTCACAGAGTTGAACGATCCTTTTCAGAGAGCAGACTTGAAACACTCTTTTTGTGGAATTTGCAAGTGGAGATTTCAGCCGCTTTGAGGTCAATGGTAGAAAAGGAAATATCTTCGTATAAAGACTAGACAGAATGATTCTCAGAAACTCCTTTGTGATGTGTGTGTCCAACTCACAGAGTTTAACCTTTCTTTTCATAGAGCAGTTAGGAAACACTCTGTTTGTAAAGTCTGCAAGAGGATATTCAGACCTCTTTGAGGCCTTCGTTGGAAACGGGTTTTTTCCATATAAGGCTAGACAGAAGATTTCTCAGAAACTTCGTTGTGTTGTGTGTTTTCAAATCACAGAGTTCAACGATCCTTTACACAGAGTAGACTTGAAACACTCTTTTTGTGGAATTGGCAGTGTGGAGATTTCAGCCGCTTTTAGGTCAATGGTAGAAAAGGAAATATCTTCGTATAAAAACTAGACAGAATCATTCTCAGAAACTGCTGCGTGATGTGTTCGTTCAACTCTCAGAGTTTAACTTTTCTTTTCATTCAGCGGTTTGGAAACACTCTGTTTGTAAAGTCTGCACGTGGATATTTTGACCACTTAGAGGTCTTCGTTGGAAACGGGTTTTTTTCATGTAAGGCTAGACAGAAGAATTCTCAGTAACTGCCTTGTGTTGTGTGTATTCAACTCACAGAGTTGAACGATCCTGTACACAGAGCAGACTTGAAACACTCCTTTTGTGGAATTTGCAAGTGGAGATTTCAGCCGCTTTGAGGTCAATGGTAGAATAGGAAATATCTTCCTATAGAAACTAGACAGAATGATTCTCAGAAACTCCTTTGTGATGTGTGCGTTCAACTCACAGAGTTTAACCGTTCTTTTCATAGAGCAGTTAGGAAACACTCTGTTTGTAAAGTCTGCAAGTGGATATTCAGACATCTTTGAGGCTTTCTTTGGAAACGGGATTTCTTCATATTCTGCTAGACAGAAGAATTCTCAGAAACTTCCTTGTGTTGTGTGTATTCAACTCACAGAGTTGAACGATCCTTTACTCAGAGCAGACTTGAAACACTCCTTTTGTGGAATTTGCAAGTGGAGATTCCAGCCGCTTTGAGGTCAATGGTAGAATAGGAAATATCTTCCTATGGAAACTAGACAGAAATCATTCTCAGAAAACTGCTCTGCGATGTGTGCGTTCAACTCTCAGAGTTTAACTTTTCTTTTCATTCAGCAGTTTGGAAACACTCTGTTTGTAAAGTCTGCACGTGGATATTTTGACCACTTAGAGGCCTTCGTTGGAAACGGGTTTTTTTCCTGTAAGGCTAGACAGAAGAATTCCCAGTAACTTCCTTGTGTTGTGTACATTCAACTCACAGAGTTGAACGTTCCCTTAGACAGAGCAGATTTGAAACACTCTTTTTGTGCAATTGGCAAATGGAGATTTCAAGCGCTTTAAGTTCAATGGCAGAAAAGGAAATATCTTCGTTTCAAAACTAGACAGAATCATTCCCACAAACTGCGTTGTGATGTGTTCGTTCAACTCACAGAGTTTAACCTTTCTGTTCATAGAGCAGTTAGGAAACACTCTGTTTGTAAAGTCTGTCAGTGGATATTCTGACATCTTGTGGCCTTCGTTGGAAACGGGATTTCTTCATATTCTGCTAGACAGAAGAATTCTCAGTAACTTCCTTGTGTTGTGTGTATTCAACTCACAGAGTTGAACGATCCTTTACACAGAGCAGACTTGTAACACTCTTTTTGTGGAATTTGCAAGTGGAGATTTCAGCCGCTTTGAGGTCCATGGTAGAAAAGGAAATATCTTCCTATAAAAACTAGACAGAATGATTCTCAGAAACTTCTTTGTGATGTGTGCGTTCAACTCACAGAGTTTAACCTTTCTTTTCATAGAGCAGTTAGGAAACACTCTGTTTGTAAACTCTGCAAGTGGATATTCAGACCTCTTTGAGGCCTTCGTTGGAAACGGGATTTCTTCATTCTATGCTAGACAGAAGAATTCTCAGTAACTTTCCTTGTGTTGTGTGTATTCAACTCACAGAGTTGAACGATCCTTTACACAGAGCAGACTTGAAACACTCTTTTTCTGGAATTTGCAAGCGGAGATTTCAGCTGCGTTGAGGTCAATGGTAGAAAAGGAAATATCTTCGTATAAAAACTAGACAGAATGATTCTCAGAAACTCCTTTGTGATGTGTGCGTTCAACTCACAGAGTTTAACCTTTCTTTTCATAGAGCAGTTAGGAAACACTCTGTTTGTAAAGTCTGCAAGTGGATATTCAGACCTCTTTGAGGCCTTCGTTGGAAACGGGTTTTTTTCATATACGGCTAGACAGAAGAATTCTCAGTAACTTCCTTGTGTTGTGTGTATTCAGCTGACAGAGTTGAACTTTCATTTAGAGAGAGCAGATTTGAAACACTGTTTTTGTGGAATTTGCAATTGGAGATTTCAAGCGCTTTGGGGCCAAAGGCAGAAAAGGAAATATCTTCGTAAAAAACTAGACAGAATGTTTCTCAGAAACTTCTTTGTGATGTGTGCATTCAACTCACAGAGTTTAACCTTTCTTTTCATAGAGCAGTTAGGAAACACTGTGTTTGTAAAGTCTGCAAGTGGATATTCAGACCTCTTTGAGGCCTTCGTTGGAAACGGGATTTCTTCATACTGTGCTAGACAGAAGAATTCTCAGTAACTTCCTTGTGTTGTGTGTATTCAACTCACAGAGTTGAACGATCCTTTACACAGAGCGGACAGGAAACACTCTTTTTCTGGAATTTGCAAGCGGAGATTTCAGCTGCGTTGAGGTCAATGGTAGAAAAGGAAATATCTTCGTATAAAAACTAGACAGAATGATTCTCAGGAAACTCCTTTGTGATGTGTGTGTTCAACTCACAGAGTTTAACCTTTCTTTTCATAGAGCAGTTAGGAATCACTCTGTTTGTAAAGTCTGCAAGTGGATATTCAGACCTCTTTGAGGCCTTCGTTGGAAACGGGTTTTTTTCATATAAGGCTAGACAGAAGAATTCTCAATAACTTCCTTCTGTTGTGTGTATTCAACTGACAGAGTTGAACTTTCATTTAGAGAGAGCAGATTTGAAACACTGTTTTTGTGGAATTTGCAAGTGGAGATTTCAAGCGCTTTGGGGCCAAAGGAAGAAAAGGAAATATCTTCGTATAAAAACTAGACAGAATCATTCTCAGAAACTGCAGCGTGATGTGTGCGTTCAACTCTCAGAGTTTAACTTTTCTTTTCATTCAGCGGTTTGGAAACACTCTGTTTGTAAAGTCTGCACGTGGATATTTTGACCACTTAGAGGCCTTCGTTGGAAACGGGTTTTTTTCATGTAAGGCTAGACAGAAGAATTCCCAGTAACTTCCTTGTGTTGTGTGCATTCAACTCACAGAGTTGAACGTTCCCTTAGACAGAGCAGATTTGAAACACTCTATTTGTGCAATTTGCAAGTGTAGATTTCAAGCGCTATAAGGTCAACGGCAGAAAAGGAAATATCTTCGTTTCAAAACTAGACAGAATCATTCCCACAAACTGCGTTGTGATGTGTTCGTTCAACTCACAGAGTTTAACCTTTCTTTTCATAGAGCAGTTAGGAAACAGTCTGTTTGTAAATTCTGTAAGTGGATATTCTGACATCTTGTGGCCTTCGTTGGAAACGGGATTTCTTCATATTCTGCTAGGCAGAAGAATTCTCAGTAACTTCCTTGTGTTGTGTTTATTCAACTCACAGAGTTGAATGATCCTTTACACAGAGCAGACTTGAAACACTCTTTTTGTGGAATTTGCAAGTGGAGATTTCAACCGCTTTGAGGTCAATGGTAGAAAAGTAAATATCTTCGTATAAAGACTAGACAGAATGATTCTCAGAAACTTCTTTGTGATGTGTGCGTTCAACTCACAGAGTTTAACCTTTCTTTTCATAGAGCAGTTAGGAAACCCTCTGTTTGTAAACTCTGCAAGTGGATATTCAGACCTGTTTGAGGCCTTCGTTGGAAACGGGATTTCTTCATACTATGCTAGACAGAAGAATTCCCAGTAACTTCCTTGTGTTGTGTGTGTTCAACTCACAGAGGTGAACTTTCATTTACACAGAGCAGATTTGAAACACTCTTTTTGTGGAATTTGCAAGTGGAGATTTCAAGCGCTTTGAGGCCAAAGGCAGAAAAGGAAATATCTTCGTATAAAAACTAGACAGAATCATTCTCAGAAACTGCTCTGCGATGTGTGCGTTCAACTCTCAGAGTTTAACTTTTCTTTTCATTCAGCAGTTTGGAAACACTCTGTTTGTAAAGTCTACACGTGGATAATTTGACCACTTAGAGGCCTTCGTTGGAAACGGGTTTTTTTCATGTAAGGCTAGACAGAAGAATTCTCAGTAACTTCCTTGTGTTGTGTGTATTCAACTCACAGAGGTGAACGATCCTTTACACAGAGCAGACTTGTAACACTCTTTTTGTGGAATTTGCAAGTGGAGATTTCAGCCGCTTTGAAGTCAAAGGTAGAAAAGGAAATAACTTCCTATAAAAACTAGACAGAATGATTCTCATAAACTCCTTTGTGATGTGTGCGTTCAACTCACAGAGTTTAACCTTTCTTTTCATAGAGCAGTTAGGAAACACTCTGTTTGTAAAGTCTGCAAGTGGATATTCAGACCCCTTTGAGTCCTTCGTTGGAAACGGGATTTCTTCATATTCTGCTAGACAGAAGAATTCCCAGTAACTTCCTTGTGTTGTGTGTGTTCAACTCACAGAGTTGAACTTTCATTTACACAGAGCAGATTGGAAACACTCTTTTTGTGGAATTTGCAAGTGGAGATTTCAAGCGCTTTGAGGCCAAAGGCAGAAAAGGAAATATCTTTGTATAAAAACTAGACAGAATCATTCTCAGAAACTGCTCTGCGATGTGTGCGTTCAACTCTCAGAGTTTAACTTTTCTTTTCCTTCAGCAGTTTGGAAACACTCTGTTTGTAAAGTCTGCACGTGGATAACTTGACCACTTAGAGGCCTTCGTTGGAAACGGGTTTTTTTCATGTAAGGCTAGACAGAAGAATTCTCAGTAACTTCCTTGTGTTGTGTGTATTCAACTCACAGAGTTGAACGATCCTTTACACAGAGCAGACTTGAAACACTCTTTTTGTGGAATTTGCAAGTGGAGATTTCAGCCGCTTTGAGGTCAATGGTAGAAAAGGAAACTTTCTTCGTATAAAGACTAGACAGAATGATTCTCATAAACTCCTTTGTGATGTGTGCGTTCAACTCACAGAGTTTAACCTTTCTTTTCATAGAGCAGTTAGGAAACACTCTGTTTGTAAAGTCTGCAAGTGGATATTCAGACATCCTTGAGGCCTTCGTTGGAAACGGGATTTCTTCATATTCTGCTAGACAGAAGAATTCCCAGTAACTTCCTTGTGTTGTATGTGTTCAACTCACAGAGTTGAACTTTCATTTACACAGAGCAGATTTGAAACACTCTTTTTGTGGAATTTGCAAATGGAGATTTCAAGCGCTTTGAGGCCAAAGACAGAAAAGGAAATATCTTCGTATAAAAACTAGACAGAATCATTCTCAGTAAACTGCTGCGTGATGTGTGCGTTCAACTCTCAGAGTTTAACTTTTCTTTTCATTCAGCGGTTTGGAAACACTCTGTTTGTAAAGTCTGCACGTGGATATTTTGACCACTTAGAGGCCTTCGTTGGAAACGGGTTTTTTGCATGTAAGGCTAGACAGAAGAATTCCCAGTAACTTCCTTGTGTTGTGTACATTCAACTCACAGAGTTGAACGTTCCCTTAGACAGAGCAGATTTGAAACACTCTTTTTGTGCAATTGGCAAATGGAGATTTCAAGCGCTTTATGTTCAATGGCAGAAAAGGAAATATCTTCGTTTCAAAACTAGACAGAATCATTCCCACAAACTGCGTTGTGATGTGTTCGTTCAACTCACAGAGTTTAACCTTTCTGTTCATAGAGCAGTTAGGAAACACTCTGTTTGTAAAGTCTGTAAGTGGATATTCTGACATCTTCTGGCCTTCGATGGAAACGGGATTTCTTCATATTCTCCTAGACAGAAGATTCTCAGAATCTTCCTTGTGTTGTGTGTATTCAACTCACAGAGTTGAACGATCCTTTACACAGAGCAGACTTGAAACACTCTTTTTGTGGAATTTGCAAGTGGAGATTTCAGCCGCTTTGAGGTCCATGGTAGAAAAGGAAATATCTTCGTATAAAAACTAGACAGAATGATTCTCAGAAAATCTTTTGTGATGTGTGCCTTCAACTCACAGAGTTTAACTTTTCTTCTCATAGAGCAGTTAGGAAACACTCTGTTTGTAAAGTCTGCAAGTGGATATTCAGACCTCTTTGAGGTCTTCGTTGGAAACGGGATTTCTTCATATTATGCTAGACAGAAGAATCCTCAGTAACTTCCTTGTGTTGTGTGTATTCAACTCACAGAGTTGAACGATCCTTTACACAGAGCAGACTTGAAACACTCTTTTTGTGGAATTTGCAAGTGGAGATTTCAGCCGCTTTGAGGTCAATAGTAGAAAAGGAAATATCTTCGTAGAAAAACTAGACAGAATGATTCTCAGAAACTCCTTTGTGATGTGTGCGTTCAACTCACAGAGTTTAACCTTTCTTTCCATAGAGCAGTTAGGAAACACTCTGTTTGTAAAGTCTGCAAGTGGATATTCAGACCTCTTTGAGGCCTTCGTTGGAAACGGGTTTTTTCCATATAAGGCTAGACAGAAGAATTCCCAGTAACTTCCTTGTGTTGTGTGTGTTCCACTCACAGAGTTGAACTTTCGTTTACACAGAGCAGATTTGAAACACTCTTTTTGTGGAATTTGCAAATGGAGATTTCAAGCGCTTTGAGGCCAAAAGCAGAAAAGGAAATATCTTCGTATAAAAACTAGACAGAATCATTCTCAGAAACTGCTGCGTGATGTGTGCGTTCAACTCTCAGAGTTTAACTTTTCTTTTCATTCAGCGATTTGGAAAAACTCTGTTTGTAAAGACTGCACGTGGATATTTTGACCACTTAGAGGCCTTCGTTGGAAACGGGTTTTTTTTCATGTAAGGCTAGACAGAAGAATTCTCAGTAACTTCCTTGTGTTGTGTGTATTCAACTCACAGAGTTGAACGATCCTTTAAACAGAGCAGACTTGAAACACTCTTTTTGTGGAATTTGCAATTGGAGATTTCAGCCGCTTTGAGGTCAATAGTAGAAAAGGAAATATCTTCGTAGAAAAACTAGACAGAATGATTCTCAGAAACTCCTTTGAAATGTGTGCGTTCAACTCACAGAGTTTAACCTTTCTTTTCATAGAGCAGTTAGGAAACACTCTGTTTGTAAAGTCTGCAAGTGGATATTCAGACCTCCTTGAGGCCTTCGTTGGAAACGGGATTTCTTCATATTATGCTAGACAGAAGAATTCCCAGTAACTTCCTTGTGTTGTGTGTGTTCAACTCACAGAGTTGAACTTTCACTTACACAGAGCAGATTTGAAACACTCTTTTTGTGGAATTTGCAAATGGAGATTTCAAGCGCTTTGAGGCCAAAGGCAGAAAAGGAAATATCTTCGTATAAAAACTAGACAGAATCATTCTCAGAAACTGCTCTGTGATATGTCCGTTCAACTCTCAGAGTTTAACTTTTCTTTTCATTCAGCAGTTTGGAAACACTCTGTTTGTAAAGTCTGCACGTGGATAATTTGACCACTTAGAGGCCTTCGTTGGAAACGGGTTTTTTTCATGTAAGGCTAGACAGAATAATTCTCAGTAACTTCCTTGTGTTGTGTGTATTCAACTCACAGAGTTGAAGGATCCTTTACAGAGAGCAGGCTTGAAACACTCTTTTTGTCGAATTTGCAAGTGGAGATTTCAGCCGCTTTGAGGTCAATGGTAGAATAGGAAATATCTTTTTATAGAAACTAGACAGAATGATTCTCAGAAACTCCTTTGTGATGTGTGCGTTCAACTCACAGAGTTTAACCTTTCTTTTCATAGAGCAGTTAGGAAACACTCTGTTTCTAAAGTCTGCAAGTGGATATTCAGACCTGTTTGAGGCCTTCGTTGGAAACGGGTTTTTTTCATATAAGGCTAGAGAGAAGAATTCCCAGTAACTTCCTTGTGTTGTGTGTGTTCAACTCACAGAGTTGAACTTTCCTTCACACAGAGCAGATTTGAAACACTCTTTTTGTGGAATTTGCAAGTGGAGATTTCAAGCGCTTTGAGGCCAAAGGCAGAAAAGGAAATATCTTCGTATAAAAACTAGACAGAATTATTCTCAGAAACTGCTCTGCGATGTGTGCGTTCAACTCTCAGAGTTTAACTTTTCTTTTCATTCAGCAGTTTGGAAACACTCTGTTTGTAAAGTCTGCACGTGGATATTTTGACCACTTAGAGGCCTTTGTTGGAAACG
The DNA here is from genome assembly GCF_000001405.40 of Homo sapiens. Classification (NCBI taxonomy): domain Eukaryota; kingdom Metazoa; phylum Chordata; class Mammalia; order Primates; family Hominidae; genus Homo; species Homo sapiens. The sequence continues at coordinate 122,784,908 of NC_000001.11, forward strand.
GGTTTTTTCCTGTAAGGCTAGACAGAAGAATTCCCAGTAACTTCCTTGTGTTGTGTACATTCAACTCACAGAGTTGAACGTTCCCTTAGACAGAGCAGATTTGAAACACTCTTTTTGTGCAACTGGCAAGTGGAGATTTCAAGCGCTTTAAGGTCAATGGCAGAAAAGGAAATATCTTCGTTTCAAAACTAGACAGAATCATTCCCACAAACTGCGTTGTGATGTGTTCGTTCAACTCACAGAGTTTAACTTTTCTGTTCATAGAGCAGTTAGGAAACACTCTGTTTGTAAAGTCTGTAAGTGGATATTCTGACATCTTGTGGCCTTCGTTGGAAACGGGATTTCTTCATATTCTGCTAGACAGAAGAATTCTCAGAATCTTCCTTGTGTTGTGTGTATTCAACTCACAGAGTTGAACGATGGTTTACAGAGAGCAGATTTGAAACACTCTTTTTGTGGAATTTGCAAGTGGAGATTTCAGCTGCTTTGAGGTCAATGGTAGAAAAGGAAATATCTTCGTATAAAAACTAGACAGAATGATTCTCAGAAACTCCTTTGTGATGTGTGCGTTCAACTCACAGGAGTTTAACCTTTCTTTTCATAGAGCAGTTAGGAAACACTCTGTTTGTAAAGTCTGCAAGTGGATATTCAGACCTCCTTGAGGCCTTCGTTGGAAACGGGATTTCTTCCTATTATGCTAGACAGAAGAATTCTCAGTAACTTCCTTGTGTTGTGTGTATTCAACTCACAGATTTGAACGATCCTTTACACAGAGCAGACTTGAAACACTCTTGTTGTGGAATTTGCAAGTGGAGATTTCAGCCGCTTTGAGGTCAATGGTAGAAAAGGAAATATCTTCCTATAGAAATTAGACAGAATGATTCTCAGAAACTCCTCTGTGATGTGTGCGTTCAACTCACAGAGTTTAACCTTTCTTTTCATAGAGCAGTTAGGAAACACTCTGTTTGTAAAGTCTGCAAGTGGATATTCAGACATCTTTGAGGCTTTCTTTGGAAAAGGGATTTCTTCATATTCTGCTATACAGAAGAATTCTCAGTAACTTCCTTGTGTTGTGTGTATTCAAGTGACAGAGTTGAACTTTCATTTACAGAGAGCAGATTTGAAACACTGTTTTTGTGGAATTTGCAAGTGGAGATTTCAAGCGCTTTGGGGCCAAAGGCAGAAAAGGAAATATCTTCGTATAAAAACTAGACAGAATCATTCTCAGAAACTGCTGCGTGATGTGTGCGTTCAACTCTCAGAGTTTAACTTTTCTTTTCATTCAGCGGTTTGGAAACACTCTGTTTGTAAAGTCTGCACGTGGAAATTGTGACCACTTAGAGGCCTTCGTTGGAAACGGGTTTTTTTCATGTAAGGCTAGACAGAAGAATTCCCAGTAACTTCCTTGTGTTGTGTGCATTCAACTCACAGAGTTGAACGTTCCCTTAGACAGAGCAGATTTGAAACACTCTATTTGTGCAATTTGCAAGTGTAGTTTTCAAGCTCTTTAAGGTCAACGGCAGAAAAGGAAATATCTTGGTTTCAAAACTAGACAGAATCATTCCCACAAACTGCGTTGTGATGTGTTCGTTCAACTCACAGAGTTTAACCTTTCTGTTCATAGAGCAGTTAGGAAACACTCTGTTTGTAAAGTCTGTAAGTGGATATTCAGACATCTTGTGGCCTTCGTTGGAAACGGGATTTCTTCATATTCTGCTAGACAGAAGAATTCTCAGTAACTTCCTTGTGTTGTGTGTATTCAACTCACAGAGTTGAACGATCCTTTACACAGAGGAGACTTGAAACACTCTTTTTGTGGAATTTGCAAGTGGAGATTTCAGCCGCTTTGAGGTCAATGGTAGAAAAGGAAAAATCTTCGTATAGAAACAAGACAGAATGATTCTCAGAAACTCCTTTGAGATGTGTGTGTTCAACTCACAGAGTTTAACCTTTGTTTTCATAGAGGAGTTAGGAAACACTCTGTTTGTAAAGTCTGCAAGTGGATATTCAGACCTCTTTGAGGCCTTCGTTGGAAACGGGTTTTTTTCATATAAGGCTAGACAGAAGAATTCTCAGTAACTTCCTTGTCTTGTGTGTATTCAACTCACAGAGTTGAACGATCCTCTACACAGAGCAGACTTGTAACACTCTTTTTGTGGAATTTGCAAGTGGAGATTTCAGCCGCTTTGAAGTCAAAGGTAGAAAAGGAAATATCTTCCTATAAAAACTAGACAGAATGATTCTCAGAAACTCCTTTGTGATGTGTGCGTTCAACTCACAGAGTTTAACCTTTCTTTTCATAGAGCAGTTAGGAAACACTCTGTTTGTAAAGTCTGCAAGTGGATATTCAGACATCCTTGAGGCTTTCGTTGGAAACGGGATTTCTTCATATTCTGTTAGAAAGAAGAATTCTCAGTAACTTCCTTGTGTTGTGTGTATTCAACTGACAGAGTTGAACTTTCATTTAGAGAGAGCAGATTTGAAACACTGTTTTTGTGGAATTTGCAAGTGGAGATTTCAAGCGCTTTGGGGCCAAAGGCAGAAAAGGAAATATCTCCGTATAAAAACTAGACAGAATCATTCTCAGAAACTGCTCTGTGATGTGTGCGTTCAACTCTCAGAGTTTAACATTTCTTTTCATTCAGCAGTTTGGAAACACTCTGTTTGTAAAGTCTGCACGTGGATAATTTGACCACTTAGAGGCCTTCGTTGGAAACGGGTTTTTTTCATGTAAGGCTAGACAGAAGAATTCTCAGAAACTTCCTTGTGTTGTGTGTATTCAACTCACAGAGTTGAACGATCGTTTACACGGAGCAGACTTGAGACACTCTTTTTGTGGAATTTGCAAGTGGAGATTTCAGCCGCTTTGAGTTCAATGGTAGAATAGGAAATATCTTCATATAAAAACTAGACAGAATGATTCTCAGAAACTCCTTTCTGATGTGTGCGTTCAACTCACAGAGTTTAAACTTTCTTTTCATAGAGCAGTTAGGAAACACTCTGTTTGTAAAGTCTGCAAGTGGATATTCAGACCTCTTTGAGGCCTTCGTTGGAAACGGGATTTCTTCATATTATGCTAGACAGAAGAATTCTCAGAAAATTCCTTGTGTTGTGTGTATTCAACTCACAGAGTTGAACGATCCTTTACAGAGAGCAGACTTGAAACACTCTTTTTGTGGAATTTGCAAGTGGAGATTTCAGCCGCTTTGAGGTCAATGGTAGAATAGGAAATATCTTCCTATAGAAACTTGACAGAATGATTCTCAGAAACTACTTTGTGATGTGTACGTTCAACTCACAGAGTTTAACCTTTGTTTTCATAGAGCAGTTAGGAAACACTCTGTTTGTAAAGTCTGCAAGTGGATATTCAGACCTCTTTGAGGCCTTCGTTGGAAACGGGTTTTTTTCATATAAGGCTAGACAGACGAATTCTCAGTAACTTCCTTGTGTTGTGTGTATTCAACTCACAGAGTTGAACGATCCTTTACACAGAGCAGACTTGAAACACTCTTTTTGTGGAATTTGCAAGTGGAGATTTCAGCCGCTTTGAGGTCAATGGTAGAATAGGAAATATCTTCCTATAGAAACTAGACAGAATGATTCTCAGAAACTCCTTTGTGCTGTGTGCGTTCAACTCACAGAGTTTAACCTTTCTTTTCATAGAGCAGTTAGGAAACTCTCTGTTTGTAAAGTCTGCAAGTGGATATTCAGACATCTTTGAGGCTTTCGTTGGAAACGGGATTTCTTCATATTCTGCTAGACAGAAGAATTCTCAGTAACTTTCCTTGTGTTGTGTGTATTCAACTCACAGAGTTGAACGATCCTTTACACAGAGCGGACAGGAAACACTCTTTTTCTGGAATTTGCAAGCGGAGATTTCAGCTGCGTTGAGGTCAATGGTAGAAAAGGAAATATCTTCGTATAAAAACTAGACAGAATGATTCTCAGAAACTCCTTTGTGATGTGTGCGTTCAACTCACAGAGTTTAACCTTTCTTTTCATAGAGCAGTTAGGGAACACTCTGTTTGTAAAGTCTGCAAGTGGATATTCAGACCGCTTTGAGGCCTTCGTTGGAAAGGGGATTTCTTCATATTCTGCTAGACAGAAGAATTCTCAGTAACTTCATTGTGTTGTGTGTATTCAACTCACAGATTTCAACGATCCTTTACACAGAGCAGACTTGAAACACTCTTTTTGTGGAATTTGCAAGTGGAGATTTCAGCCTCTTTGAGGTCAATGGTAGAATAGGAAATATCTTCCTATAGAAACCAGACAGAATGATTCTCATAAACTCCTTTGTGATGTGTGCGTTCAACTCACAGAGTTTAACCTTTCTTTTCATAGAGCAGTTAGGAAACACTCTGTTTGTAAAGTCTGCAAGTGGATATTCAGACCTGCTTGAGGCCTTCTTTGGAAAAGGGATTTCTGCATATTATGCTAGACAGAAGGAATTCTCAGTAACTTCCTTGTGTTGTGTGTATTCAACTGACAGAGTTGAACTTTCATTTAGAGAGAGCAGATTTGAAACACTGTTTTTGTGGAAGTTGCAAGTGGAGATTTCAAGCGCTTTGGGGCCAAAGGCAGAAAAGGAAATATCTTCGTATAAAAACTAGACAGAATGATTCTCACAAACTCCTTTGTGATGTGTGTGTTCAACTCACAGAGTTTAACCTTTCTTTTCATAGAGCAGTTAGTAAACACTCTGTTTATAAAGTCTGCAAGTGGATATTCAGACCTCCTTGAGGCCTTCGTTGGAAACGGGATTTCTTCATATTATGCTAGACAGAAGAATTCCCAGTAACTTCCTTGTGTTGTGTGCATTCAACTCACAGAGTTGAACGTTCCCTTAGACAGAGCAGATTTGAAACACTCTATTTGTGCAATTTGCAAGTGTAGTTTTCAAGCTCTTTAAGGTCAACGGCAGAAAAGGAAATATCTTCGTTTCAAAACTAGACAGAATGATTCTCAGAAACTCCTTTGTGATGTGTGCGTTCAACTCACAGAGTTTAACCTTTCTTTTCATAGAGCAGTTAGGAAACACTCTGTTTGTAAAGTCTGCAAATGGATATTCCGACCTCCTTGAGGGCTTCGTTGGAAACGGGATTTCTTCATATTCTGCTATACAGAAGAATTCTCAGAAACTTCATTGTGTTGTGTGTTTTCAACTCACAGAGTTCAACGATCCTTTACACAGAGTAGATTTGAAACACTCTTTTTGTGGAATTGGCAGGGTGGAGATTTCAGCCGCTTTGCGGTCAATGGTAGAAAAGGAAATATCTTCGTATAAAAACTAGACAGAATGATTCTCAGAAACTCCTTTGTGATGTGTGCGTTCAACTCACAGAGTTTAACCTTTCTTTTCATAGAGCAGTTGGGAAACACTCTGTTTGTAAAGTCTGCAAGTGGATATTCAGACATCCTTGAGGCTTTCGTTGGAAATGGGATTTCTTCATATTCTGCTAGAAAGAATAATTCTCAGTAACTTCCTTTTGTTGTGTGTATTCAACTCACAGAGCTGAACGATCCTTTACAGAGAGCAGACTTTAAACACTCTTTTTGTGGAATTTGCAAGTGGAGATTTCAGCCGCTTTGAGGTCAATGTTAGAATAGGAAATAACTTCCTATAGAAACTAGACAGAATGATTCTCAGAAACTCCTTTGTGATGTGTGCGTTCAACTCACAGAGTTTAACTTTTCTTTTCATAGAGCAGTTAGGAAACACTGTGTTTGTAAAGTCTGCAAGTGGATATTCAGACCTCTTTGAGGCCTTCGTTGGAAACGGGATTTCTTCATATTATGCTAGACAGAAGAATTCTCAGTAAATTCCTTGTGTTGTGTGTATTCAACTCACAGAGTTGAACGATCCTTTACACAGAGCAGACTTGAAACACTCTTTTTGTGGAATTTGCAAGTGGAGATTTCAGCCGCTTTGAGGTCAATGGTAGAATAGGAAATATCTTCCTATAGAAAATAGACAGAATGATTCTCAGAAACTCCTTTGTGATGTGTGTGTTCAACTCACAGAGTTTAACCTTTCTTTTCATAGAGCAGTTAAGAAACACTCTGTTTGTAAAGTCTGCAAGTGGATATTCAGACCTCCTTGAGGCCTTCGTTGGAAACGGGATTTCTTCATATTCTGCTAGACAGAAGAATTCCCAGTAACTTCCTTGTGTTGTGTGTGTTCAACTCACAGAGTTGAACTTTCATTTACACAGAGCAGATTTGAAACACTCTTTTTGTGGAATTTGCAAGTGGGGATTTCAAGCGCTGTGAGGCCAAAGGCAGAAAAGGAAATATCTTCTTATAAAAACTAGACAGAATCATTCTCAGAAACTGCTGCGTGATGTGTGCGTTCAACTCTCAGAGTTTAACTTTTCTTTTCATTCAGCGGTTTGGAAACACTCTGTTTGTAAAGTCTGCACGTGGAAATTTTGACCACTTAGAGGCCTTCGTTGGAAACGGGATTTTTTCATGTAAGGCTAGACAGAAGAATTCCCAGTAACTTCCTTGTGTTGTGTGCATTCAACTCACAGAGTTGAACGTTCCCTTAGACAGAGCAGATTTGAAACACTCTATTTGTGCAATTTGCAAGTGTAGTTTTCAAGCTCTTTAAGGTCAACGGCAGAAAAGGAAATATCTTCGTTTCAAAACTAGACAGAATCATTCCCACAAACTGCGTTGTGATGTGTTCGTTCAACTCACAGAGTTTAACCTTTCTGTTCATAGAGCAGTTAGGAAACACTCTGTTTGTAAAGTCTGTAAGTGGATATTCTGACATCTTGTGGCCTTCGTTGGAAACGGGATTTGTTCATATTCTGCTAGACAGAAGAAGTCTCAGTAACTTCCTTGTGTTTTGTGTATTCAACTCACAGAGTTGAACGATCCTTTACACAGAGCAGACTTGAAACACTCTTTTTGTGGAATTTGCAACTGGAGATTTCAGCCGCTTTGAGGTCAATGGTAGAATAGGAAATATCTTCCTATAGAAACTAGACAGAATGATTCTCAGAAACTCCTTTGTGATGTGTGCGTTCAACTCACAGAGTTTAACCTTTCTTTTCATAGAGCAGTTAGGAAACACTCTGTTTGTAAAGTCTGCAAGTGGATATTTAGACATCTTTGTGGATTTCGTTGGAAACGGGATTTCTTCATATTCTGCTATACAGAAGAATTCTCAGAAACTTCCTTGTGTTGTGTGTATTCAACTCACAGAGTTCAACGATAGTTTACACAGAGCAGACTTGAAACACTCTTTTTGTGTAATTTGCAAGTGGAGATTTCAGCCGCTTCGAGGTCAATGGTAGAAAAGGAAATATCTTCGTATAAAAACTAGACAGAATCATTCTCAGAAACTGCTCTGCGATGTGTGCGTTCAACTCTCAGAGTTTAACATTTCTTTTCATTTAGCAGTTTGGAAACACTCTGTTTGCAAAGTCTGCACGTGGATAATTTGACCACTTAGAGGCCTTCGTTGGAAACGGGTTTTTTTCATGTAAGGCTAGACAGAAGAATTCCCAGTAACTTCCTTGTTTTGTGTACATTCAACTCACAGAGTTGAACGTTCCCTTAGACAGAGCAGATTTGAAACACTCTTTTTGTGCAATTGGCAAATGGAGATTTCAAGCGCTTTAAGGTCAATGGCAGAAAAGGAAATATCTTCGTTTCAAAACTAGACAGAATCATTCCCACAAACTGCGTTGTGATGTGTTCGTTCAACTCACAGAGTTTAACCTTTCTGTTCATAGAGCAGTTAGGAAACACTCTGTTTGTAAAGTCTGTAAGTGGATATTCTGACATCTTGTGGCCTTCGTTGGAAACGGGATTTCTTCCTATTCTGCTAGACAGAAGAATTCTCAGTAACTTCCCTGTGTTGTGTGTATTCAACTCACAGAGTTGAACGATCCTTTACAGAGAGCAGACTTGAAACACTCTTTTTGTGGAATTTGCAAGTGGAGATTTCAGCCGCTTTGAGGTCAATGGTAGAATAGGAAATATCTTCCCATAGAAACTAGACAGAATGATTCCCACAAAATCCTTTGTGATGTGTGCGTTCAACTCACAGAGTTTAACCTTTCTTTTCATAGAGCAGTTAGTAAACACTCTGTTTATAAAGTCTGCAAGTGGATATTCAGACCCCTTTGAGGCCTTCGTTGGAAACGGGATTTCTTCATATTATGCTAGACAGAAGAATTCTCAGTAACTTCCTTCTGTTGTATGTATTCAACTGACAGAGTTGAACTTTCATTTAGAGAGAGCAGATTTGAAACACTGTTTTTGTGGAATTTGCAAGTGGAGATTTCAAGCGCTTCGGGGCCAAAGGCAGAAAAGGAAATATCTTCGTATAAAAACTAGACAGAGAATCATTCTCAGAAACTGCTCTGCGATGTGTGCGTTCAACTCTCAGAGTTTAACTTTTCTTTTCATTCAGCAGTTTGGAAACACTCTGGTTGTAAAGTCTGCACGTGGATAACTTGACCACTTAGAGGCCTTCGTTGGAAACGGGTTTTTTTCCTGTAAGGCTAGACAGAAGAATTCCCAGTAACTTCCTTGTGTTGTGTGCATTCAACTCACAGAGTTGAACGTTCCCTTAGACAGAGCAGATTTGAAACACTCTATTTGTGCAATTTGCAAGTGTAGATTTCAAGCGCTTTAAGGTCAATGGCAGAAAAGGAAATATCATCGTTTCAAAACTAGACAGAATCATTGCCACAAACTGCGTTGTGATGTGTTCGTTCAACTCACAGAGTTTAACCTTTCTGTTCATAGAGCAGTTAGGAAACACTCTGTTTGTAAAGTCTGTAAGTGGATATTCTGACATCTTGTAGCCTTCTTTGGAAACGGGATTTCTTCATATTCTGCTAGACAGAAGAATTCTCAGTAACTTCCTTGTGTTGTGTGTATTCAACTCACAGAGTTGAACGATCCTTTACACAGAGCAGACTTGAAACACTCTTTGTGTGGAATTTGCAAGTGGAGATTTCAGCCGCTTTGAGGTCAATGGTAGAATAGGAAATATCTTCGTATAAAGACTAGACAGAATGATTCTCAGAAACTCCTTTGTGATGTGTGCGTTCAACTCACAGAGTTTAACTTTTCTTTTCATAGAGCAGTTAGGAAACACTCTTTTTGCAAAGTCTGCAAGTGGATATTCAGACCTCTTTGAGGCCTTCGTTGGAAACGGGATTTCTTCATATTATGCTAGACAGAAGAATTCCCAGTAACTTCCTTGTGTTGTGTGTGTTCAACTCACAGAGTTGAACTTTCATTTACACAGAGCAGATTTGAAACACTCTTTTTGTGGAATTTGCAAGTGGAGATTTCCAGCGCTTTGAGGCCAAAGGCAGAAAAGGAAATATCTTCGTTTCAAAACTAGACAGAATCATTCTCAGAAACTGCTGCGTGATGTGTGCGTTCAACTCTCAGAGTTTAACTTTTCTTTTCATTCAGCGGTTTGGAAACACTCTGTTTGTAAAGTATGCACGTGGATATTTTGACCACTTAGAGGCCTTCGTTGGAAACGGGTTTTTTGCATGTAAGGCTAGACAGAAGAATTCCCAGTAACTTCCTTGTGTTGTGTGTGTTCAACTCACAGAGTTGAACGTTCCCTTAGACAGAGCAGATTTGAAACACTCTATTTGTGCAATTGGCAAGTGGTGATTTCAGCCGCTTTGGGGTCAATGGTAGAAAAGGAAATATCTTCGAATAAAAACTAGACAGAATCATTCCCACAAACTGCGTTGTGATGTGTTCGTTCAACTCACAGAGTTTAACCTTTGTGTTCATAGAGCAGTTAGGAAACACTCTGTTTGTCAAGTCTGTAAGTGGATATTCTGACATCTTGTGGCCTTCGTTGGAAACGGGATTTCTTCATATTCTGCTAGACAGAAGAATTCTCAGTAACTTCCTTGTGTTGTGTGTATTCAACTCACAGAGTTGAATGATCCTTTACACAGAGCAGACTTGAAACACTCTTTTTGTGGAATTTGGAAGTGGAGATTTCAGCCGCTTTGAGTTCAATGGTAGAATAGGAAATATCTTCCTATAGAAACTAGACAGAAATGATTCTCAGAAACTCCTTTGTGATGTGTGCGTTCAACTCACAGAGTTTAACCTTTGTTTTCATAGAGCAGTTAGGAAACACTCTGTTTGTAAAGTCTGCAAGTGGATATTCAGACCTCCTTGAGGCCTTCGTTGGAAACGGGATTTCTTCATATTATGCTAGACAGAAGAACTCCCAGTAACTTCCTTGTGTTGTGTGTGTTCAACTCACAGAGTTGAACTTTCATTTACACAGAGCAGATTTGAAACACTCTTTTTGTGGAATTTGCAAGTGGAGATTTCAAGCGCGTTGAGGCCAAAGGCAGAAAAGGAAATATCTTCGTTTAAAAACTAGACAGAATGATTCTCAGAAACTCCTTTGTGATGTGTGCGTTGAACTCACAGAGTTTAACCTTTCTTTTCATGGAGCAGTTAGGAAACACTCTGTTTGTAAAGTCTGCACGTGGATACTTGGACTTCTTTGAGGCCTTCGTTGGAAACGGGTTTTTTTCATGTAAGGTTAAACAGAAGAATTCCCAGTAACTTCCTTGTGTTGTGTGCATTCAACTCACAGAGTTGAACGTACCTTAGACAGAGCAGATTTGAAACACTCTATTTGTGCAATTTGCAAGTGTAGATTTCAAGCGCTTTAAGGTCAATGGCAGAAAAGGAAATATCTTCGTTTCAAAACTAGACAGAATGATTCTCAGAAACTTCATTGTGACGTGTGCTTTCAACTCACAGAGTTTAACCTTTCTTTTCATAGAGGAGTTAGGAAACACTCTGTTTGTAAAGTCTGCAAGTGGATATTCAGACCTCTTTGAGGCCTTCGTTGGAAACGGGATTTCTTCATACTGTGCTAGACAGAAGAATTCTCAGTAACTTCCTTGTGTTGTGTGTATTCAACTCACAGAGTTGAACGATCCTTTACACAGAGCGGACTTTAAACACACTTTTTGTGGAATTTGCAAGTGGAGATTTCAGCCGCATTGAGGTCAATGGTAGAAAAGGAAATATCTTCGTATAAAAACTAGACAGAATGATTCTCAGAAACTTCTTTGTGATGTGTGCGTTCAACTCACAGAGTTTAACCTTTCTTTTCATAGAGCAGTTAGGAAACACTCCGTTTGTAAAGTCTGCAAGTGGATATTCAGACCTCTTTGAGGCCTTCGTTGGAAACGGGATTTCTTCATACTATGCTAGACAGAAGAATTCCCAGTAACTTCCTTGTGTTGTGTGTGTTCAACTCACAGAGTTGAACTTTCATTTACACAGAGCAGATTTGAAACACTCTTTTTGTGGAATTTGTAAATGGAGATTTCAAGCGCTTTGAGGCCAAAGGCAGAAAAGGAAATATCTTCGTATAAAAACTAGACAGAATCATTCTCAGAAACTGCTCTGTGATGTGTGCGTTCAACTCTCAGAGTTTAACTTTTCTTTTCATTCAGCAGTTTGGAAACACTCTGTTTGTAAAGTCTCCACGTGGATATTTGGACTTGTTTGAGGCCTTCGTTGGAAAAGTGTTTTTTTCATGTAAGGCTAGACAGTAGAATTCCCAGTAACTTCCTTGCGTTGTGTACATTCAACTCACAGAGTTGAACGTTCCCTTAGACAGAGCAGATTTGAAACACTCTTTTTGTGCAATTGGCAAGTGGAGATTTCAAGCGCTTTAAGGTCAATGGCAGAAAAGGAAATATCTTCGTTTCAAAACTAGACAGAATCATTCCCACAAACTGCGTTGTGATGTGTTCGCTCAACTCACAGAGTTTAACCTTTCTGTTCATAGAGCAGTTAGGAAACACTCTGTTTGTAAAGTCTGTAAGTGGATATTCTGACATCTTGTGGCCTTCGTTGGAAACGGGATTTCTTCCTATTCTGCTAGACAGAAGAATTCTCAGTAACTTCCTTGTGTTGTGAGTATTCAACTCACAGAGTTGAACGATCCTTTACACAGAGCGGACTTGAAACACTCGTTTTGTGGAATTTGCAAGTGGAGATTTCAGCCGCTTTGAGGTCAATGGTAGAAAAGGAAATATCTTCGTATAAAAACTAGACAGAATTATTCTCAGAAACTCCTTTGTGATGTGTGCGTTCAACTCACAGAGTTCAACCTTTCTTTTCATAGAGCAGTTGGGAAACACTCTGTTTGTAAAGTCTGCAAGTGGATATTCAGACTTCTTTGAGGCCTTCGTTGGAAGCGGGATTTCTTCATATTCTGCTAGACAGAGTAATTCTCAGTAACTTCCTTGTGTTGTGTGTATTCAACTGACAGAGTTGAACTTTCATTTAGAGAGAGCAGATTTGAAACACTGTTTTTGTGGAATTTGCAAGTGGAGATTTCAAGCGCTTTCGGGCCAAAGGCAGAAAAGGAAATATCTTCGTATAAAAACTAGACAGAATCATTCTCAGAAACTGCTCTGCGATGTGTGCGTTCAACTCTCAGAGTTCAACTTTTCTTTTCATTCAGCAGTTTGGAAACACTCTGTTTGTAAAGTCTGCACGTGGATAATTTGACCACTTAGAGACCTTCGTTGGAAACGGGTTTTTTTCATGTAAGGCTAGACAGAAGAATTCCCACTAACTTCCTTGTGTTGTGTGCATTCAACTCACAGAGTTGAACGTTCCCTTAGACAGAGCAGATTTGAAACAGCCTATTTGTGCAATTTGCAAGTGTAGATTTCAAGCGCTTTAAGGTCAACGGCTGAAAAGGAAATATCTTCCTTTCAAAACTAGACAGAATCATTCCCACAAACTGCGTTGTGATGTCTTCGTTCAACTCACAGAGTTTAACCTTTCTTTTCATAGAGCAGTTAGGAAACAGTCTGTTTGTAAATTCTGTAAGTGGATATTCTGACATCTTGTGGCCTTCGTTGGAAACGGGATTTCTTCATATTCTGCTAGACAGAAGAATTCTCAGTAACTTCCTTGTGTTGTGTGTATTCAACTCACAGAGTTGAACTATCCTTTACACAGAGCAGACTTGAACCAAACTTTTTGTGGAATTTGCAAGTGGAGATTTCAGCCGCTTTGAGGTCAATGGTAGAATAGGAATTATCTTCCTATAGAAACTAGACAGAATGATTCTCAGAAACTCCTTTGTGATGTGTGCGTTCAACTCATAGAGTTTATCCTTTCTTTTCATAGAGCAGTTAGGAAACACTCTGTTTGTAAAGTCTGCAAGTGGATATTCAGACATCCTTGAGGCTTTCGTTGGAAACGGGATTTCTTCATATTCTGCTAGAAAGAAGAATTCTCAGCAACTTCCTTGTGTTGTGTGTATTCAACTCACAGAGTTGAACGATCCTTTACACAGAGCAGACTTGAAACACTCTTTTTGTGGAATTTGCAAGTGGAGATTTCAGCCGCTTTGAGGTCAATGGTAGAATAGGAAATATCTTCCTAAAGAAACTAGACAGAATGATTCTCAGAAACTCCTTTGTGATGTGTGCGTTCAACTCACAGAGTTTAACCTTTCTTTTCATAGAGCAGTTAGGAAACACTCTGTTTGTAAAGTCTGCAAGTGGATATTCAGACCTCCTTGAGGCCTTCGTTGGAAACGGGATTTCTTCATATTCTGCTAGAAAAAAGAATTCTCAGTAACTTCCTTGTGTTGTGTTTATTCAAATCACAGAGTTGAATGATCCTTTACACAGAGCAGACTTGAAACACTCTTTTTGTGGAATTTGCAAGTGGAGATTTCAGCCGCTTTGTGGTCAATGGTAGAAAAGGAAATATCTTCGTATAAAGACTAGACAGAATGATTCTCAGAAACTCCTTTGTGATGTGTGCGTTCAACTCACAGTGTTTAACCTTTCTTTTCATAGAGCAGTTGGGAAACACTCTGTTTGTAAAGTCTGCAAGTGGATATTCAAACTTCTTTGAGGCCTTCGTTGGAAGCGGGATTTCTTCATATTCTGCTAGACGGAAGAATTCTCAGTAACTTCCTTGTGTTGTGTGTATTCAACTCTCAGAGTTGAACGATCCTTTACAGAGAGCAGACTTGAAACACTCTTTTTGTGGAATTTGCAAGTGGAGATTTCAGCCGCTTTGAGGTCAATGGTAGAATAGGAAATATCTTCCTATAGAAACTAGACAGAATGATTCTCAGAAACTCCTTTGTGATGTGTGCGTTCAACTCACAGAGTTTACCCTTTCTTTTCATAGAGCAGTTGGGAAACACTCTGTTTGTAAAGTCTGCAAGTGGATATTCAGACCTCCTTGAGGCTTTCGTTGGAAACGGGATTTCTTCATATTCTGCTAGAAAGAATAATTCTCAGTAACTTCCTTGTGTTGTGTGTATTCAACTCACAGAGTTGAACGATCCTTTACAGAGAGCAGACTTGAAACACTCTTTTTGTTGAATTTGCAAGTGGAGATTTCAGCCGCTTTGAGGTCAATGGTAGAAAAGGAAACTATCTTCGTATAAAGACTAGACAGAATGATTCTCAGAAACTCCTTTGTGATGTGTGCGTTCAACTCACAGAGTTTAACCTTTCTTTTCATAGAGCAGTTGGGAAACACTCTGTTTGTAAAGTCTGCAAGTGGATATTCAGACATTCTTGAGGCTTTCGTTGGAAACGGGATTTCTTCATATTCTGCTAGAAAGAAGAATTATCAGTAACTTCCTTGTGTTGTGTGTATTCAACTCACAGAGTTGAACGATCCTTTACACAGAGCAGTCTTGAAACACTCTTGTTGTGGAATTTGCAAGTGGAGATTTCAGCCGCTTTGAGGTCAATGGTAGAAAAGGAAATATCTTCGTATAAAAACTAGACAGAATGATTCTCAGAAACTCCTTTGTGATGTGTGCAGTTCAACACACAGAGTTTAACCTTTCTTTTCATAGAGCAGTTAGGGAACACTCTGTTTGTAAAGTCTGCAAGTGGATATTCAGACCTCTTTGAGGCCGTCGTTGGAAACGGGATTTCTTCATATTATGCTAGACAGAAGAATTCTCAGTAACTTCCTTGTGTTGTGCGTATTCAACTCACAGAGTTGAACGATCCTTTACACAGAGCAGACTTGAAACACTCTTTTTGCGGAATTTGCAACTGGAGATTTCAGCCGCTTTGAGGTCAATGGTAGAATAGGAAATATCTTCCTATAGAAATTAGACAGAATGATTCTCAGAAACTCGTTTGTGATGTGTGCGTTCAACTCACAGAGTTTAACCTTTCTTTTCATAGAGCAGTTAGGAAACACTCTGTTTGTAAAGTCTGCAAGTGGATATTCAGTCCTCTTTGAGGCCTTCGTTGGAAACGGGGTTTTTTCATATAAGGCTAGACAGAAGAATTCTCAGTAACTTTCCTTGTGTTGTGTGTATTCAACTCACACAGTTGAACGATCCTTTACACAGAGCAGACTTGTAACACTCTTTTTGTGGAATTTGAAAGTGGAGATTTCAGCCGCTTTGAAGTCAAAGGTAGAAAAGGAAATATCTTCCTATAAAAACTAGACAGAATGATTCTCAGAAACTCCTTTGTGATGTGTGTGTTCAACGCACAGAGTTTAACCTTTCTTTTCATAGAGCAGTTAGTAAACACTCTGTTTATAAAGTCTGCAAGTGGATATTCAGACCCCTTTGAGGCCTTCGTTGGAAACGGGATTTCTTCATATTATGCTAGACAGAAGAATTCTCAGTAACTTCCTCGTGTTGTGTGTATTCAACTCACAGAGTTGAATGATCCTTTACACAGAGCAGACTTGAAACACTCTTTTTGTGGAATTTGCAAATGGAGATTTCAGCCGCTTTGAGGTCAATGGTTGAAAAGGAAATATCTTCAAATAAAAACTAGACAGAATGATTCTCAGAAACTCCTTTGTGATGTGTGCGTTCAACTCACAGAGTTTAACCTTTCTTTTCATAGAGCAGTTAGGAAACACTCTGCTTGTAAAGTCTGCAAGTGGATATTCAGCCCTCTTTGAGGCCTTCGTTGGAAACGGGTTTTTTTCATATAAGGCTAGACGAGAAGAATTCCCAGTAACTTCCCTTGTGTTGTGTGTGTTCAACTCACAGAGTTGAACTTTCATTTACACAGAGCAGATTTGAAACACTCTTTTTGTGGAATTTGCAAGTGGAGATTTCAAGCGCTTTGAGGCCAAAGGCAGAAAAGGAAATATCTTCGTATAAAAACTTGACAGAATCATTCTCAGAAACTGCTCTGCGATGTGTGCGTTCAACTCTCAGAGTTTAACTTTTCTTTTCATTCAGCAGTTTGGAAACACTCTGTTTGTAACGTCTACACGTGAATAATTTGACCACTTAGAGGCCTTCGTTGGAAACGGGTTTCTTTCATGTAAGGCTAGACAGAAGAATTCCCAGTAACTTCCTTGTGTTGTGTGCATTCAACTCACAGAGTTGAACGTTCCCTAGACGGAGCAGATTTGAAACACTCTATTTGTGCAATTTGCAAGTGTAGATTTCAAGCGCTTTAAGGTCAATGGCAGAAAAGGGAATATCTTCGTTTCAAAACTAGACAGAATGATTCTCAGAAACTCCTTTGTGATGTGTGCGTTCAACTCACAGAGTTTAACCTTTCTGTTCATAGAGCTGTTAGGAAACACTCTGTTTGTAAAGTCTGCAAGTGGATATTCAGATCTCCTTGAGGCCTTCGTTGGAAACGGGATTTCTTCATATTCTGCTAGACAGAAGAATTCTCAGTAACTTCCTTGTGTTGTGTGTATTCAACTCACAGAGTTGAATGATCCTTTACACAGAACAGTCTTGAAACACTCTTTTTCTGGAATTTGCAAGTGGAGATTTCAGCCGCTTTGAGGTCAATGGTAGAATAGGAAATATCTTCCTATAGAAACTAGACAGAATGATTCTCAGAAACTCCTTTGTGATGTGTGCGTTCAACTCACAGAGTTTAACCTTTCTTTTCATAGAGCAGTTAGGAAACAATCTGTTTGTAAAGTCTGCAAGTGGATATTCAGACATCTTTGAGGCTTTCGTTGGAAACGGGATTTCTTCATATTCTGCTAGACAGCAGAATTCTCAGTAACTTCCTTGTGTTGTGTGTATTCAACTCACAGAGTTGAACGAACCTTTACACAGAGCAGACTTGAAACACTCTTTTTGTGGAATTTGCAAGGGGAGATTTCAGCCGCTTTGAGGTCAATAGTAGAAAAGGAAATATCTTCATATAGAAACTAGACATAATGATTCTCAGAAACTCCTTTGTGATGTGTGCGTTCAACTCACAGAGTTTAACCTTTCTTTTCATAGAGCAGTTAGGAAACACTCTGTTTGTAAAGTCTGCAAGTGGATATTCAGACCTCCTTGGGGCCTTCGTTGGAAACGGGATTTCTTCATATTATGCTAGACAGAAGAATTCTCAGTAACTTCCTTGTGTTGTGTGTATTCAACTCACAGAGTTGAACGATCCTTTACACAGAGCCGACTTGAAACACTCTTTTTGTGGAATTTGCAAGTGGAGATTTCAGCCGCTTTGAGGTCAATGGTAGAAAAGGAAATATCTTCGTATAAAGACTAGACAGAATGATTCTCAGAAACTCCTTTGTGATGTGTGCGTTCAACTCACAGAGTTTAACCTTTCTTTTCATAGAGCAGTTAGGAAACACTCTGTTTGTAAAGTCTGCAAGTGGATATTCAGACCTCCTTGAGGCCTTCCATGGAAGCGGGATTTCTTCATGTTCAGCTAGACAGAAGAATTCTCAGTAACTTCCTTGTGTTGTGTGTATTCAACTCACAGAGTTGAACGATCCTTTACACAGAGCAGACTTGAAACACTCTTTGTGGAATTTGCAATTGGAGATTTCAGCCGCGTTGAGGTCAATGGTAGAAAAGGAAATATCTTCGTATAAAAACTAGACAGAATGATTCTCAGAAACTCCTTTGTGATGTGTGTGTTCAACTCACAGAGTTTAACCTTTCTTTTCATAGAGCAGTTAGGAAACACTCTGTTTGTAAAGTCTGCAAGTGGATATTCAGACCTCCTAGAGGCCTTCGTTGGAAACGGGATTTCTTCATATTCTGCTAGTCAGAAGAATTCTCAGTAACTTCCTTGTGTTGTGTGTATTCAACTCACAGAGTTGAATGATCCTTGACACAGAGCAGACTTGAAACACTCTTTTTGTGGAATTTGCAAGTGGAGATTTCAGCCGCTTTGAGGTCAATGGTAGAAAAGGAAATATCTTCATATAAAAATTAGACAGAAGGATTCTCAGAAACTCCTTTGTGATGTGTGCGTTCAACTCACAGAGTTTAACCTTTCTTTTAATAGAGCAGTTAGGAAACACTCTGTTTGTAAAGTCTGCAAGTGGATATTCAGACCTCTTTGAGGCCTTCGTTGGAAACGGGTTTTTTTCATATAAGGCTGGACAGAAGAATTCCCAGTAACTTCCTTGTGTTGTGTGCATTCAACTCACAGAGTTGAACGTTCCCTTAGACAGAGCAGATTTGAAACACTCTATTTGTGCAATTTGCAAGTGTAGATTTCAAGCACTATAAGGTCAATGGCAGAAAAGGAAATATCTTCGTTTCAAAACTAGACAGAATCATTCCCACAAACTGCGTTGTGATGTGTTCGTTCAACTCACAGAGTTTAACCATTCTATTCATAGAGCAGTTAGGAAACACTCTGTTTGTAAAGTCTGTAAGTGGATATTCTGACATCTTGTGGCCTTCGTTGGAAACGGGATTTCTTCATATTCTGCTAGACAGAAGAATTCTCAGCAACTTCCTTGTGTTGTGTGTATTCAACTCACAGAGTTGAACGATCCTTTACACAGAGCAGAATTGAAACACTGTTTTTGTGGAATTTGCAAGTGGAGATTTCTGCCGCTTTGAGGTCAATGGCAGAAAAGGAAATATCTTCCTATAGAAACTAGACAGAATGATTCTCAGAAACTCCTTTGTGATGTGTGCGTTCAACTCACAGAGTTTAACCTTTCTTTTCATAGAGCAGTTAGGAAACACTCTGTTTGTAAAGTCTGCAAGTGGATATTTAGACCTCTCTGAGGCCTTCGTTGGAAACGGGATTTCTTCATATTCTGCTAGACAGAAGAATTCCCAGTAACTTCCTTGTGTTGTGTGTGTTCAACTCACAGAGTTGAAATTTCATTTAAACAGAGCAGATTTGAAACACTCTTTTTGTGGAATTTGCAAGTGGAGATTTCAAGCGCTTTGAGGCCAAAGGCAGAAAAGGAAATATCTTCCTATAAAAACTAGACAGAATCATGATCAGAAACTGCTCTGCGATGTGTGCGTTCAACTCTCAGAGTTTAACTTTTCTTTTCATTCAGCAGTTTGGAAACACTCTGTTTGTAAAGTCTGCACGTGGATAATTTGACCACTTAGAGGCCTTCGTTGGAAACAGGTTTTTTTCATGTAAGGCTAGACAGAAGAATTCCCAGTAACTTCCTTGTGTTGCGTACATTCAACTCACAAAGTTGAACGTTCCCTTAGACAGAGCAGATTTGAAACACTCTTTTTGTGCAATTGGCAAGTGGAGATTTCAAGCGCTTTAAGGTCAATGGCAGAAAAGGAAATATCTTCGTTTCAAAACTAGACAGAATCATTCCCACAAACTGCGTTGTGATGTGTTCGTTCAACTCACAGAGTTTAAACTTTCTTTTCATAGAGCAGTTAGGAAACAGTCTGTTTGTAAATTCTGTACGTGGATATTCTGACATCTTGTGGCCTTCGTTGGAAACGGGATTTCTTCATATTCTGCTAGACAGAAGAATTCTCAGTAACTTCCTTGTGTTGTGTGTATTCAACTCACAGAGTTGAACGATCGTTTACACAGAGCAGACTTGAAACACTCTTTTTGTGGAATTTGCAAGTGGAGATTTCAGCCGCTTTGAGGTCAATGGTAGAAAAGGAATTATCTTCGTATAAAAACTAGACAGAATGGTTCTCAGAAACTCCTTTGTGATGTGTGCGTTTAACTCACAGAGTTTAACCTTTCTTTTCATAGAGCAGTTAGGAAACACTCTGTTTGTAAAGTCTACAAGTGGATATTCAGACCTCTTTGAGGCCTTCGTTGGAAACGGGTTTTTTTCATATAAGGCTAGACAGAAGAATTCTCAGTAACTTCCTTGTGTTGTGTGTATTCAACTCACAGAGTTGAACGATCCTTTACACAGAGCAGACTTGAAACACTCTTTTTGTGGAATTTGCAAGTGGAGATTTCAGCCGCTTTGAGGTCAATGGTAGAAAAGTAAATATCTTCGTATAAAAACTAGACAGAATGATTCTCAGAAACTCCTTTGTGATGTGTGCGTTCAACTCACAGAGTTTAACCATTCTTTTCATAGAGCAGTTAGGAAACACTCTGTTTGTAAAGTCTGCAAGTGGATATTCAGACCTCCTTGAGGCCTTCGTTGGAAACGGGATTTCTTCCTATTATGCTAGACAGAAGAATTCTCAGTAACTTCCTTGTGTTGTGTGTATTCAACTCACAGAGTTGAACGATCCTTTACACAGAGCAGAGTTGAAACACTCTTTTTGTGGAATTTGCAAGTGGAGATTTCAGCCGCTTTGAGGTCAATAGCAGAAAAGGAAATATCTTCGTAGAAAAACTAGACAGAATGATTCTCAGAAACTCCTTTGTGATGTGTGCGTTCAACTCAAAGAGTTTAACCTTTCTTTTCGTAGAGCAGTTAGGAAACACTCTCTTTGTAAAGTCTGCAAGTGGATATTCAGACCTCTTTGAGGCCTACGTTGGAAACGGGATTTCTTCATATTATGATAGACAGAAGAATTCTCAGAAACTTCCTTGTGTTGTGTGCATTCAACTCACAGAGTTGAACGATCCTTTACACAGAGCAGATTAGAAACATTCTTTTTGTGGAATTTGCAAGCGGAGATTTCAGCCGCTTTGAGGTCCATGGTAGAAAAGGAAATATCTTCGTATAAAAACTAGACAGAATGATTCTCAGAAACTTCATTGTGATGTGTGCGTTCAACTCACAGAGTTTAACCTTTCTTTTCATAGAGCAGTTAGGAAACACTCTGTTTGTAAACTCTGCAAGTGGATATTCAGACCTCTTTGAGGCCTTCTTTGGAAACGGGATTTCTTCATACTGTGCTAGACAGAAGAATTCTCAGTAACTTCCTTGTGTTGTGTGTATTCACCTCACAGAGTTGAACGATCCTTTACACAGAGCAGACTTGAAACACTCTTTTTGTGGAATTTGCAAGTGGAGATTTCAGCCGCTTTGAGGTCAATGGTAGAATAGGAAATATCTTCCTATAGAAACTAGACAGAACGATTCTCAGAAACTCCTTTGTGATGTGTGCGTTCAACTCACAGAGTTTAACCTTTCTTTTCATAGAGCAGTTAGGAAACACTCTGTTTGTAAAGGCTGCAAGTGGATATTCAGACCTCTTTGAGGCCTTCGTTGGAAACGGGATTTCTTCCTATTCTGCTAGACAGAAGAATTCTCAGTAACTTCCTTGTGTTGTGTGTATTGAACTCACAGAGTTGAACGATCCTTTACACAGAGCAGACTTGAAACACTCTTTTTGTGGAATTTGCAAGTGGAGATTTCAGCCGCTTTGAGGTCAATAGTAGAAAAGGAAATATCTTCGTATAAAGACTAGACAGAATGATTCTGAGAAACTCCTTTGTGATGTGTGCGTTCAACTCACACACTTTAACCTTTCTTTTCATAGAGCAATTAGGAAACACTCTGTTTGTAAAGTCTGCAAGTGGATATTCAGACCTCTTTGAGGCCTTCGTTGGAAGCGGGATTTCTTCATATTCTGCTAGACAGAAGAATTCCCAGTAACTTCCTTGTGTTGTGTGTGTTCAACTCACAGAGTTGAACTTTCATTTACACAGAGCAGATTTGAAACACTCTTTTTGTGGAATTTGCAAATGGAGATTTCAAGCGCTTTGAGGAAAAAGGCAGAAAAGGAAATGTCTTCGTTTCAAAACTAGACAGAATGATTCTCAGAAACTCCTTTGTGATGTGTGCGTTCAACTCACAGAGTTTAACTTTTCTTTTCATAGAGCAGTTAGGAAACACTCTGTTTGTAAAGTCTGCAAGTGGATATTCAGACCTCCTTGAGGCCTTCTTTGGAAACGGGATTTCTTCATATTCTGCTAGACAGAAGAATTCTCACTAACTTCCTTGTGTTGTGTGTATTCAACTCACAGAGTTGAACGATCCTTTACAAAGAGCAGACTTGAAACACTCTTTTTGTAGAATTTGCAAGTGTAGATTTCAGCCGCTTTGAGGTCAATGGTAGAAAAGGAAATATCTTCGTATAAAGACTAGACAGAATGATTCTCAGAAACTCCTTTGTGATGTGTGCGTTCAACTCACAGAGTTTAACTTTTCTTTTCATAGAGCAGTTAGGAAACACTCTGTTTGTAAAGTCTGCAAGTGGATATTCAGACCTCCTTGAGGCCTTCGTTGGAAACAGGATTTCTTCATATTCTGCTAGACGGAAGAATTCTCAGTAAATTCCTTGTGTTGTGTGTATTCAACTCACAGAGTTGAACGATCCTTTACAAAGAGCAGACTTGAAACACTCTTTTTGTGGAATTTGCAAGTGGAGATTTCAGCCGCTTTGAGGTCAGTAGTAGAAAAGGAAATATCTTCGTAGAAAAACTAGACAGAAATGATTCTCAGAAACTCCTTTGTGATGTGTGTGTTCAACTCACAGAGTTTAACCTTTCTTTTCATAGAGCAGTTAGGAAACACTCTGTTTCTAAAGTCTGCAAGTGGATATTCAGACCTCTTTGAGGCCTTCGTTGGAAACGGGTTTTTTTCATATAAGGCTAGACAGAAGAATTCCCTGTAACTTCCTTGTGTTGTGTGTATTCAACTGACAGAGTTGAACTTTCATTTAGACAGAGCAGATTTGAAACACTCTTTTTGTGGAATTTACAAGTGGAGATTTCAAGCGCTTTGAGGCCAAAGGCAGAAAAGGAAATATCTTCGTATAAAAACTAGACAGAATCATTCTCAGAAACTCCTTTGTGATGTGTGCGTTCAACTCTCAGAGTTTAACTTTTCTTTTCATTCAGCGGTTTGGAAACACTCTGTTTGTAAAGTCTGCACGTGGAAATTTTGACCACTTAGAGGCCTTCGTTGGAAACGGGTTTTTTTCATGTAAGGCTAGACAGAAGAATTCCCAGTAACTTCCTTGTGTTGTGTGCATTCAACTCACAGAGTTGAACGTTCCCTTAGACAGAGCAGATTTGAAACACTCTATTTGTGCAATTTCCAAGTGTAGATTTCAAGCGCTTTAAGGTCAATGGCAGAAAAGGAAATATCTTCGTTTCAAAACTAGACAGAATCATTCCCACAAACTGCGTTGTGATGTGTTCGTTCATCTCACAGAGTTTAACCTTTCTTTTCATAGAGCAGTTAGGAAACAGTCTGTTTGTAAATTCTGTAAGTGGATATTCTGACATCTTGTGGCCTTCGTTGGAAACGGGATTTCTTCATATTCTGCTAGACAGAAGAATTCTCAGTAACTTCCTTGTGTTGTGTGTATTCAACTCACAGAGTTGAACGATCCTTTACACAGAGCAGACTTGAAACACTCTTTTTGTGGAATTTGCAAGTGGAGATTTCAGCCGCTTTGAGGTCAATAGTAGAAAAGGAAATATTTTCGTAGAAAAACTAGACAGAATGATTCTCAGAAACTCCTTTGTGATGTGTGCGTTCCACTCACAGAGTTTAACCTTTCTTTTCATAGAGCAGTTAGGAAACACTCTGTTTGTAAAGTCTGCACCTGGATATTTGGACTTCTTTGAGGCCTTCGTTGGAAACGGGTTTTTTTCATGAAAGGCTAGACAGAAGAATTCCCAGTAACTTCCTTGTGTTGTGTGTGTTCAACTCACAGAGTTGAACTTTCATTTACACAGAGCAGATTTGAAACACTCTTTTTGTGGAATTTGCAAATGGAGATTTCAAGCGCTTTGAGGAAAAAGGCAGAAAAGGGAATATCTTCGTATAAAAACTAGACAGAATCATTCTCAGAAAGTGCTCTGCGATGTGTGCGTTCAACTCTCAGAGTTTAACTTTTCTTTTCATTCAGCAGTTTGGAAACACTCTGTTTGTAAAGTCTGCACGTGGATAATTTGACCACTTAGAGGCCTTCGTTGGAAACGGGTTTTTTTCATGTAAGGCTAGACAGAAGAATTCCCAGTAACTTCCTTGCGTTGTGTACATTCAACTCACAGAGTTGAACGTTCCCTTAGACAGAGCAGATTTGAAACACTCTTTTTGTGCAATTGGCAAGTGGAGATTTCAAGCGCTTTAAGGTCAATGGCAGAAAAGGAAATATCTTCGTTTCAAAACTAGACAGAATCATTCCCACAAACTGCGTTGTGATGTGTTCGTTCAACTCACAGAGTTTAACCTTTCTTTTCATAGAGTAGTTAGGAAACAGTCTGTTTGTAAATTCTGTACGTGGATATTCTGACATCTTGTGGCCTTCGTTGGAAACGGGATTTCTTCATGTTCTGCTAGACAGAAGAATTCTGAGAATCTTCCTTGTGTTGTGTGTATTCAACTCACAGAGTTGAACGATGGTTTACACAGAGCAGATTTGAAACACTCTTTTTGTGGAATTTGCAAGTGGAGATTTCAGCCGCTTTGAGGTCAATGGTAGAAAAGGAAATATCTTCGTATAAAAACTAGACAGAATGATTCTCATAAACTCCTTTGTGATGTGTGCGTTCAAATCACAGAGTTTAACTTTTCTTTTCATAGAGCAGTTAGGAAACACTCTGTTTGTAAAGTCTGCAAGTGGATATTCAGACCTCTTTGAGGCCTTCGTTGGAAACGGGATTTCTACATATTATGCTAGACAGAAGAATTCCCAGTAACTTCCTTGTGTTGTGTGTGTTCAACTCACAGAGTTGAACTTTCATTTACACAGAGCAGATTTGAAACACTCTTTTTGTGGAATTTGCAAGTGGAGATTTCAAGCGCTTTGAGGCCAAAGGCAGAAAAGGAAATATCTTCGTATAAAAACTAGAGAGAATCATTCTCAGAAACTGCTCTGTGATGTGTGCGTTCAACTCTCCGAGTTTAACTTTTCTTTTCATTCAGCAGTTTGGAAACACTCTGTTTGTAAAGTCTGCACGTGGATAATTTGACCACTTAGAGGCCTTGTTTGGAAACGGATTTTTTTTCATGTAAGGCTAGACAGAAGAATTCCCAGTAACTTCCTTGTGTTGTGTACATTCAACTCACAGAGTTGAACGTTCCCTTAGACAGAGCAGATTTGAAACACTCTTTTTGTGCAATTGGCAAGTGGTGATTTCAGCCGCTTTGAGGTCAATGGTAGAAAAGGAAATATCTTCGTATAAAAACTAGACAGAATCATTCCCACAAACTGCGTTGTGATGCGTTCGTTCAACTCACAGAGTTTAACCTTTCTGTTCATAGAGCAGTTAGGAAACACTCTGTTTGTAAAGTCTGTAAGTGGATATTCTGACATCTTGTGGCCTTCGTTGGAAACGGGATTTCTTCATATTCTGCTAGACAGAAGAATTCTCAGAATCTTCCTTCAGTTGTGTGTATTCAACACACAGAGTTGAACGATGGTTTACACAGAGCAGATCTGAAACACTTTTTGTGGAATTTGGAAGTGGAGATTTCAGCTGCTTTGAGGTCAATGGCAGAAAAGGAAATATCTTCGTATAAAAACTAGACAGAATGATTCTCAGAAACTCCTTTGTGATGTGTGCGTTCAACTCACAGAGTTTAACCTTTCTTTTCATAGAGCAGTTAGGAAACACTCTGTTTGTACAGTCTGCAAGTGGATATTCTGACCTCCTTGAGGCCTTCGTTGGAAAAGGGATTTCTTCATATTCTGCTAGACAGAAGAATTCCCAGTAACTTCCTTGTGTTGTGTGTGTTCAACTCACAGAGTTGAACTTTCATTTACACAGAGCAGATTTGAAACACTCTTTTTGTGGAATTTGCAAGTGGAGATTTCAAGCGCTTTGAGGCCAAAGGCAGAAAAGGAAATATCTTCGTATAAAAACTAGACACAATCATTCTCAGAAACTGCTCTGTGATGTGTGCGTTCAACTCTCAGAGTTTAACTTTTCTTTTCATTCAGCAGTTTGGAAACACTCTGTTTGTAAAGTCTGCACGTGGATAATTTGACCACTTAGAGGCCTTCGTTGGAAACGGGTTTTTTTCATGTAAGGCTAGACAGAAGAATTCCCAGTAACTTCCTTGTGTTGTGTACATTCAACTCACAGAGTTGAACGTTCCCGTAGACAGAGCAGATTTGAAACACTCTTTTTGTGCAATTGGCAAGTGGAGATTTCAAGCGCTTTAAGGTCAATGGCAGAAAAGGAAATATCTTCGTTTCAAAACTAGACAGAATCATTCCCACAAACTGCGTTGTGATGTGTTCGTTCAACTCACAGAGTTTAACCTTTCTGTTCATAGAGCAGTTAGGAAACACTCTGTTTGTAAGGTCTGCAAGTGGATATTCAGACCTCCTAGAGGCCTTCGTTGGAAACGGGATTTCTTCATATTCTGCTAGACAGAAGAATTCCCAGTAACTTCCTTGTGTTGTGTGTGTTCAACTCACAGAGTTGAACTTTCATTTACACAGAGCAGATTTGAAACACTCTTTTTGTGGAATTTGCAAGTGGAGATTTCAGCTGCTTTGAGGTCCATGGTAGAAAAGGAAATATCTTCGTATAAAAACTAGACAGAATGATTCTGAGAAACTCCTTTCTGATGTGTGCGTTCAACTCACAGAGTTTAACCTTTCTTTTCATAGAGCAGTTAGGAAACACTCTGTTGGTAAAGTCTGCAAGTGGATATTCAGACCTCCTTGAGGCCTTCGTTGGAAACGGGATTTCTTCATATTATGCTAGACAGAAGAATTCTCAGTAACTTCCTTGTGTTGTGTGTATTCAACTGACAGAGTTGAACTTTCATTTAGAGAGAGCAGATTTGAAACACTGTTTTTGTGGAATTTGCAAGTGGAGATTTCAAGCGCTTTGGGGCCAAAGGCAGAAAAGGAAATATCTTCATATAAAAACTAGACAGAATCATTCTCAGAAACTGCTCTGTGATGTGTGCGTTCAACTCTCAGAGTTTAACTTTTCTCTTCATTCAGCAGTTTGGAAACACTCTGTTTGTAAAGTCTGCACGTGGATAATTTGACCACTTAGAGGCCTTCGTTGGAAACGGGTTTTTTTCATGTAAGGCTAGACAGAAGAATTCCCAGTAACTTCCTTGTGTTGTGTACATTCAACTCACAGAGTTGAACGTTCCCTTAGACAGAGCAGATTTGAAACACTCTTTTTGTGCAATTGGCAAGTGGTGATTTCAGCCGCTTTGAGGTCAATGGTAGAAAAGGAAATATCTTCGTATAAAAACTAGACAGAATGATTCTCAGAAACTTCACTGTGACGTGTGCGTTCAACTCACAGAGTTTAACCTTTCTTTTCATAGAGCAGTTAGGAAACACTCTGTTTGTAAACTCTGCAAGTGGATATTCAGACCTCTTTGAGGCCTTCGTTGGAAACGGGATTTCTTCATACTGTGCTAGACAGAAGAATTCTCAGTAACTTCCTTGTGTTGTGTGTATTCAACTCACTGAGTTGAACGATCCTTTACACAGAACATACTAGAAACACTCTTCTTGTGGAATTTGCAAGTGGAGATTTCAGCCGCTTTGAGGTCAATGGTAGAATAGGAAATATCTTCGTATAAAAATTAGATAGAATGATTCTCAGAAACTCCTTTGTGATGTGTGTGTTCAACTCACACAGTTTAACCTTTCTTTTCATAGAGCAGTTAGTAAACACTCTGTTTATAAAGTCTGCAAGTGGATATTCAGACCCCTTTGAGGCCTTCGTTGGAAACGGGGTTTCTTCATATTCTGCTAGACAGAAGAATTCCCAGTAACTTCCTTGTGTTGTGTGTGTTCAACTCACAGAGTTGAACTTTCATTTAGACAGAGCAGATTTGAAACACTCTTTTTGTGGAATTTGCAAATGGAGATTTCAAGCGCTTTGAGGCCAAAGGCAGAAAAGGAAATATCTTCGTATAAAAACTAGACAGAATCATTCTCAGAAACTGCTCTGCGATGTGTGCGTTCAACTCTCAGAGTTTAACTTTGCTTTTCATTCAGCAGTTTGGAAACACTCTGTTTGTAAAGTCTGCACGTGGATAATTTGACCACTTAGAGGCCTTCGTTGGAAACGGGTTTTTTTCATGTAAGGCTAGACAGAAGAATTCCCAGTAACTTCTATGTGTTGTGTGCATTCAACTCACAGAGATGAATGTTCCCTTAGACAGAGCAGATTTGAAACACTCTATTTGTGCAATTTGCAAGTGTAGATTTCAAGCGCTTTAAGGTCAATGGCAGAAAAGGAAATATCTTCGTTTCAAAACTAGACAGAATAATTCCCACAAACTGCGTTGTGATGTGTTCGTTCAACTCACAGAGTTTAACCTTTCTTTTCATAGAGCAGTTAGGAAACACTCTGTTGGTAAATTCTGTAAGTGGATATTCTGACATCTTGTGGCCTTCGTTGGAAACGGGATTTCTTCATATTCTGCTAGACAGAAGAATTCTCAGTAACTTCCTTGTGTTGTGTGTATTCAACTCACAGAGTTGAACGATCCTTTACAGAGAGCAGACTTGAAACAGTCTTTTTGTGGAATTTGCAAATGGAGATTTCAGCCGCTTTGAGGTCAATGGTAGAAAAGGAAATATCTTCGTATAAAGACTAGACAGAATGATTCTCAGAAACTCCTTTGTGATGTGTGCAGTTCAACTCACAGAGTTTAACCTTTCTTTTCATAGAGCAGTTAGGAAACACTCTGTTTGTAAAGTCTCCAAGTGGATATTCAGACCTCTTTGAGGCCTTCGTTGGAAACGGGTTTTTTTCATATAAGGCTAGACAGAAGAATTCTCAGTAACTTCCTTGTCTTGTGTGTATTCAACTCACAGAGTTGAACGATACTTTACACAGAGCAGACTTGAAACCCACCTTTTGTGGAATTTGCAAGTGGAGATTTCAGCCGCTTTGAGGTCAATGGTAGAATACGAAATATCTTCCTATAGAAACTAGACAGAATGATTCTCAGAAACTCCTTTGTGATGTGTGCGTTCAACTCACAGAGTTTAACCTTTCTTTTCATAGAGCAGTTAGGAAACACTCTGTTTGTAAAGTCTGCAAGTGGATATTCAGAGCTCCTTGAGGCCTTCGTTGGAAATGGGATTTCTTCATATTATGCTAGACAGAAGAATTCTCAGTAACTTCCTTGTGTTGTGTGTATTCAACTGACAGAGTTGAACTTTCATTTAGAGAGAGCAGATTTGAAACACTGTTTTTGTGGAATTTGCAAGTGGAGATTTCAAGCGCTTTGGGGCCAAAGGCAGAAAAGGAAATATCTTCGTATAAATACTAGACAGAATCATTCTCAGAAACTGCTGCGTGATGTGTGCGTTCAACTCTCAGAGTTTAACTTTTCTTTTCATTCAGCGGTTTTGGAAACACTCTGTTTGTAAAGTCTGCACGTGGAAATTTTGACCACTTAGAGGCCTTCGTTGGAAACGGGTTTTTTTCATGTAAGGCTAGACAGAAGAATTCCCAGTAACTTCCTTGTGTTGTGTACATTCAACTCACAGAGTTGAACGTTCCCTTAGACAGAGCAGATTTGAAACACTTTTTTTGTGCAATTGGCAAGTGGAGATTTCAAGCGCTTTAAGGTCAATGGCAGAAAAGGAAATATCTTCGTTTCAAAACTAGACAGAATCATTCCCACAAACTGCGTTGTGATGTGTTCGTTCAACTCACAGAGTTTAACCTTTCCGTTCATAGACCAGTTAGGAAACACTCTGTTTGTAAAGTCTGTAAGTGGATATTCTGACATCTTGTGGCCTTCGTTGGAAACGGGATTTCTTCATATTCTGCTAGACAGAAGAATTCTCAGAAACTTCCTTGTGTTGTGTGTTTTCAACTCACAGAGTTCAACGATCCTTTACACAGAGGAGACTTGAAACACTCTTTTTGTGGAATTTGCAAGTGGAGATTTCAGCCGCTTTGAGGTCAATGGTAGAATAGGAAATATCTTCCTATAGAAACTAGACAGAATGATTCTCAGAAACTTCTTTGTGATGTGTGTGTTCAACTCACAGAGTTTAACCTTTCTTTTCATAGAGCAGTTAGGAAACACTCTGTTTGTAAACTCTGCAAGTGGATACTCAGACCTCTTTGAGGCCTTCGTTGGAAACGGGATTTCTTCATACTATGCTAGACAGAAGAATTCTCAGTAACTTCCCTTGTGTTGTGTGTATTCAACTGACAGAGTTGAACTTTCATTTAGAGAGAGCAGATTTGAAACACTGTTTTTGTGGAATTTGCAAGTGGAGATTTCAAGCGCTTTGGGGCCAAAGGCACAAAAGGAAATATCTTCGTATAAAAACTAGACAGAATCATTTTCAGAAACTGCACTGCGATGTGTGCGTTCAACTCTCAGAGTTTAACTTTTCTTTTCATTCAGCAGTTTGGAAACACTCTGTTTGTAAAGTCTGCACGTGGATAATTTGACCACTTAGAGGCCTTCGTTGGAAACGGGTTTTTTTCATGTAAGGCTAGACAGAAGAATTCTCAGTAACTTCCTTGTGTTGTGTGTATTCAACTCACAGAGTTGAACGATCCTTTACACAGAGCAGACTTGAAAGACTCTTTTTGTGGAATTTGCAAGTGGAGATTTCAGCCGCTTTGAGGTCAATAGTAGAAAAGGAAATATCTTCGTAGAAAAACTAGACAGAATGATTCTCAGAAACTCCTTTGTGATGTGTGTGTTCAACTCACAGAGTTTAACCTTTCTTTTCATAGAGCAGTTAGGAAACACTCTGTTTGTAAAGTCTGCAAGTGGATAATCAGACCTCTTTGAGGCCTTCGTTGGAAACGGGATTTCTTCATATTATGCTAGACAGAAGAATTCCCAGTAACTTCCTTGTGTTGTGTGTGTTCAACTCACAGAGTTGAACTTTCATTTACACAGAGCAGATTGGAAACACTCTTTTTGTGGAATTTGCAAGTGGAGATTTCAAGCGGTTTGAGGCCAAAGGCAGAAAAGGAAATATCTTCGTATAAAAACTAGACAGAATCATTCTCAGAAACTGCTCTGCGATGTGTGCGTTCAACTCTCAGAGTTTAACTTTTCTTTTCATTCAGCAGTTTGGAAACACTCTGTTTGTAAAGTCTGCACGTGGATATTTTGACCACTTAGAGGCCTTCGTTGGAAACGGGTTTCTTTCCTGTAAGGCTAGACAGAAGAATTCCCAGTAACTTCCTTGTGTTGTGTGCATTCAACTCACAGAGTTGAACGTTCCCTTAGACAGAGCAGATTTGAAACACTCTATTTGTGCAATTTGCAAGTGTAGATTTCAAGCGCATTAAGGTCAATGGCAGAAAAGGAAATATCTTCGTTTCAAAATTAGACAGAATCATTCCCACAAACTGCGTTGTGATGTGTTCGTTCATCTCACAGAGTTTAACCTTTCTTTTCATAGAGCAGTTAGGAAACAGTCTGTTTGTAAATTCTGTAAGTGGATATTCTGAGCATCTTGTGCCCTTCATTGGAAACGGGATTTCTTCATGTTCTGCTAGACAGAAGAATTCTCAGTAACTTCCTTGTGTTGTGTGTATTCAAATCACAGAGTTCAACGATCCTTTACACAGAGCAGACTTGAAACACTCTTTTTGTGAAATTTGCAAGTGGAGATTTCAGCCGCTTTGAGTTCAATGGTAGAATAGGAAATATCTTCCTATAGAAACTAGACAGAATGATTCTCAGAAACTCCTTTGTGATGTGTGCGTTCAACTCACAGAGTTTACCCTTTCTTTTCATAGAGCAGTTAGGAAACACTCTGTTTGTAAAGTCTGCAATTGGATATTCAGACATCCTTGAGGCTTTCGTTGGAAACAGGGATTTCTTCATATTCTGCTAGAAAGAAGAATTCTCAGTAACTTCCTTGTGTTGTGTGTATTCAACTGACAGAGTTGAACGATCCTTTACACAGAGCAGACTTGAAACACTCTTTTTGTGGAATTTGCAAGGGGAGATTTCAAGCGCTTTGGGGCCAAAGGCAGAAAAGGACATATCTTCGTATAAAAACTAGACAGAATCATTCTCAGAAACTGCTCTGCGATGTGTGCATTCAACTCTCAGAGTTTAATTTTTCTTTTCATTCAGCAGTTTGGAAACATTCTCTTTGTAAAGTCTGCACGTGGATATTTTGACCACTTAGAGGCCTTCGTTGGAAACGGGTTTTATTCTTGTAAGGCTAGACAGAAGAATTCCCAGTAACTTCCTTGTGTTGTGTACATTCAACACACAGATTTGAACGTTCCCTTAGACAGAGCTGATTTGAAACACTCTTTTTGTGCAATTGGCAAGTGGAGATTTCAAGCGCTTTAAGGTCAATGGCAGAAAAGTAAATATCTTCGTTTCAAAACTAGACAGAATCATTCCCACAAACTGCGTTGTGATGTGTTCGTTCATCTCACAGAGTTTAACCTTTCTTTTCATAGAGCAGTTAGGAAACACTGTGTTTGTAAATTCTGTAAGTGGATATTCTGACATCTTGTGGCCTTCGTTGGAAACGGGATTTCTTCATATTCTGCTAGACAGAAGAATTCTCAGTAACTTCCTTGTGTTGTGTGTATTCAACTCACAGAGTTGAACGATCCTTTACACAGAGCAGACTTGAAACACTCTTTTTGTGGAATTTGCAAGTGGAGATTTCAGCCACTTTGATGTCAATGGTAGAAAAGGAAATATCTTCGTATAAAGACTAGACAGAGTGATTCTCAGAAACTCCTTTGTGATATCTGCGTTCAACTCACAGAGTTCAACCTTTCTTTTCATAGAGCAGTTAGGAAACACTCTGTTTGTAAAGTCTGCAATTGGATATTGAGACCTCCTTGAGGCCTTCGTTGGAAACGGGATTTCTTCATATTCTGCTATACAGAAGAATTCTCAGAAACTTCCTTGTGTTGTGTGTATTCAACTCACAGAGTTGAACGATCCTTTACACAGAGCAGACTTGAAACACTCTTTTTGTGGAATTGGCAAGTGGAGATTTCAGCTGCTTTGAGGTCAATGGTAGAAAAGGAAATATCTTCGTATAAAAACTAGACAGAATGATTCTCAGAAACTCCTTTGTGATGTGTGCGTTCAACTCACAGAGCTTAACCTTTTTTTTCATAGAGCAGTTGGGAAACACTCTGTTTGTAAAGTCTGCAAGTGGATATTCAGACCTCCTTGAGGCCTTCGTTGGAAACGGGATTTCTTCATATTATGCTAGACAGAAGAATTCTCAGGAACTTCCTTGTGTTGTGTGTATTCAACTCACAGAGTTGAACGATCCTTTACACAGAGCAGACTTGAAACACTCTTTTTGTGGAATTTGCAAGTGGAGATTTCAGCCGCTTTGAGTTCAATGGTAGAATAGGAAATATCTTCCTATAGAAAGTACACAGAATGATTCTCAGAAACTCCTTTGTGATGTGTGCGTTCACCTCACAGAGTTCAACCTTTCTTTTCATAGAGCAGTTGGGAAACACTCTGTTTGTAAAGTCTGCAAGTGGATATTCAGACTTCTTTGAGGCCTTCGTTGGAAGCGGGATTTCTTCATATTCTGCTAGACAGAAGAATTCTCAGTAACTACCTTGTGTTGTGTGTATTCAACTGACAGAGTTGAACTTTCATTTAGAGAGAGCAGATTTGAAACACTGTTTTTGTGGAATTTGCAAGTGGAGATTTCAAGCGCTTTGGGGCCAAAGGCAGAAAAGGAAATATCTTCGTATAAAAACTAGACAGAATCATTCTCAGAAACTGCTGCGTGATGTGTGCGTTCAACTCTCAGAGTTTAACTTTTCTTTTCATTCAGCGGTTTGGAAACACTCTGTTTGTAAAGTCTGCACGTGGAAATTTTGACCACTTAGAGGCCTTCGTTGGAAACGGGTTTTGTTCATGTAAGGCTAGACAGAAGAATTCCCAGTAACTTCCTTGTGTTGTGTGCATTCAACTCACAGAGTTGAACGTTCCCTTAGACAGAGCAGATTTGAAACACTCTATTTGTGCAATTTGCAAGTGTAGTTTTCAAGCTCTTTTAGGTCAACGGCAGAAAAGGAAATATCTTGGTTTCAAAACTAGACAGAAATCATTCCCACAAACTGCGTTGTAATGTGTTCGTTCAACTCACAGAGTTTAACCTTTCTGTTCATAGAGCAGTTAGGAAACACTCTGTTTGTAAAGTCTGTAAGTGGATATTCTGACATCTTGTGGCCTTCGTTGGAAACGGGATTTCTTCATATTCTGCTAGACAGAAGAATTCTCAGTAACTTCCTTGTGTTGTGTGTATTCAACTCACAGACTTGAACGATCCTTTACACAGAGCAGACTTGAAACACTCTTTTTGTGGAATTTGCAAGTGGAGATTTCAGCCGCTTTGAGGTCAATGGTAGAAAAGGAAATATCTTCGTATAAAAACTAGACAGAATGATTCTCAGAAACTTCTTTGTGATGTGTGCGTTCAACTCACAGAGTTTAACCTTTCTTTTCATAGAGCAGTTAGGAAACCCTCTGTTTGTAAACTCTGCAAGTGGATATTCAGACCTCTTTGAGGCCTTCGTTGGAAACGGGATTTCTTCATACTATGCTAGACAGAAGAATTCTCAGTAACTTCCTTGTGTTGTGTGTATTCAACTGACACAGTTGAACTTTCATTTAGACAGAGCAGATTTGAAACACTCTTTTTGTGGAATTTGCAATTGGAGATTTCAAGCGCTTTGAGGCCAAAGGCAGAAAAGGAAATATCTTCGTATAAAAACTAGACAGAATCATTCTCAGAAACTGCTGCGTGATGTGTGTGTTCAACTCTCAGAGTTTAACTTTCCTTTTCATTCAGCGGTTTGGAAACACTCTGTTTGTAAAGTCTGCACGTGGATATTTTGACCACTTAGAAGCCTTCGTTGGAAACGGGTTTTTTTGTATGTAAGGCTAGACAGAAGAATTCCCAGTAACTTCCTTGTGTTGTGTGCATTCAACTCACAGAGTTGAACGTTCCCTTAGACAGAGCAGATTTGAAACACTCTATTTGTCCAATTTGCAAGTGTAGATTTCAAGCGCTTTAAGGTCAACGGCAGAAAAGGAAATATCTTCGTTTCAAAACTAGACAGAATCATTCCCACAAACTGCGTTGTGATGTGTACGTTCAACTCACAGAGTTTAACCTTTCTGTTCATAGAGCAGTTAGGAAACATTCTGTTTGTAAAGTCTGTAAGTGGATATTCTGACATCTTGTGGCCTTCGTTGGAAACGGGATTTCTTCATATTCTGCTAGACAGAAGAATTCTCAGTAACTTCCTTCTGTTGTGTGTATTCAACTCACAGAGTTGAACGATCCTTTACACAGAGCAGATTTGAAACACTCTTTTTGTGGAATTTGCAAGTGGAGATTTCAGCCGCTTTGAAGTCAAATGTAGAAAAGGAAATATCTTCCTATAAAAACTAGACAGAATGATTCTCAGAAACTCCTTTTTGATGTGTGCGTTCAACTCACAGAGTTTAACCTTTCTTTTCATAGAGCAGTTAGGAAACACTCTGTTTGTAAAGTCTGCAAGTGGATATTCAGACCTCTTTGAGGCCTTCGTTGGAAACGGGTTTTTTTCATATAAGGCTAGACAGAAGAATTCCCAGTAACTTCCTTGTGTTGTGTGTGTTCAACTCACAGAGTTGAACTTTCATTTACACAGAGCAGATTTGAAACACTCTTTTTGTGGAATTTGCAAGTGGAGATTTCAAGCGCTTTGGGGCCAATGGCAGAAAAGGAAATATCTTCGTATAAAAACTAGACAGAAATCATTCTCAGAAACTGCTCTGCGATGTGTGCGTTCAACTCTCAGAGTTTAACTTTTCTTTTCATTCAGCAGTTTGGAAACACTCTGTTTGTAAAGTCTGCACGTGGATATTTTGACCACTTAGAGGCCTTCTTTGGAAACGGGTTTTTTTCATGTAAGGCTAGACAGAAGAATTCCCAGTAACTTCCTTGTGTTGTGTATATTCAACTCACAGAGTTGAACGTTCCCTTAGACAGAGCAGATTTGAAACACTCTTTTTGTGCAATTGGCAAGTGGAGATTTCAAGCGCTTTAAGGTCAATGGCAGAAAAGGAAATATCTTCGTTTCAAAACTAGACAGAATGATTCTCAGAAACTCCTTTGTGATGTGTGCGTTCAACTCACAGAGTTTAACCTTTCTTTTCATAGAGCAGTTAGGAAACACTCTGTTTGTAAAGTCTGCAAGTAGATATTCAGACCTCCTTGAGGCCTTCGTTGGAAACGTGATTTCTTCATATTATGCTAGACAGAAGAATTCTCAGTAACTTCCTTGTGTTGCGTGTATTCAACTCACAGATTTGAACGATCCTTTACAAAGAGCAGACTTGAAACACTCTTTTTGTGGAATTTGCAAGTGGAGATTTCAGCCGCTTTGAGGTCAATGGTAGAATAGGAAATATCTTCCTATAGAAACTAGACAGAATGATTCTCAGAAACTCCTTTGTGATGTGTGCGTTCAACTCACAGAGTTTAACCTTTCTTTTCATAGAGCAGTTAGGAAACACTCTGTTTGTAAAGTCTGCACGTGGATATTTGGACTTCCTTGAGGCCTTCGTTGGAAACGGTTTTTTTTTCATGTAAGGCTAGACAGAAGAATTCTCAGTAACTTCCCTTGTGTTGTGTGTATTCAACTGACAGAGTTGAACTTTCATTTGGAGAGAGCAGATTTGAAACACTGTTTTTGTGGAATTTGCAAGTGGAGATTTCAAGCGCTTTGGGGCCAAAGGCAGAAAAGGAAATATCTTCGTATAAAAACTAGACAGAATCATTCTCAGAAACTGGCTCTGCGATGTGTGCGTTCAACTCTCAGAGTTTAACTTTTCTTTTCATTCAGCAGTTTGGAAACACTCTGTTTGTAAAGTCTGCACGTGGATATTTTGACCACTTAGAGGCCTTCGTTGGAAACGGGTTTCTTTCCTGTAAGGCTAGACAGAAGAATTCCCAGTAACTTCCCTTGTGTTGTGTACATTCAACTCACAGAGTTGAACGTTCCCTTAGACAGAGCAGATTTGAAACACTCTTTTTGTGCAATTGGCAAGTGGAGATTTCAAGCGCGTTGAGGTCAATGGCAGAAAAGGAAATATCTTCGTTTCAAAACTAGACAGAATCATTCCCACAAACTGCGTTGTGATGTGTTCGTTCAACTCACAGAGTTTAACCTTTCTTTTCATAGAGCAGTTAGGAAACAGTCTGTTTGAAAATTCTGTAAGTGGATATTCTCACATCTTGTGGCCTTCGTTGGAAACGGGATTTCTTCATATTCTGCTAGACAGAAGAATTCTCAGTAACTTCCTTGTGTTGTGTTTATTCAACTCACAGAGTTGAATGATCCTTTACACAGAGCAGACTTGAAACACTCTTTTTGTGGAATTTGCAAGTGGAGATTTCAGCCGCTTTGAGGTCAATAGTAGAAAAGGAAATATCTTCGTAGAAAAACTAGACAGAATGATTCTCAGAAACTCTTTTGTGATGTGTGCGTTCAACTCACAGAGTTTAACATTTCTGTTCATAGAGCCGTTAGGAAACACTCTGTTTGTAAAGTCTGCAAGTGGATATTCACACCTCCTTGAGACCTTCGTTGGAAACGGGATTTCTTCATATTCTGCTAGACAGAAGAATTTTCAGTAACTTCCTTGTGTTGTGTGTATTCAACTGACAGAGTTGAACTTTCATTTAGACAGAGCAGATTTGAAACACTCTTTTTGTGGAATTTGCAAGTGGAGATTTCAAGCGCTTTGAGGCCAAAGGCAGAAAAGGAAATATGTTCGTATAAAAACTAGACAGAATCATTCTCAGAAACTGCTCTGCGATGTGTGTGTTCAACTCTCAGAGTTTAACTTTTCTTTTCCTTCAGCAGTTTGGAAACACTCTGTTTGTGAAGTCTGCACGTGGATATTTTCACCACTTAGAGGCCTTCGTTGGAAACGGGTTTTTTTCCTGTAAGGCTAGACAGAAGAATTCCCAGTAACTTCCTTGTGTTGTGTACATTCAACTCACAGAGTTGAACGTTCCCTTAGACAGAGCAGATTTGAAACACTCTTTTTGAGCAATTGGCAAATGGAGATTTCAAGCGCTTTAAGGTCAATGGCAGAAAAGGAAATATCTTCGTTTCAAAACTAGACAGAATGATTCTCATAAACTCCTTTGTGATGTGTGCGTTCAACTCACAAAGTTTAACTTTTCTTTTCATAGGGCAGTTAGGAAACACTCTGTTTGTAAAGTCTGCAAGTGGATATTCAGACCTCTTTGAGGCCTTCGTTGGAAACGGGATTTCTTCATATTATGCTAGACAGAAGAATTCTCAGTAACTTCCTTGTGTTGTGTGTATTCAACTCACAGAGTTGAACGATGCTTTACACAGAGCAGACTTGAAACATTCTTTTTGTGGAATTTGCAACTGGAGATTTCAGCCGCTTTGAGGTCAATGGTAGAATAGGAAATATCTTCCTATAGAAACTAGACAGAATGATTTTGAGAAACTCCTTTGTGATGTGTGCGTTCAACTCACAGAGTTTAACCTTTCTTTTCATAGAGCAGTTAGGAAACACTCTGTTTGTAAAGTCTGCAAGTGGATATTCAGACATCCTTGAGGCTTTTGTTGGAAACGGGATTTCTTCATATTCTGCTAGAAAGAAGAATTCTCAGAAACTTCCTTCTGTTGTGTGTTTTCAACTCACAGAGTTGAACGAACCTTTACACAGAGTAGACTTGAAACACTCTTTTTGTGGAATTGGCAAGTGGAGATTTCAGCCGCTTTGAGGTCAATGGTAGAAAAGGAAATATCTTCGTATAAAAACTAGACAGAATAATTCTCAGAAACTCCTTTGTGATGTGTGCGTTCAACTCACGGAGTTTAACCTTTCTTTTCATAGAGCAGTTAGGAAACACTCTGTTTGTAAAGTCTGCAAGTGGATATTCAGACCTCTTTGAGGCCTTCGTTGGAAACGGGATTTCTTCATATTATGCTAGACACAAGAATTCCCAGTAACTTCCTTGTGTTGTGTGTGTTCAACTCACAGAGTTGAACTTTCATTTACCCAGAGCAGATTTGAAACACTCTTTTTGTGGAATTTGCAAGTGGAGATTTCAAGAGCTTTGAGGCCAAAGGCAGAAAAGGAAATATCTTCGTATAAAAACTAGACAGAATCATTCTCAGAAACTGCTCTGCGATGTGTGCGTTCAACTCTCAGAGTTTAACTTTTCTTTTCATTCAGCAGTTTGGAAACACTCTGTTTGTAATGTCTGCACGTGGATAATTTGACCACTTAGAGGCATTCGTTGGAAACGGGTTTTTTTCATGTAAGGCTAGACAGAAGAATTCCCAGTAACTTCCTTGTGTTGTGTGCATTCAACTCACAGAGTTGAACGTTCCCTTAGACAGAGCAGATTTGAAACACTCTATTTGTGCAGTTTGCAAGTGTAGATTTCAAGCGCTTTAAGGTCAATGGCAGAAAAGGAAATATCTTCGTTTCAAAACTTGACAGAAATCATTCCCACAAACTGCGTTGTGATGTGTGCGTTCAACTCAAAGAGTTTAACCTTTCTTTTCATAGAGCAGTTAGGAAACACTCTGTTTGTAAAGTCTGCAAGTGGATATTCAGACCTCCTTGAGGCCTTCGTTGGAAACGGGATTTCTTCATATTCTGCTAGACAGAAGAATTCTCAGTAACTTCCTTGTGTTGTGTGTATTCAACTCACAGAGTTGAATGATCCTTTACGCAGAACAGACTTGAAACACTCTTGTTGTGGAATTTGCAAGTGGAGAATTCAGCCGCTTTGAGTTCAACGGTAGAATAGGAAATATCTTCCTATAGAAACTAGACAGAACGATTCTCAGAAACTCCTTTGTGATGTGTGCGTTCAACTCACAGAGTTTAACCTTTCTTTTCATAGAGCAGTTAGGAAGCACTCTGTTTGTAAAGTCTGCAAGTGGATATTCAGACCTCTTTGAGGCCTTCGTTGGAAACGGGATTTCTTCCTATTCTGCTAGACAGAAGAATTCTCAGTAACTTCCTTGTGTTGTGTGTATTCAAATGACAGAGTTGAACTTTCATTTAGAGAGAGCAGATTTGAAACACTGTTTTTGTGGAATTTGCAAGTGAAGATTTCAAGCGCTTTGGGGCCAAAGGCAGAAAAGGAAATATCTTCGTATAAAAACTAGACAGAATCATTCTCAGAAACTGCTCTGTGATGTGTGCGTACAACTCTCAGAGTTTAACTTTTCTTTTCATTCAGCAGTTTGGAAACACTCTGTAAAGTCTGCACGTAGATATTTTGACCACTTAGAGGCCTTCGTTGGAAACGGGTTTTTTTCATGTAAGGCTAGACAGAAGAATTCCCAGTAACTTCCTTGTGTTGTGTGCATTCAACTCACAGAGTTGAACGTTCCCTTAGACAGAGCAGATTTGAAACACTCTATTTGTGCAATTTGCAAGTGTAGATTTCAAGCGCTTTCAGGTCAATGGCAGAAAAGGAAATATCTTCGTTTCAAAACTAGACAGAATCATTCCCACAAACTGCGTTGTGATGTGTTCGTTCAACTCACACAGCAGTTAGGAAACCAACTCACCTTTCTTTTCATAGAGCAGTTAGGAAACACTCTGTTGGTAAATTCTGTAAGTGGATATTCTGACATCTTGTGGCCTTCGTTGGAAACGGGATTTCTTCATATTCTGCTAGACAGAAGAATTCTCAGTAACTTCCTTGTGTTGTGTGTATTCAACTCACAGAGTTGAACGATCCTTTACACAGAGCAGACTTTAAACACTCTTTTTGTGGAATTTGCAAGTGGAGATTTCAGCCGCTTTGAGGTCAATAGTAGAAAAGGAAATATCTTCGTAGAAAAACTAGAAAGAATGATTCTCAGAAACTCCTTTGTGATGTGTGTGTTCTACTCACAGAGTTTAACCTTTCTTTTCATAGAGCAGTTAGTAAACACTCTGTTTGTAAAGTCTGCAAGTGGATATTCAGACCCCTTTGAGGCCTTCGTTGGAAACGGGATTTCTTCATATTATGCTAGACAGAAGAATTCTCAGTAACTTCCTTGTGTTGTGTGTATTCAACTGACAGAGTTGAACTTTCATTTAGAGAGAGCAGATTTGAAACACTGTTTTTGTGGAATTTGCAAGTGGAGATTTCAAGCGCTTTGGGGCCAAAGGCAGAAAAGGAAATATGTTCGTATAAAAACTAGACAGAATCATTCTCAGAAACTGCTCTGCGATGTGTGAGTTCAACTCTCAGAGTTTAACTTTGCTTTTCATTCAGCAGTTTGGAAACACTCTGTTTGTAAAGTCTGCACGTGGATATTTTGACCACTTAGAGGCCTTCGTTGGAAACGGGTTTTTTTCATGTAAGGCTAGACAGAAGAATTCCCAGTAACTTCCTTGTGTTGTGTACATTCAACTCACAGAGTTGAACGTTCCCTTAGACAGAGCAGATTTGAAACACTCTTTTTGTGCAATTGGCAAGTGGAGATTTCAAGCGCTTTGAGGTCAATGGCAGAAAAGGAAATATCTTCGTTTCAAAACTAGACAGAACGATTCTCAGAAACTCCTTTGTGATGTGTGCGTTCAACTCACAGAGTTTAACCTTTCTTTTCATAGAGCAGTTAGGAAACACTCTGTTTGTAAAGTCTGCAAGTGGATATTCAGACCTCTTTGTGGCCTTCGTTGGAAACGGGATTTCTTCATATTCTGCTAGACAGAAGAATTCTCAGTAACTTCCTTGTGTTGTGTGTATTCAACTCACAGAGTTGAACGATCCTTTACACAGAGCAGACTTGAAACACTCTTTTTGTGGAATTTGCAAGTGGAGATTTCAGCCGCTTTGAGGTCAATAGTAGAAAAGGTAATATCTTCGTAGAAAAACTAGACAGAATGATTCTCACAAACTCCTTTGTGATGTGTGTGTTCAACTCACAGAGTTTAACCTTTCTTTTCTTAGAGCAGTTAGGAAACACTCTCTTTGTAAAGTCTGCAAGTGGATATTCAGACCTCTTTGAGGCCTTCGTTGGAAACGGGTTTTTTTCATATAAGGCTAGACAGAATAATTCTCAGTAACTTCCTTGTGTTGTGTGTATTCAACTGTCAGAGTTGAACGATCCTTTACAGAGAGCAGACTTGAAGCACTCTTTTTGTGGAATTTGCAAGTGGAGATTTCAGCCGCTTTGAGGTCAATGGTAGAATAGGAAATATCTTCCTATAGAAACTAGACAGAATGATTCTCAGAAACTCCTTTGTGATGTGTGCGTTCAACTCACAGAGTTTAACTTTTCTTTTCATA
The DNA here is from genome assembly GCF_000001405.40 of Homo sapiens. Lineage (NCBI taxonomy): Eukaryota > Metazoa > Chordata > Mammalia > Primates > Hominidae > Homo > Homo sapiens. Next base: position 122,827,341 of record NC_000001.11, read on the forward strand.
GAGCAGTTAGGAAACACTCTGTTTGTAAAGTCTGCAAGTGGATATTCAGACGTCTTTGAGGCCTTCGTTGGAAACGGGATTTCTTCATATTATGCTAGACAGAAGAATTCTCAGTAACTTCCTTGTGTTGTGTGTATTCAACTCACAGAGTTGAACGATGCTTTACACATAGCAGACTTGAAACACTCTTTTTGTGGAATTTGCAAGTGGAGATTTCAGCCGCTTTGAGGTCAATGGTAGAAAAGGAAATATCTTCGTATAAAGACTAGACAGAATGATTCTCAGAAACTCCTTTGTGATGTGTGCGTTCAACTCACAGAGTTTAACCTTTCTTTTCATAGAGCAGTTAGGAAACACTCTGTTTGTAAAGTCTGCAAGTGGATATTCAGACCTCTTTGAGGCCTTCGTTGGAAACGGGTTTTTTTCTTATAAGGCTAGACAGAAGAATTCTCAGTAACTTCCTTGTGTTGTGTGTATTCAACTCACAGAGTTGAACGATCCTTTACACAGAGCAGACTTGAAACACTCTTTTTCTGGAATTTGCAAGCGGAGATTTCAGCTGCGTTGAGGTCAATGGTAGAAAAGGAAATATCTTCGTATAAAAACTAGACAGAATGATTCTCAGAAACTCCTTTGTGATGTGTGCGTTCAACTCACAGAGTTTAACCTTTCTGTTCATAGAGCAGTTAGGAAACACTCTGTTTGTAAAGTCTGCAAGTGGATATTCAGACCTCTTTGAGACCTTCGTTGGAAACGGGATTTCCTCATATTCTGCTAGACAGAAGAATTCCCAGTAACTTCCTTGTGTTGTGTGTGTTCAACTCACAGAGTTGAACTTTCATTTACACAGAGCAGATTTGAAACACTCTTTTTGTGGAATTTGCAAGTGGAGATGTCAAGCGCTTTGAGGCCAAAGGCAGAAAAGGAAATATCTTCGTATAAAAACTAGACAGAATCATTCTCAGAAACTGCTGCGTGATGTGTGCGTTCAACTCTCAGAGTTTAACTTTTCTTTTCATTCAGCGGTTTGGAAACACTCTGTTTGTAAAGTCTGCACGTGGATATTTTGACCACTTAGAGGCCTTCGTTGGAAACGGGTTTTTTGCATGTAAGGCTAGACAGAAGAATTCTCAGTAACTTCCTTGTGTTGTGTGTATTCAACTCACAGAGTTGAACGTTCCCTTAGACAGAGCAGATTTGAAACACTCTATTTGTGCAATTTGCAAGTGTAGTTTTCAAGCTCTTTAAGGTCAACGGCAGAAAAGGAAATATCTTCGTTTCAAAACTAGACAGAATCATTCCCGCAAACTGCGTTGTGATGTGTTCGTTCAACTCACAGAGTTTAACCTTTCTGTTCATAGAGCAGTTAGGAAACACTCTGTTTGTAAAGTCTGTAAGTGGATATTCTGACATCTTGTGGCCTTCGTTGGAAACGGGATTTCTTCATATTCTGCTAGACAGAAGAATTCTGAGAAACTTCCTTGTGTTGTGTGTTTTCAACTCACAGAGTTGAACGATGCTTTACACAGAGTAGACTTGAAACACTGTTTTTGTGTAATTTGCAAGTGGAGATTTCAGCCGCTTTGAGGTCAATGGTAGAAAAGGAAATATCTTCGAATAAAAACTAGACAGAATGATTCTCAGAATCTTCTTTGTGATGTGTGCGTTCAACTCACAGAGTTTAACCTTTCTTTTCATAGAGCAGTTAGGAAACACTCTGTTTGTATACTCTGCAAGTGGATATTCAGTCCTCATTGAGGCCTTCGTTGGAAACGGGATTTCTTCATACTATGCTAGACAGAAGAATTCCCAGTAACTTCCTTGTGTTGTGTGTGTTCAACTCACAGAGTTGAACTTTCATTTACACAGAGCAGATTTGAAACACTCTTTGTGTGGAATTTGCAAGTGGAGATTTCAAGCGCTTTGAGGCCAA